>NC_000008.11:23799496-24102526 GCF_000001405.40 Homo sapiens
TTAAAATTCCAGCAAATTTTCAACGATAGTCCAGAGAACTTTTATGTACCCTTCTTTATCAGATTCATCACCTGTTGACAATTTCCCCCATTTGCTGTCTTTTCCCCCAACTTAAAAATTATGGTAAAATACACATAACATAAAATTTAACATCTTAATCATTTTTAAGTATGCAGTTCAGTAGTAGTAATTATATTCATAATGTTATGCAGCCATCATCACCATCCATCACTCCATCTGATAACTCTTTTCATTTTGCAAAGCTGCAACTCTATACCTATGACGTGATAACACTGTGTTTCCACCTTGCCTCAGCCCCTGGCAACCCACCATTCTACTTTCTGTCTCTATGTTTTTGGCTACTCCAATTTTCACTTCACCATTTCTCTGTCTCACCATTTCTCTGTTTGTCTCTCGCTCTGTTATCTGTCTCTTGTTCTGTCTCTCTCTATATATACACATACATTCCCTTCGAGAGTAAATTGGAGACATTGTGCCTTTTAACTCCTAAATACTTCAATGTGTATTTTCTAAGGATACTTTCTTACATAACTATAGTGTGGTTATTAGAGACAGTTATATTTAAAAAATTATTTATATTTTTCTAGAGATGGGTTTTCCCTTTATTGCCCAAGCTAGTCTCAAACTCCTGGGCTCAAGTGATCCTCCCACTTCAGCCTCCCAAAATGCTGGGATTATAGGCATAAGCAACCTTGCTCAGCCAAGACTGATTTTTAAATGGAGGCACTAACATTGAGATTGCATAAAGCTTAAAAAAATATGTTCTTTATACCTTTCTTGAGTGTATTGCTACAAAACCAGTACAAAAACCAGCCAAGCAAACAAAACTCCCACCCGTGTATTAAGGGCATACTATATAACCAGCAAGATGTTTGGAGCTGTGTCCAAAATGAGGAAAATATAAGATGCTGATTTCTTAAATTTGAATTTTATTTTTTATTTCTGTAGAGATGGAGTCTTCCTATATTGCTCAAGCTGGTCTTGATCTCCTGGGCTCAAGTGATCCTCCCACCTTGGCTTTCCAAAATACTGGGATTACAGGCATGAGCCCTAGCTAGGAAAATAATATAAACATGTAAAAAGTTAAAAATCAAGGAACTATTTTAAAAGAGCATATTAATTAGTTAAATGCAGATTCTTTGGGAAAAATAATTTAAAATACCCTTGGAACAACCATTAGCAAAATTGTAAATTCGGTATAAAAATAATTCCTCAAACTTTATTTTTTGGCTGTATAAATTCCTTGGATAATTATAAAATTGTAGCAGGATGTTGAGATAATTGGCAGTAAAGTTTTGATAGGATTGGATTTTTCATAACTTCAATCAAATCAGGATATGGAGCAAAAAACTATTCCTTGTTTTAGTAGACAAAGCCTCCAATTCCCAAAGCAAGGGAAAGTTGTACTAAAACTCGTGTATAGTCTTTAAGTGTCCAAAGGATTGATGGAAAGCTAAATGGAAGCCTGTTCATTTTTGTAAGTCTACCCCTCTAGAGCCTGGTTCCAGGCACATACTAGATATGTAGTATGCGTTGTTTGATGAAAAACAATGGACCGTATTTGGAGCCAAAGACATGAAGCATGAATACATATCCTGGGGGACAAGAACTTTGGATTATTTATCTTCAGCCCCAGAAGAAGAGGTGCAGTGAAACTGCATATACTATTTTTTGGTTTATTTTTGCTGATACTTCTGCCTTGTTTGGTGAGAATTCAAAGAGGAAACAAGTGTCTGGAACAGGGTGCACACTCACCCTCACTATGGCCCATGTGCAGAGTGGCCTGGCCCTCACAAAGAACTCGGATGAACAGAGAGAATGTATTATTTGAAATGGAGGATGATCCCAAATACGGGTTGGCCCCAGTGCATGTTCAAAAACAAGACAATTGGCTGAAATACACTGAAGAATTACAAGATGCTGACCTAGAATGGGAAGCTTGAAATAATAATTAGGGCAACAAGGATAGAATCAAAAGATTGGTGACCCAAGGAAGAGGAGTGAAGGAACCAGGGTGAGTCTGAGTGAATAATGAAGACAGGATGTGGCATGTGGCTTTCATGTATTCACAGTGAGTCTGCATAGGTGGGCTTGAGCCATTTTGGGTAAAGGATGGAGTAGACATAGAGTAGAACTTCATAAATGTCCTCTGAAATGAAAGACAGCTGTTCAGTACCTTATTATGTAGGTCATTAAGAACCACCAAAGAACCTCTGAACTGAAGTCATCCTCTGCAAGGATTTGTAAGTATATCTCACCCCTACCCCTCAGATGTGTACAGGATTTACTACAGATGTGGTAAAACAGCTATTCCCATCCTGAATTTATAAACTCAGGAAGATAAAAGTCATAGATATGAAATGTGAAAATGGCATTCTACATTATGGATGTCGATAATTGCCCCCCCAACAGCTTCCTTATTGCTTGTTGTCATGTTACCCAAAGTAAGTCCTGTCTCCTCACTTTCTTAAGCTCTTCTTGTTTCTTTGTCCTCCACCCCTAGTTACATTTGCAACTTTGTCATCACCAATAATTACATCTCCTTAATCTCCATCTCATGCCTCCCTTTCTTTGACCAACGCCTCTACTCTTCTACCTCCCTCCCTCTAGTAGTCCAACACCAATGACCTTTCTATTCCATCAGACTTTCAATCCATTGGTCCTACCATATTTTCTCTGCCTTTCATCCCCTTGCTATCATGATTCCCTTGCTATCTTGATTCCTTCTTCACCTATCTTAAATTCCATGTTCAATTGTTATAACCCTTGCATATGTCTTTGACTCACTTTCCATTTTCTCACTTCATATATTCACTTTGACAAACTGCAACCTTGATTAAATCCAACTTTTTGCTTGGCGCCTGTATCTGTGCTTGGAGAAATGCAGTCGGAGGAAAAGATATAATTACACTGGCTAGTTGCACTTTAAAATCACGACCTTGACTCTAAAATAAACTTTTTAATGCAGAGAAACAATTTTACTCTTTGTCCCTGGCCAATGCACACTCTCATTGTTCTGGAATTGCTTCATGATTTCTCACAAACAGTCTCATTCCATACTCCCTCCCATGCAACTGATTTTTAAATTGAATTTTATCAAAGTAAAACAGGTACATAGTTTAACAAGTCAATAAATAATACTAGGTAGGTAACTAAGAAACAGTAGTTCTGTGCCAAATTTCCTTTCATTCCCAATTCCCATGGTAATATTTTTAACTCTCTTGTTTTTTCCCCCATAGACCATTATTATACTACCATTTCTTATTTTTTCAGTGATATAGTGCCTCTACACACACACTCATGTTATTCTTCTGACTGTTCTCGCATTCTTCCAGTATGTTTTTTTTTTTCAAAATTTTTGGTTAAGTCATTTCTCAATGTTTATATTATTACTATGTAATTAATATTCACAGTTGAACTTACAAAGTATGCTAGGACAACATTTTTTCTTTTTGAAAAATAACTTTTGATATTTTTCTTGGAATTAATTATTGCCACTTCTTTATTTGCAAAATTTTCTTTGCATCCGTTGTGAAATCTCTCAAACTTTCCCCTGGAATAGACCAGAAAATCTTGTCTGAGTATGTTTGCAACCTGTCAGGTATTCTATTACTTTTATTTTCTTCATGACTACCTAGTCCAGAAGCCTCCTGCATCTGTTCTAGTCAAGCTGATTTCTCTCTAAAAAGAAATCTAGAGAGACTTCTAGATGTGTCTAACTAGAGCTGCTATCCTGGGACTTCTCTTCACTCTCATCCTGTGAATGCCTTTACCTTTCTGTGTAGGAGCCTTGTTACCTGGTTTCCCTGTCCTTCTTCTTCCGGCTTAACTTTTCACTGAGGAGGAATGAATGGGTCAACAAGTAGCTTCCTGGAAAACGTAGCTGGGAAGACAATTTTGGGGGCATATTGAAACTCTGAAATGTCCTTATTTCACCCATGTACTTGACTGATAGTTTGGCTGGGTACGGAATTCTAGATTGGCATCAATATCCTCTCACATTTTGATGATATTGCTACATTGTTTTCTACCAGTTTTGCTAATAGGAGTTTTAATGACAGTGATATATCTTTTGTAAATGAACACTTTCTTTTTTCCACCATTCACATAATTTTAGGCTTTCATCTTTGCCCCTGGTATTTACAAATGCCACACGATGGACCATTATACAGAATATTTTTTCATCGATTGCACTGTTTTTTCAGTGAGCTCGTCCAATCTGGAAACTCATATTTTTCAGTTCTTTGAAGGTAGTACTGAAATTATAATAGCATTGTTACTCTTTATTTTCCCTCTTTTTCTTTTCTAGAACTCCTATTAGTTGGCTGCTATATATCCTGGATTGATCCTCTAGTTTCCTTACTTACCTCACAAACTTTCTTTCTCTCTTTTTTCTACTTCCTGGGATATTTCCTCAACATTATTTTCAAACACTTTTGTTGGATTTAAATTTTTGCTGTTGTATTTTTAATTTTCAAGAACTCTTTTTTTTGGTAACAAAATATTGTTTATAGTTTATTTTTTAAATTGATAAAAATCATATAAGTTGTGTACAACCTGTTTTAAAATATATATACATTGTGGAATGGTTACATTGAGCTAACATATGAATTACTTCATATATATACATAACTTTTTGGTGAGAACACTTGAAATCTATTCTCTTAGCAATTTTCAAGAATACAATACATTGTTATCAACTATAGTCACCATTTTGTATTAAGAACTCTTTCTGACATTCTGAATGTTTCCCTTTAGTGTCCTATCGTGTTCTTTTTCATGGACTTCTTTCATTTCTTAATTTTTGGAGGCTATCAGACCTAAACTATTGCTATTAGTCCTGGACACGGCACACAAACCAAAAATTGTTGGCCTGGCACTGTGGCTCATGCCTGTAATCCCAGCACTTTGGGAGGCTGAGGTGGGTGGATCACCTGAGGTCAGGAGTTCAAGACCAGCCTGGCCAATATGGCGAAAACCCATCTCTACTAAAAATACAATAAGTAGCCAGATGTGGTGGCTCACACCTGTAATCCCAGCTACTCAGGAGGCTGAGGCAGGAGAATGGATTTGACCTGGGAGACAGAGGTTGCAGTGAGCTGAGATCGTACCACGGCACTCCAACCTGGGCAACAGAGCATGACGCTGTCTCAAAAAAATAAAAATAAAAAATAAAAATACATAAAAATATTGTTAAACAGCACATGAGTGCCTCTGTCCTTTGATAGTTAGTGCTCAGTGCTGGGCGTGAGATATAATTTAAACATTAGTTCTCATCACTCCAGGGAAATAATTCTTCACCACTCTTGCCTTATGTCTTGTCTCAAAACTGAAAAGAATTGTTTTTAAATGCTGAGAAGGTTTGTGGGTGGTGTCACTAAAGACATGAGAGGACACTGGTTAGATGAGTGGTGAGGATGTAAGAGGTGGCAGCACTTATGTAAATGTAAAACATTTGAAATTAATTTGTTAAATCATTTTCTCAGATAGCATGAATGCAATAGATTCTTGCATAATGAAGTATAATTTTCCAGTAGCACCTGGTATCCATTTCTGGTTTCTCTTCAGGTTTTAATTGTGGTTTCAGAGTTATTCACGGATTGACATAATATTTGCTACAGTTGCTTCTAACAGCTGAAGAACATTTTCAATTTTAAACAAAAATGCTCTTCGATTTGTATATGTGTGGATCCAGATGTAACATTGTGAAATGTGATACTAATTCTTCATTGGCAAGTAGATGGACATTGAATTGGGAATAAATTTATTTTTATAAAGTACATAGTAAGATATAACTAAGTAAAAATAATTAAATAAAATTCAGCTTTACTTAAATAATTTTGATTTAAACTTTGATATTTTAAATTACTTTTTTTGTCTTTTAATTTTAATGCATTACTTTGTGTGCTTTGGAAAAAATACCTTTCTGAAACATATTATAAAAATAAACTTTTTATTTTTTGAAATTCACTATTTGTTGAAAATATATTGAAATTTTGTAAACTTTGATACAAATATATTTTAAAATCTCATTACTATCAATGGAATATGAAACATGAAAATCTCAATGATAACAGTGATTTTGCTGAAATGAAGGCAGGGAAAATAAAGCTCATGGAATAAACGAGTAGTAATTATGAACGATGTTTGCTTTTATTACTGATCTATACACTACTACTAGCCCAGAAACAGAACATTAGAAAAAGACAATGATAATTATGTTTAGTCATTGTTCATATATATATATATATATATATATATATATATTTCTTTTGCCTCAAAAAATGACATTTATTCAAAGAAAAAAAAGAGACAAGATGTCCACTTCTTGTCTCCCTTCCTTCCCCTCTCCTGCTGCTCCTCAACCTCCCAAGATTGAACCCTGGCTGGGGCTAGGTAGCAGGACAGCCCCTCAGATGAGGTCAGCAGCATTGAGGGGCATCTTCCCAGTGGAGGTGTTGTAGAAAGTCTCAATGTCTTGAAGTGTTCTCTTGTTTTCTTCTGTCACCATGTTAATAGCCACACCCTTAAGGCCAAACTGTCCAACTCGACTGATTCTGTGGATATACTTTTCCCTATTGGTGGGAAGGTCATAGTTGATGACTAAAGAAACCTGCTGCACCTCAGTGCCTCTGGCCTATGTCAAGAAAGACGACTCTTCAGCATATGCATGAGAGGACAATCTATCCTGAGGGGAAGAGACTTAGGTGTCCATGTAGGCAGCCAAGGAAGGCAGAGGAAACAAGCATCCTCTATTCCTCTATTCCTCAAAGACCTTAGGCATGCCAGATTCTATTCCAGGTTGTTACTTTCCTGAGAGGGGCACTGCATGTTCCCTTGGAGAGGGAATCCCCTTGGATTGTTGATATTTTTTGACTTTTAGTCATTTAAAACCCTAGCTTTATACATGCTTTTCAATTTTGTTGTTGTGAGGGAATATTCATCAAGATGGGAGGGAGAGAGCATATTTTATTTATTAGCTTGATCTATACTTTTAAATATTTAAACATATGGTACATGGGCCTTGATGTATATTCTTTCCCTAGGTGACTTAGAGTCCTGGTTATTCTCTTGGGTCTAGGCCCAGAATTGAAGGCTACTGAAATTATTATCTGAGCCCTTCCCTGTGTTCACGTCTTCCTTCCCCTGTCACCCACTCCTCCTCTAAATTGGAATAGCAAAGCAAAGATCATGGAGAATAATGTACGATTTATGTTCTAACAATCCATGGTTGAGATAGAAAATAGCAAGATGTTCTTTATATAATCAAGTGCTTGTGGTGAGATGAAACGTCCTAGTATCTTTGAGAAGGAACCAGTGAGCATTACCAGCTCCTTGAGGATAGAGGCTATGTAGAATTAATCTTTATTCTTTAACTGTGCCTAGCAGAGTATCTTGCAAATTAGGGAACGTTTTTGGAAACAAGGTAACTTTGCAAGGCTTGGAAGATGAGTAGAGTTTGCATAGACAAAGAGTTGGAAGCCTCTGAGCTGGGAATGCAATTGTCAGCAAGGTATAAAGGTACATATGTGTACCTGTGTATGTGTGCATGTGTGTGTATGCATGTTTGTACAAAGGTACACACGTGTACCTGTGTATGTGTGCATGTGTGTTTATGAGACAGAGAGATGAGACTGAGGGTGGGAGAGGGGTGGGGTTAGAAAGGAAGAAATTTTAGCTCAGGTGAATGGGAAGGTATGCTGGAGGAAAGTAAGAAATTAGATGGGTTAAAGTAGGGCCCCGATTGATGCAAGACCTTGGAAAAAAAAACATTATTCTCAAGTTACATTAGGAACATGTGGAACAGAGAGGACAGTACTGCTACTGGAAAAAGGGTGATTTAATGGGTAATTGCGAATTATTGTAATTACTTCCAATCAAACAAAACAAAGGGGGAATAATTAAGACGGTGCCAGTGTGTAAGAAATTTGAGTTTTAATGTCTGCAAAGCTCCAGAGTAAGCAGAAAGGAAAGCACGTTACCTACCTTACAACCGGGCGCTTTTTCTAAAGACATTTTTAAGAGCCAATTTTTTGAGTGGCTTTGCTTAACTATAAAGAAAGCAAAGAGAAGCAGGAAGGGTGAGGGCCAGGAAAATTTGAGATGATTTTTCCCTTGTTACATAATGAAACTTAAAAAAAAAGTAGATAAGCGCATCAGTCCATCAGTTTCTTTGATTTTGGGCCAAGTCAAAATGTCCTCTGTTCTGTTTGCTCGTTTTTAAAAAGCTTAATGTTAACAAACTCTAATCCATTTAACTCTTCTTTTGGAAGGACACTTATGCTCATAAGAAGATGCAACACCTGTCAAAGAAAATCTTGTGAGGTTGAGAAGATGAGCAGTTTTTATTAAAGTGAATCCAAAAAAGAACTAGGGCAAATTTATCTCCAGCACTCCTAGTCCTAAGAAAGGTGTTGGAGAATATTTAAAGGAAGGAGCTTGTCCCAAATGGTCCTTTTTTTTTTGTTTGTTTTGTTATACAAAATACAATAAACATGCACCCCACAGTATGCGAATTACCCTGTAAGTAAAAGTCATTGCAATAATATCGGGGAGTTCCATTGCTGGCCCTATTATCAATTGGCTCTGTGACTTTGGAAAACTAATGCCGTCTTTTTGCGCCCCTATCTTCATTATCTGAGAACTTAAAGAATTGAAATAGATGATCACCAAGGTACACTTTAGGAGGAAGAAATGGAGGGCCAGGGGCAGGTAGGAAGTGGTTGTCCAGAGAAAGGTCTGGGTGCTAAGCGTGTTCATTGTTTCTGGGGTTCATTTTTTCAAGGCTTTTGAGCCTTGTAAAGCAAGAAAATTTATGTGTGTTTAGTAACTCATTATAAACATATATCTATAAATAGATCTGAATATAGCTGCCTTGTCTATAGAAATCCAAACATAACTTCATACTGACAGCTCCAACTGGAATCCATTGCCAGATGGATCAGTCTAGCCTCCTCCCCTTGTTTAATTGAGACCTCCAACTTCAACAGTGAGAATCTGGCTCCCACCATTTGAGATCCGTTTATTTACTTGTTCAGTTCTAGTATATATGTACAGTGGTATCATGAGTGTTAAATTATACCCTGTGGGAAACAACTTTATCAACTAGAGTATAGTGCTTATGTACAATTTGTTTTGGCTTTGATGTTATGGAGTCCACCCATTTTCAGGTTTGTCAGGTTAGTATCTCTCCCTAACCACCTTCAGGGAGGTGGTTTTAGACATTTGTAATACAATTAGATTATTTTGCCATATTCTGCATTTCATCTTGATATTCTCCAAACTTCTAAATAATTTTTGAAAAATTTGCATGCATTAAGGCTCACTCTTCGTGCTACGAAGCTCTGTGGGTTTTGACAAATGAATAGTATAATAATGTATTTACCATTAGAGTATCATAAAGAATAATGTTGCCGCCCTAAAAAATTCCTTGGGGTTTACCTACTCAACTCTCTCTCCTTCCCCCAGAATCCTGGCCAACACTGATATTTTTACTATGTTTATAGTTTTGCCTTTGCCAGAATGTCATATAGTTGGAATCACATAGCATATAGGCTTTTCAGACTGACATTTTTCATTTAGCAATGAATGCATTTGAAATTCCTCCATGTCTTTTTGCAGCTTGGTCGTTCTTTTTCAGAAATCACTAAATAATATCCCATTGTATGAATGTACCACTTTGTTTATCCATTCAGCTATTTAAGCACATCTTAGTTGCTTCCTGTTTTGCGCAATTATGAGTAAAATTACTACAAACATTCCCTTGCAGTTTTTTGTGTGGGCATGAGTTTTCAAATCAGTTGGGTAAATACCTAGAAGCATGATTGCTATATCTTATAGTTAGAAACTGCCAAACTGCCTTCCAAAGTGGCTGTACTATTTTACATTCCTATTAACAATAAATGAGATGAATATTACTTTTTTAATTGACCCAGGAGATTTAAAATGAAAATCTTTGACTTTGCTGGAAGTTTCTAGTTCCCTTTCATGAAGGGGAGAGTACAGAGATGGTGCAAGGATCAAACACTTGAGTGTTATGGAGACCAAGAAGAGAATAAATTAAGAAAATGGATATATATGAGAAAAACAGAGTGATTGGGTCTGTGGCTATTCAAAGTATATGTCTAGCTGCTACTTGGCTGTAGCTAATTGTTGTGACACAGGAACTTGGGTCCAGTGTTTCTAAATTTTGTAAGTTTTTCAAGAGAAGCCAAAAATCTAGATTTGTATATACTGTTCCATTTTTTAAAAATATAGACAAGAAACTTTACATATTAAAAGTATATAATTTGGTAAAGTTTGACATATGTTTATGCCACTAAACCCATCACTCTGAACACTTTTCTCATTTTTCTTGGCAATCCCTTTCCTATCCCACCTCCCAGATAGTCATTGATCTTTTTTTGTCACTATACATTAGTTTGCATTTTCTAGAGTTTTTTTTAAGTAAATAAAAGTATACATTGAGCATTCCTTTTAACTGCCTTCTTTTGTTCAGTATAAATATTTTCAGATTTATTGATGTGTTATCAATAGTTTTTTTTTTTTTTTTTTTGAGACAGAGTCTCGCTCTGATGCCCAGGCTGGAGTACAGGGGCGTGATCTTGGCTCACTGCGAGCTCTGCCTCCCAGGTTGACGCCATTCTCCTGCCTTAGCCTCCCGAGTAGCTGGGACTACAAGCACCCGCCACCGCGCCCAGCTTATTTTTTATATTTTTAGTAGAGACGGGGTTTCACCATGTTAGCCGTGATGGTCTCAATCTCCTGACTTTGTGATCCACCCTCCTCGGCCTCCCAAAGTGCTGGGATTACAGGCGTGAGCCACCATGCCCAGCCATCAGTAGTTCATTTTTATAGCTGCATAATTTTACATTGCATGGCTATCCTACAACTTGTCTATCCATTGATCTATTACTATTAATTTAGGTTGCTTCAAATTTTGAGTATGACAGATTATTTGCATATTTGTATATGTGTTTTTATATGGATGTGTATTTTTTATTTCATATTAATATTCTTAGAATGATTGGGTCATGCAATAAATGAACAGTTAAACTTTAAAGAAACTGCCAAAATATTCTCCAGAGTGGTTGCATCATTTTACATTCTCACCAGCAGCGTAGGAGAGTTCCGTTCTTCCAAATCCTCACCAACACTTGGTATGATCAGTCCTTTTAATTTTAGCTATTCTAATGGGTGTGTAGTGGTATCTTTTTGTGGTTTTAATTTGCATTTTCCTGATCACCAATAATACTGAGCATAGTTTTGTCCTTTATTTGTCCTTCACATATCTTCTTTGATGAAGTGTCTATTCAAATAGTTTGTCCGTTACTACATTGAGTTGTGGTTTTCTTATTGGGAATGGAGAGTTTTAAGAATATATATATATATATATTTTCTTTATATATATAATATATATATTCTTAATATATATTATATATAATACATATTATATATAATATTATATATATATATATTTCTAGCATATGTGTATAGTATATGTGTGTAGCAGTATCGTGATTGTTAACTTATACCCTGTGGTAAACAACTTTATCAACTAGGGTATAGTACTTATGTACAATTTGTTTAGCCTTTGATGTTGTGGAGTCCACCCATTTTCAGGTTTGTTGGGGTAGTGCCTCCCCCTAACCCCCTTCAGTGAGGTGAATATGTATGTATGTATATATATATGTGTGTGTGTATGTGTGTGTGTATTCTATATGCATCCATCATCAGATATATGCTTTGCAGATATTGCTTGCTATCTGTGTTTGCTGTTTTTATTTTCTTGGCAGGGTCTTTTGAGGAGCTGATTGATTTGTTCTTGGGTCTTAATTTATAGAGATTACTGAGTGACAACACAGATAGGTCAATGCCATTGAGAGAAAAGTTTAATGTTACTCATAGTTTCCTTCGAAATGCTAGGCACAGTATAAAATGGTGGCCACAGGTGAAGCACCGGTGTCAGTTAAGAGGCAGAAAGAAGCAAGGGGAAGGCACAGGTCACAGAACTTATTGGGGTCTCTATTGGAAAGTCAAAGCAGGGCAGGGGAAAAAGCTTAGGATCAGCTCCAGCAGGCTTTAGGGTACAGGGTTGTCCCTAGTTGTTTGGTACCTTGCCCTGGGTTGATTTAGGGCAGGGGAAATACTGACTTGGTGTGTGAGAATTAGATAAAGGAGGTGATTGGGGGTATGAACTCTGGATTGGTTAGTTATTTAATAATATATGAAGGGTAGACTTAACAACAAGTTATTTACTCTCTCTGGGAATGAACTAGCCCTTGCAGGGGCAGTCTTTCCCTAGGCAGCAAGATCCTCCCCAAAATGTCAAAACATTATAAAATACACAAAATAAAAGTTGTGATTAATACACAGATGTTGGATGGGCACAGTGGCTCACACCTGTAATCCCAGCACTTTGGGAGGCCAAGGTGAGCACATCACTTGAGCCCAGGAGTTTGAAATCTATCTGGGAAATATGGCAAGACCCCATCTCTATAAAAAATACAAAAATTATCTGGGTGTGTTGGTGTGCGCTTGTGGTCCCAGCTACTTGGGAGGCTGAGCTGAGAGGATCGCTTGAGTCCAGGAGTTAAAGGCTGCAGTGAGCTGTGATTGTGCCACTGCACTCCAGCCTGGGTAACATAGTAAGACCCTGTCTTGAGAATAAATAAATAATACACAGATGTTTTTACATTTAGATAAAGTCCAATTTATCAACTTATCTTTTGTGTATACTCTTCTTTTTGTTCTAGATAAGAAATAATTGCCTCACTCCGTGCCACAAAGATATTCTCCTATGGTTTTGTCTAGAAGTTTTGTAGCTTTAGGTTTCACATTTTAAATCTATGACCCATCTTGAATTTACTTGTGTGTATGGTTTGAAATACATGTTGAAGTTCTTGTTCTTTTTTGCTTATGAATATATAATGATTCCAGCACCATTTATTGAAAAGGCTAGCCTTTCCTGAGTTTCTTGACTTGCCTTTGTACTTTTGTCAAAAGTTAATTGTACCCATATCTGTGGGTCTATTTCTGGACTCTATTCTGTCTTACTGATCTGTTTGTCTATCTTTGCACCCATTCTACACTGTTTTATTTGTTGTAGTCTTATACTAAGTCTTGAAATCATTTAGTTTTGTCCCCTGACTTTGTTCATCATTTTCAAATTGGTTCCTAGAGAAGATCAATACAATTGATAAAATTCTAGTCAGACTGATCAGGAAAAAATGGAGTAGACACAAAACTACCAATATCAGGTGTGAAAGAGTTGATTCTACAGATACTAAATTTGACCACTTCAATGAAATGGACACATTTCTTGAAAGACACAAACTATCAGTGCTTACCCAAAAAGAAATAGTTAACCTGAATAGCTCTACATCTAACAAAGAAATTTGTGATTAAAAACCTCAAAAAGAAAACTCCAGGCTATTGTTTTGGCTATTGTCCTGTCTATTTTAGATCTTTTGCATTTCTGTAGGAATTTTTGAGTAAGTTTATCAATTTCAACAAAAACCTACTAGAATTTTGAAATTTTGATTGGCATTTCATTGAACGTATAGATAAATTTAGGAATAATTCATAGCTTAACAATATTGGGTCTTCTGATCCATAGACAAGGTATAGCTCTCCATTGATTTAGATCTTCTTTCTTTCTCATCAATGTTCTGTAGTTATTTTTCCTTTCACTATCCTCAATCACAATGGGAATGTGTTCTGTACTTTTTAATGTACAGACCTTGCATATCTTTGTCAGCTATTACCCAAGTATTTTAATACTTTTAATGCTATTGTAAAAGGTATTAATTTTTTCTATTTATAATTATTCCTTAGTGTTATATAGAAACAGAATTAATTTTTCTATGTTGATCTTGTATCCTGAAGCTTTACTATAATCATATATTAGTTGTAGTCTGTTGTTTTTGTAGAGATCATCAGATTTTCTACATAGATGATTGTGTGATTACAAATAAAGACAGTTTTGTTTTTGTTCTTTCCAATCTGGAGGCTTTTATTTATTTGTTGTTTTTTTTCCTAATTTAACTAGATGAAACTCTCTATAGAATGTCGAATGGAAGTGGTGAGGGTAGAAATCTTTGCCTTGTTCTTGATCCTTAGGTGTAAAATAATCAATGATGTTAGCTATGGTCTTTTAAAAATAGATATATTATATCAAGTTTCTTCTAATTCTAGTGCTTCAAGAGTTTATTTCAGGAATTGATGTTGAATTTTAACAAGTTTTTTTTTCTGTGCTAATAGAGATCATCATATGATTTTTATTTTTTAGTTTATAAATATGGTGAATTAAATAGATTGATTTTTGAATGTTAAAACACTGATGGATTATGATATATTGTCTTTTTAATATATTGTTGAACATGCTTGCCAAAATTTTTTTGCTATAATTTTACACCAAAACTCATGAAGGATATTGGCCTGTAGATTTCTCTTCTTGCAATGTTTTGGTCTGGCTTTAGAATTAGGGTTATGCAGCCTCATAGAATACATTGGGAAGTATTCCCTTCTCTTGAATTTTCTGTGAGAGTTGGTGTAGAATTGGTACTAATTTTTCCGATATATTTGAGAGAATTAACCAATGTAGCCATCTGAGCCTGGTGTTGTCTTTTGGAGAAGGTTTGAAATTATAAATTAGATTTCTTTGTTAGACATAGAGCTGTAAAGATTAAATGTTTCTTCTGAGTAAGTATTGATAGCTTGTGTCTTTTAAGAAATGTGTCAGTTTTATCTAAGTGGTCACATTTAATATCTGTAGAATCAACTTTCATACCTGATATTGGTAATTTTGTATGTCTTCCATTTTTTTCCTGTCAGTCTAGCTAGAGTTTTATACATTATTGATCCTTTCAAAAACCAATTTTTTTGTTTATTTGTATTATTGATTTGGTATAAGTAGATCTATTTCATTGTTTTCTGCTTAGATCTTTATTATTTCCTTTGTTGTGCTTACTTTGGAATTAATTTACTCTTCCTTTTCTAGTTTCCTTAAGGAGAAAGCTGAGGTAATTGATTTGAGGCTTTTTTTCTAATATAGGTATTTAGTGATATAAATTTCCCTTTAAGGATGGTGTCAGGGAAGGTAGTGGAGTAGGATGTGCCAGGAATCTGTCTCTCCAACTGGACAATAGTACAGCAGAAACTGTAAGAGGTAAGTGTTTTTGGACCTCTAGGGTTTATTTGAATGTTTGCCACTTCTGGGTGAAGACCTGGGCTAGTAAATTGCAGCAATTTTGGTCACTTTTAACCAACAGTACAGTGGCAGCTACCTATTCTCCTTCCACTCCCAACCCTGTGGCAGCTGCTGAGGAATGGCAACTTGTGGTTTTGGTGCTGCTTGTGTTATCCACAGTAGGTAATAAGGACTTTGTTCCCCAAATATTGGGGTTTTGTTTTATGGTTTTGAATTGTTGCTCTAATGGATGAGGTATGGGCATGGAGGCTGGATGCCATTGTTCTAACCTCCATGGGCTGAAGTGTTTTCCAGGATATTGAAAGGTCTGAGCCTGTTCTTTGGACAATCAAAGGCAACTCTGCATACGGAGAACGTTAGAAAGTAACTGCTTATGCCCAGAAAAAGACACAGATGCAGTAAAAACCTGATGAAAGCTTAAGCTTTTACTTTAAGCTGACCCAGGCATAGAGCCATGCTACAACAATCAGAAAAAGAGCAAAATCTGAAGGAGAAGAATCTAATTTCCATAGTTATTACATTATAAGATTCAAACTTGCAGTTTACACCAAAAAAAAAAAAAAAATCACAAAGAAACAGGAAAGTATGGTCCACTTAAGGGAAAAATATAAGTTGACAAAAATGTACCTGAGGAAGCCCAGATATCAGACTTACTAGACAAAGACTTTAAAACAGCTGTCTTAAAAATGCTCCAAGAGCTAGTGGAGGATATGGAAAGAGCTCTAGGCACAGAATTTTGTATGTTATTGAAGTTAAATTGGTCTAAAGTCCAATTAGATTGTTATAACTTTAGGATGTTAAAGGTGAGCCCCATGGTAACCACAAAGAAAATACTGAAAACCAAAACATTTTACTACAAAAAATTAAATAATCACAAGACAGTAATAAATGAAGAACAAAAAGCTATATGGCAAATAGTAAACATATGGCAAAATGGCAGAAGTTTCTCCTTATCAGTAATTATTTTAAAATGCAAATGGATTAAACCCCCTAATACAAAGACAAAGACTTGCACAATGACCCCCCCTCCCTCACAAAAATGAGATGATCTAATTATATTCTGTCTACAAGAGACTTACTTTACATCCAAATACACAATTAGGTTGAAAATGAAATGATAGAAAAAGATATTTCATGCACATAGTAACTAAAAGAGAGCTGAAGCAGCTACACTAATATTAGACAAAATAGGCCTAACTTCAAAAAAGTTCAGAGGACAAAGAAGGATATTATATATTAATAAAAAATTCAATACAGAAATATGATATAGTAATTTAAACATTTACATACATGAAGCTTGAATTACTGTTGTTCCCTGTGCTTTTGGTGTAATATTTCTGGACTTGTTGCCAAATCCAATGTCATAAAGATTTTCTCCAGTGTTTTAAGAGTTTTATAGTTTTAGCTCTTATGTTTAAATCTTTGATTCATTCTGAGTTAATTTTTATACAGTATAAGGTAAGAGCTCAATTTTATTCTTTTGCATATTGATATCCTGTTTTCCAGCATCATTTGTTGAAAAGATCATCTTCCTCACTGAATAGTCATGTTATCCTTACCAAAAACTGTAAGGTTAGCCAAGAGAAAGGATGAGAGAGAGACAAGGTTAGGCGAGGAAGTTTATTAACCTGCTGGATGCTCCACCACAGACAGAGGAGGCAGCACTAAGCTTACAGAATGAGGGATTTATATTGGGGAGGGGAGTTTGAGGGAGTTCTTTGGTATGGCCACATCCCGGGGTTGTGTCCTGGTTAATTTTGCCACATATCAGCTTGTGACGTTTATTACAGGAGGGTGTAGGTAAAGTTGGTTTATACTTCCCATGACCTTCCCCTGTGCAGTCCAGATGGTTTGTAACTGGGGTTTGCTTATCGCAGCAAGGTCTGATAAGTGAAGTCTGCTGGCTTTACCATGGCACCTAGACAAGGGTTTAGAAATGGGGGAAGGGTGAGCAGCACCAAGAAGCTTTCTTGGGGCAGTTTGTCCCTAACAAAAATCAACTGACCATATTTGAGGATTTATTTCTGGTTTCTATTCTATAATATTTCACTGGTCTATATGTCTGTCTTTATGCCAGTGCTATACTATTCTAATTACTGTAGCTTTATTGATAATGTTATTCAAGTTTTCTATGTACTTTCTGATTTTTTGTCTACTTGTTCTATCAGTTATTGAGAGAGGGATATTGAAATCTGCAATGATAATTGTGTATTTGCTCATGTATCCTTGACGTTCTATTAGTTTTTGCTTCATGCATTTTTAAGCAATGTTAGGAAGAGCATAAACATTTAGGATTATTACACCCTCTTGATGAATTGACCACTTTATTATTGTGAAATTACCTTCTTTATCTCTGGTAATAATTTTCGATTTGAAATGTACTTTTTCTGATACTGATGTAGTAATCAACTTTTTAAAATTAGTGTTTGCATGGTGTAACACTTTTAATTTTAATCTATTTGTGTCTATATTTAAATCACATCTCTCCCATTCATTTATGTATGCAATTACTTATTAATATTAGTATGGACTCATAAGTATTTATTTTATAATTTGGGTTATAATATAATTATACCTAATTTTTTTTTTGCTCAAAATAACGTGAAAACAGTCTTGTTGGTAGAATATTTTTTCTTTCTTTTTTTTTCACCTAACTCACCCATAGCAAAATATTTTTAAAGATATTTTTTCTCCCTCCCCTTCTTAGGAGACTTCCATAATATATATGTTAGTCCAACTAAATTTGTTCAACTGATACTCTTTCCTGTTTTTCTCTCTGTGTTCCTTTTTGTATAGTTTCTATTGCTATGTTTTCAAGTTCTTTTCTCTTTTCTTCTGCAGTGTCTCATCTGCCATTATTCCCATACACCATTATTTTACAATCTCTGATGTAGTTTTAACTTCTAAACATTGCATCTTTGTCTTAATTTACCTTCCATATTTCTTTTTAAGTTTTTTTTTCTTTTATTATTATACTTTAAGTTTTAGGGTACATGTGCACATTGTGCAGGTTAGTTACATACGTATACATGTGACATGCTGGTGCGCTGCATCCACTAACTCGTCGTCTACCATTAGGTATATCTCCCAATGCTATCCCTCCCCCCTCCCCCCACCCTACAACAGTCCCCAGAGTGTGATGTTCCCCTTCCTGTGTCCATGTGATCTCATTGTTCAATTCCCACCTATGAGTGAGAATACACGGTGTTTGGTTTTTTGTTCTTGCGATAGTTTACTGAGAATGATGATTTCCAATTTCATCCATGTCCCTACAAAGGACATGAACTCATCATTTTTTATGGCTGCATAGTATTCCATGGTGTATATGTGCCACATTTTCTTAATCCAGTCTATCATTGTTGGACATTTGGGTTGGTTCCAAGTCTTTGCTATTGTGAATAATGCCGCAATAAACATATGTGTGCATGTGTCTTTACAGCAGCATGATTTATAGTCCTTTGGGTATATACCCAGTAATGGGATGGCTGGGTCAAATGGTATTTCTAGTTCTAGATCCCTGAGGAATCGCCACACTGACTTCCACAATGGTTGAACTAGTTTACAGTCCCACCAACAGTGTAAAAGTGTTCCTATTTCTCCACATCCTCTCCAGCACCTGTTGTTTCCTGACTTTTTAATGATTGCCATTCTAACCTTCCATATTTCTACTTAACTTGTTAATACTATTATATTTTATATTTGTTTTAACTCCCTTGTATTCTAATTCTAACATCTCTTTCAGTTCTGGGTTGGTTTTTATGGATTGAATTTTTTCTTTATAAGGCATATTTTTTTGGCTTCTTTGCATGCCTGGTAAGTTTTGATTGGGTTCTAGACATTGTGAATTTTATTTGTTAGTTGCTAGATGTTTTTGTATTCTTGTAAATATTTTTAACCCTTGTTCAGGCACACAGCTGAGATATTTGGAAATATTTTGATTCATTTGGTGTCTTGCTGTTTAAGATTTGGTAAGTGGTGCAAGAGCAGTATTTGGTTTAGGGGTGTATTAGTCTGTTCTCACACTGCTATACAGACACTGCCGGAGACTGGGTAATTTATAAACAAAGGAGGAGGTTTAATTGACTCACAGTTCTGCATGGCTGGTGAGGCCTCAGGAAACTTACAGTCATGGCAGAGTGGGAAAAGGCATGTTTTACATGGTGGCAGGTGAGAGAGCGTGTGTGAGGACAGGAAAAACTACCATTTATAAAACCATCAGGTCTTGTGAGAATTCACTCACTATCATGAGAACAGCATGGCAGAGACTGCCCCCATAATTCAATCACTTCTCTTCCTCAACATGTATTGATTACAACTCAAGATGAGATTTGGGTGGGGACACAAAGCCTAAACATATCAAGGGCAAATTATTTCATACTACTGAAGCAAGACCCTTTTGGGAGCTGTACCCAATGCTCTGTGAATTATGAGATTCTCTAGTCTAGCTGTTGAAAATAGCCAATATTCTTGGCTTCATGTGAATGCCAAAAACTTTTTTCCTGGTCCTTTTGGATGGTTCTTTCCCTGGCCTCATTTTCTGACTAGTATTCTGCTGAAAACCCAAGTGGGACTCTGCAGATATCCATGGTCCTTTCCATGTGCATCTCTCTCCTTTCTGATAGTTTATCCTGTGAATTCTAACTATCTTAGTCTTTCAGTTCCATTTCCTCAATTCAGGGACTGCTTTAAGCTCCTTATAAGTTACTCTTCCTCCTATTCCCTGTCTTGGAAACCTTCTCAAGGCAATATACTGGGGGCAATGACAGGGTTCATCTCATTTGTTTATCATCTTTCAGGGATCATTGCCCTTTATTACCTGATGTGCAGTTTCTTGAAAATTTTTGTTACATATGTTTTGTCTTTTTTTTGTTGTTTTGTTTACTTTGGTTTGCTTGTTTCAGGCAGGAGGGTAAATCTGATCCTTGTTACTATATGTTGGATAGAAGTTGAACATCATTTGTTAAATACTGACATTTAATACAGAATTTTAGAAGATATACTGCAAGCAAACAAAAACCATCTGGTATTTCTTTTAGCCCTTAGGTCATTAGTTTGTGATCTCTGAGATAGTCAGTCACATGGACAGGCAAAAATGGCAGTTTTAATTGAATGTAGTAAGAGCCATGATAAAAGTTGCTATGGGAGCTCAATAGTTGAGGCTCTAACCCCACACTAGGTATGAGGAAGCCTTAATGACTGCACACATGTTATTTGATAAAGAAGGCATGGTGGGAGGAGACGATAGCTCAGGTCAGAGATTCACCATGGATAAAAACATATTGATGTGGAATCACATGGCATGAAGTAGGAACTACAATCAGTTTGATTTCATCAAAGAATAATAAGTAAGTGTTCAAGTGAGAGTTCTCCAGAAAGACAGAACCAATAGGATATATGAGAGGGGATTTACTAGGGGAATTGACTCACAAAATCACAGGAGGCAGAGAAGTCCCACGACAGGCCCTCTGAAAGCTGGAGAACCAGAGAAGGCAGAAGTGTGGCCCAGTTCATGTCCTGAAGCCTCAGAACTAGGGAAGTCGATGGTGCAGCTTCCAGTTTGAGGCTGAAGGCCTGAGAGCCCTAGTTAAGCCATTGGTGCAGGTCCCAGAGTCCAAAAGCCAAAGAATCTGGAGTATGATATTCCAAGTCAGGAGGAAAAAAAAGTCATATTGTTTGGAAAGGGAGAGAGGGAGTAGAGAGAAAATCCATCCTCTTCCTTCTGTTTGTCCCGACTGGGTCCCCAGATTGGATGGTGTCCACTCACACTGAAGGCAGGTCTTCCTCTCTCGGTCCACTGACTCATAGGCCAATCTCTTCTGGAAACACCATCACAGACACAGCCAGAAACAATGCTTCAGCAGCCATCCAGGTGATCCTTCAATCCAGTCAAACTGACACCTAAAATTAACCATTGCATCAAGGTAGAAATGGGCAGCTAGCTCATGAACAGCCTTATCTGTCATGCTAACACATTTAGCCTTAGTCTTGTAAATAATGGAGAACTTCTGAAGGTTCTCCTATGAAGCAGGAATGCGACATTAGAGACATCACCCTATAATGGGGAGGATGGAGTTGAAGGGCAAAGACTGACCTTCAGAAGGTAAGTTGGGAGGTCATTTCCTTTGTCCAAGGAAGAGAGGCTGGGGCCTTACTATAATATGGGGTTAGGGATGGACATTTAGGGAGAGAGATGAGAATTATTTAAGACTTAAAAATGTCAGGACATCTTAACTTACTGTGTGTGAGGGAATGCGGGAGAGGGTGTGGGGATAAAATAAGTTCCAGTCCTTTGGCTAGAATAACCACATGAAAAATGCTGGAAGGAAATGTTACGAGCTGTGGTGGGGAGGAACAGTTCTGGGGCAGGGAGAGTTCAGGAAATGCTGAGCTTGAGGTGGCTGTGAGAAGATGCTCTTTTTGATGCTTATTCTCTCTCTCTCATTTGTGCCTGCCCTACTGGTGGGACAAAAAATGTAAGAGAATTTAATACCTGATTGAGGAGACTTTTTCTCAAAATCAGATTCCCACTCACAAAACTCTGATTCTTGGTCCATTTATCAACAGCCTCTGATAATTTGGGGGAAAGCCATTTAGGGCTGCTGTATTAGGTTGTGTACATTGTCTGTGGTTCTGCTGTATAGCCACCATTCGTATCATAATACAATGAATGATGCTCCCTGGAACTGGTCTGCATGTGCCCTGGGCAGCTGTATGTGGGGTGTATTGTTGAGTTATAGAAACAGCCTGATCTTGACTCTTACTGGACCATTTCCACATTGGGTGACCTAGGTCAAGTCACTTAACTTTTATGATCCTCTCTTTCCTTGTTTATACTGTGAGCCACCTTACAGAGGTGGCTGTGAGAATTAAACAGGTTACAAATTTAAAAAGCATTAGTTGTTATTCATATTTTATCCCACCTTTTAAATCTATTTGCTAATATTGAGGAAGTTGGGTGACAAGCTTTGGATGACATATTTGCTCCATGGCAATGGTGGCTATGGCTAGAGGAACATAGAAGAAAGACAAAATCAAGATTCAGGACTTGAGGACTGAGAGGGTGCAACAATATCTTTCATATCTTTCTGCTGTTTTGCTCCCCTTCTCCAACCATCTGATTCCTGTATCTTCCTAAATCTTTGTAAGGGGCTTGGGCTGGGTATAAAAATGAGAAGTAAGGGCTTGAGCAGTGGTTTTTAATCTTAGAAGCACACTAAAATCACATGAGAGTGCTAAAAAATACTGATGTCTGAGTACCACCCCAAGGGTTTGTGCCATAATTTACCTGGGGTACGACTTGAGTTTTTGAATTTTTTTTTTAAATTTTAATTTATTGTTGAGATGAAGTCTTGCACTGTCACCCGGGCTGGAGTGCAGTGGTGTGTTCTTGGCTCACTGCAACTTCTGTCTCCCAGGTTCAAGTGATTCTCCTGCCTCAGCCTCATGAGTAGCTGGGATTACAGGCACCCACCATCATGCTGGCTAATTTTTTGTATTTTTAGTAGAGATGGGGTTTCGCTATGTTGGCCAGGCTGGTCTCGAAATCCTGACCTCATAATCCGCCCACCTCAGTGCTGGGATTACAGGCAGGAGCTGCTGTGCCTGGCCACTTTTGAATTTTCTAACGCTCCCTTGCTTCCAATGTGCATCTGGGATTGAAGAACCACTACTTTAGCCTTTGCATGTCACTGATATAATTGGAGGCCAGGATTACAGTCTGTGCTGGGGGCAAGGGAGGGTTTTCTTTGTTCTCTTTTTGTTTTGAGATTAGTGTTTGTTATTTGGGTAAGCTGGGCTGAAACACAGATATAAAGATCAGAATGGGGCTGGTGAGATGGGCTTTCTAATCTCTGAGCTTTTTGTTGTTTTTATGGTCTTGTTATGAGAAAAATGTTGAAATTTACTTATGAAATAAATCCATAAATAAAAAGACATTCTATGTTTTCAAGAGGAATGAAATTGGCAGCTGATGTCTCCCTTTCTGCTTTAAGGGTAACTAAAAGCATTACCGTATTAAAATTTATTGGGTTCGGAAGGAGACAAGAGGTCAGTATGAGGATAAAATAGCTTCTTGCCAGACCCAGCAAATAACAGTAGAGGACACATTTCAATTTGAATTGAAGATAAATGAGGGATACAGTTTTCAGTATGTCTCATGCGTGATTTGGAACATACATGTACTAAAAAAATTTTGTTTGTCTTAAATTCAAATTTAACTAGATGCCCTGCTTTTTTTTTCTGGCAAGCCGAGGGTAAAACTACTCAGTGAAGCTGAGAGAAGAACCTGAAGCAAGTCAGGGTGAGCTGGTCTAGGAATCAAAAGTCATGGTTTGACTATAATCATAAATGGGTTGCCATTGGCTTAGGTTCTTGGGATTAGTCCGGCTTCGAGAGAAAGAATCGAAAACTAAGTAGCCCACAAAGCTGTTTTAATAATACGATCTCTTACATGGATATAACACATATGCTTTTCCAAAGTGCTTTCACAATACATTCTCTCACTTTATCCTCCAAACCACCAGAAGTTTAGCTCACATTAGCCACAGTTTGACAGTGGAAAAACACCAAGGGCTAGAGCAAAGAAACTGCTCTGAAGTCCTCAAATGGGTAAGTATTAAATCAAGACCTAGGATGTATTTTTTTTTTCCTACTTCTAGCTCATAGTCATCTTTAGGTATGGAGTTAACCTTTTAAAATAGAGGTGCCAGGCTGGGTGTGGTGGCTCACACCTGTAATTTCAGCACTTTGGGAGGCCAAGGCAGGAGGATCACTTAAAGCCAGGAGTTCAAGAGCAGTCTGAGCAACATGGTGAAACCCCAACTCTAAAAAGAATAATTTAAAAATTAGCCAGGTGTGGTGGTGAGTGCCTGTGGCCCCAGCTACTTGGGAGGCTGCGGTGGGAGGGTCACTTGAACCTACATCACATTATTCTAAAACTTCCTGAATTCATGGAGTGAAATGGAAAATTCAGAAAATAAAAGGAAGTACATTGTAAAAGCAGATTATAATAAAGCCCAGAGGCATTGAATTTTGGCCTGAGTCAAAATTCAGTGGGATCCTCCAGGCTCCAGTGAGCCATGATCACTCAGCTGCACTTCAGCCTGGGTGACAGAGTGAGACCCTGTCTCTAAAAAAAGAGGTACCAAGGTGCTTAGACTATGTGTGTGTATAGACTTTCAGCAGTGAGGACAAGTAGTTGTCAATATATTATCTGTCCTAGTAAGGGAGGAAGAGGTTAATCTATTTAATATGTGCCTAAACCTATGAATTTTACCCAGGTCACTCTTCTCACTCCTATTCCATAGCTGAAACTGAATTGAAATCCACCTTGCAACCACAGCTCTGTCGTAGGCAGTTCTTTGGTCATACTCACTTCACATCTGCTCTAGCTTCTTCCTCTGTTACTGCCTTTCTTTGCCTCTTGGCTCTTGGTTTTATTTACTGTATCTGGCTCCACAAAGACAGATTTCAGGGTCTCAGGTTTCATCATGATTATCCTCTAGAAGCAACTTGACTTACTCCCCTCCTCCAGCTCTTCCAGTTCCAGCCATCCCCACTGAGTTCCAGCCCCTAGGCCCCAGCCTGCTGTCTAACCACATCACATTATTCTAAAATTTCTAAACATTTTAGGAGAAAATGATGTACTGGAACTCAAATTATCCAGTTGTCAAATATCTAAGTTTGGTAGGGCATTGGAGACTCTGAGGTATTGAATGAGGTTGACTCGGGCTGAAATTCAATGCCCCTGGGCTTTATTATAATCTGCTTTTACAATATACTTCCTTTTATTTCCTGAATTTTTCATTTCACTCCATGAATTCGGGAAATTTTAGAATAATGTGATGTAGTTAAACTAGTGGAAATATCCGAGCTACAAATCTAGCTGTTCATCGGATTTAAGACAGGGCTGATTCTCCATTGTAGGGTGAAGTTCAAACTCCTTAGCCTGCCATTGAAGACCTTCCCCAGGCTGGTACCTGCCTGCCTTCCCACTTTTATTCCTCATGTGTCATCTGCTTACACAAATTGGTTTCCCTGCTGTTCATGGAACACTCCTTATATTTTGTCTCGTCTGACTCTGTTCCTATTTCTGGAATGGGCTCCTCCCCCCATGCTATCTACATCCTAAGCCATCTCAAGGCCCAGCTCAGATGTCACCTTCTCTATGAAACTTTTCTAACACCCTCTGATCTCCTAGGCCATTTTTGTTTGCACCATTCTTTGATGATTTATTATATACTAGGAATGCTGTTCAAAACACTGAGCACTAACTGATCATAATGGCTGCTGGCCATAGTGCTAGCACATGACTCCAAAGGCCCTTCTCTGTGCCAGATATTTCCCTATATATGCTGAATGATGGAGAGGCCTTTAAGGCCTGAGCAAGGGGTCAGAGTGGTCAGAATAGTGGGGAGCGCAGAGGTGGGAGTGCTTTGGGACAGATGCCATTTGCCACCCAGAATAGAAGTATTTCAAGATTTTAACAGCACAGACATAACAGTGCATACCAGATGAAGTCAATTTGCCTTATATTGTCTTATTTTTCTTAACTGGATTTATGTGTATGTTTTGGAAATCATTTAGTCCAGGGCTTCTTAACCTAGGGTCTGTACTGTAGACTCAAAGGGAGTTGATGGCATTTACCAGATTTTCAAAGGTACGTGTAATGCAGAGAAGGTTAGGAAACGCTGGTCTCTCCAACACTTCCATTTACAGATTAAGAAACTGTAGCTGAGTGAGGTTGAGCATAAGAACTATGCATGCAATAATTTTCAGGGAGATATTTGCCATCTGCGGTCCAATTCAAGTTCCCTTATTAAAGGTACACTTAGAGTGTTCCATGACATCATATCAATGAACTGTCCTCACTTTTTCTCCTGCAGGCACCCTGGAGGGCTTGCCTGGTTGGTCAAGACTCTTGGTAAGGTTGGCAGGGAGCTGGTGCAGACAATTGCTCTTCTTAAACAGTAGATGAAGTACTGGCACTAGTACTTAGCGGTCTATTGGGAAGAGGAGTTCAGAATTCCAGTACAAGGAATCTAAAGTTGGTTGTCAGACCAAGGAGAGGGATTGAAAGCAGGTATTAATAATTTACTGAGCATTTACTATCAGATAGGCTTTTTGTTTTTATTAAGCTATTTAATCTGAATGAGAATCTTATGAAGTAGGAACTGCCATCCCCTACTTTACAGATGAAGAACTCAAGGTCCAGAGAAGGTAAGTACCTTGCCCAAATGTATACAACTAGGAGAATTAGGATTTGAACTAACGTGGTCAGGCTCCAGCATCTTCACTTCCAACCACTATACCAGGCTGCCTCTTAAGAGTTGGGTTGTGGAGCCAGGGAATGAAAAAGCAAGGAAAGGTGGGTTTCAGTGAGTGGGTGGTATACGTGGGATTGGGTTGGAGGAGGCCCTACCAAGTGCTGATACCCTTGGCCAGGCCTCATGTGGTCTGGTGCTGGGATTCTGGACTTGTGTCAAGAGCAGTCATAGGGTGGATAGAGTGTCTTAAGAGTCTGAAAGCAACTTGCATTGTGGTATTTATTTACTCATCCGTGTAGACTCCCCTATCTTGGTATTAAGGACACAAGATGTACTTACCACCTGGAAAAAGAACTTGCAGTTCTTTCCAAAGGAATAGAAAATTGAGGATGTGACAATTTTGTTTTGGGGCTATGCTCTCTCCTTTGTAAGTTGTTCTTGTCCCTTGATGCTGTTTCTTTTCTTTCCTCCACGGTCCTCTCATCCTTACTTCCCCTCTGTCAAAATTCTGTTCTTAGGAAGGGAAGGGAAACCCTTTGAGACTGAGATGTGTACAGCTAAGGGGGCATAAACAATTACATCTCCTGGATATTATTTTGTGCATGTTTTGTTTAGCTCTTGCCTTTTAACTCCTATGCCTCCTGAAGATCCATGTAGTTAGCACCACATGCAGCTAAGCTCCAAGCACTCCCACTGCATTTTCAACCCAAGTTGGGGACGCTTCCTTGGCACTGGGCTCTTGCTTTGCCTCCTCTTTCTGTGTCTGCATTTTCTTTGGGTCTGTATATACCAACCTCTTCCCTAGCGCTAACTGGCTGCTCTTCTTGTCTCCCCCGACCAACCCTCACCACCGCAAGCCACGTCTGAATGATCCTGGCTGGGAAGAGGGCCTACACTCATCAGAAGCTATACTGGGTTGACTTGTGTTGAGGTAGATACTTGACTGGGGACTGGGACTGGAAAGAGCCAGGGGATGGGTGTGACCATTCCTGAGGTCCCACCAGCCTTTGAACTTTATACACCTTATCTTATTGAATCTTCCCTACAACCCTGTGTGGGTTGTATTTAGTGACCTCATTTTTTAGATGAGGAAATTGAAGATAGGAGAGTTTAAAATAATTTGCTCAAGCTCACACAGCTAATAAATGGCAGAGCTGGGACCCAATCCTTATCTGTTGGATTGCAAAGTCCATGTGTAATATTTCCCCTGCCCTGGTACCAGTAAAGAAGCAGCACCCATAATCTAGTCTAGGGTAATAAGGAATGGCCAGAAATTTAAAAGGAAAGTAAAAGGGCTAGCAGTTGAGTGGACATTGAAATGGAGCAGCCAGAAACAAATGAACAGGAAAAGAGCAAAGATAGAACTAGAAAGTCTGAGACAACTACAGAGAGTGAATCTGGAGTTCTTGGAACTTTTTGTTTTTGGTCTTCGGTCCCATGGTTTGGAGGAGGGGTGGCCTGGCCCAGGGGCCCAGGATGGGTACCCCTCAGCTGAGCTTGGGTCCTCACTCCTGGATCTGTTCTGCTTACAGTGACCACTTCACTGACTGAGCTCCAGCCCCAGGATACCGCTCCAACCTCGGCTAGAAGCAACATGGGGCTCAATTCAGCCTTGGATGGGACAAAAGGAACAAAAACTAAGGGAATGAACAAATAAGGCATCCTGGGTTTTAGACATTAAAGAGTTTTCTATAAGCTTGAGGATGACCTCACGTAAAGTTATATAGGTGATATTGGCCCCATGAATGCTCACGTCTTGGTCTTTTGACCTCCCTTATGGTCTTTCTAGGAAGATCAATTCTTTCCCTCTCCCCACTATACTATGTACTTTCTGGCTGGGAGGAGAGATGGAGGCTGCAGATGGCTTGGAGGAACCCCAGTGGTCTCAGATGTAGCTATTGAGGCTGGAGAGGGAGGATTCCAGCTCTACCCTGAGTGGCTGACTCAACTCAGCTCCACTCTTAGGGCTCAGAGCAATGGATCATTTTCTTCTGTGCTTCTGGGTTTTAGGCAGTGTCTTGAGAACTGCATGGCTGAGAGAGAGGAAACAGGTGGACACCACGTGGGCTGAAGGAAGCCCAGGGTCACCAACCCACCCTGGGGCCAGAAGGCAATTGTTCCCTTTGGAGGATGGTGTGTTAATCATCAGATCACTGAGCTGTCAGGCTGCAGAGAGGGGAAATTTAAAGTCAGGGCTTGTCAGATTTGCAACAAGGAACTGATTTAGCAGCAGTTTGAGTCCCTTTTAGTCCTTCTTATTCTCATCAGCAATAAGTTGGATGTTGGAAAAAATTTAACATGGTAATTTATGCCAGGTGAACTACACTGTGCTCTGTGCTTCTGGGGTGCTTTCCTGGAGTCCTGGAACTTTGTAGCTGGGAAAGGCCGTCTGGTCCAGTGCCTGATGATTGATTGGTTCTTGGTCATGTTTATTCAATCATACTGATTCTCTGGAGAAGGGAAGTGACCTGCCTAAGGTTGTGTAGCATGTTAGGGCTGGAGGGGGTCTGGTCCCAGGCAGCAGGTGCCCTTCTCCACAGGGACCATTGAATTCTGTGCTCCTGGAAACCTCCATCATAAATACGATCTCCAAAATGAGCTGAGTGGAAGGGCAAATGTAAAGAATTTCACACATCACATGTTATTTTCCTACTGATTTGTTAATTTTATAGATAATTTATATTGTATATTGTCTTTAGAGTTAACGAGCATTTACATTTCTAAGCCTTCTCCCTTGGCCGCTAGATGAAACTTGTACTTTTCTTTTCTTATTTTTTTTGCATTTAATATGCTACAAACATTAAGTGGCCCAGGGGGTTTACATATCTGCTGGGGGAGGCAGTATGGTTTAATGGAAAAAGAAATGGATGAGGAACTAGGCAGGCCTGAAGTTCAAATCTTTTCTCTGCTACTGATCACATATGTAACTTTGGGCTGGTTACTTTATTTCTCAGAATTTGTGTTTCCTTATCTGTGAATAGGGCAACAGGACATTTCCCCCAACCCCCAGTGGGTTACTCTAAGGATTAAATGAGATAATACATGCATAGCATGGCATCTAGCATATAGTAAGCACTCAATAAAAGTTATTAATACTGAGTACTTAACGTTAATTTTCTTCCACTTATAGGATGTTCTGTTTTCATCATAGAACCCTCATTAAAAAAAGAAAAACCAAAGAGCAATTGCCTTTTAAAATGGAATGTTCTTGTGTTGGCTCACATAAGTGGAAATGCACATCTGTATTTTGAATTAGATCACCTGGTGTTTATAGCATCTCTGGGGCATACAAAAGACTTTTACATTAGTTTTGTTTAGTTTTTTATAAGCTCATGAATTTTCACAGCATTCTTATGAGACAGGAATTAGACATATTGTTCATGAATTAATGAAAGTACAGAGAGGTTTAGGCACTTGTCCAACATCACAGAGACAAATCAGTGACAGCCAGGAATAGTATCGACATTTCCAGCCTGGAAACTTGGTACTGACTCGCTGTCCACTGATGACATGCTCGATGTTTTTGTGTGTGTCTTTTCTCCTGCAGTAGGGTTTTGCGTCTCTTAGGTCCTCTGTAGTGGCGCAAAGGTCATGAAGGGTGTACACAGAGCTTCTATCAGATATTGGCCACTCCTCCCCTATGCCGGTTTCCACTGGACGAGCAGGGAGGGGCAATTATAGCAGTGCTGATGGGAGGGAAGTGGAGTCCATGAAATGTCCATCAAGTTCTATTCCACAACCAAAGGCACTTCAGGCATTCGTGAGGTGGTGGTAGTGATGGTGAATATTTTGGGGGACCAGCAGTGGCATTCCCAGTGCTTCTAAAATCACCTTGTAAGGGTGGGGAACTTTCTGGTTCTGGGTGAGGGGTTCTGATGGAAATTACGGTGTCAGATTCTGGGGTCTGATTGCCTTGCTTTTAGGGTGGGCACAAGCCCCGCTCTGGCAGAAGGAGTCTGCTCCTCAAAGGCAGCCCTGGGATAGACTCTGGAATGACCGGGTGGTCGTGCCTGGTCTCCCTGTTAACTCTGGCCATCTCAAAACTTGGGATGACTCACAGACTCTTCCTATTTCATGTTTTTGGACAAGCTTTGTCTTTTCTTGACTTACCTGCTAATTACACTTGGGGTCAACCTTCACTCTACTTCGATCACTGTAACTGTGTTTTGATATTTAAAAAAAATTATTTTTTATATTTAGAAGATACAGTACTTTGTTTTCTTTCCTTTACTTTTTTTTTTTTTTTAATTTCCATGGGTTCTGGGAGAATAGGTGGTATTTGGCTACACAAGTCCGTTCTTTAGTGGTGATTTGTAAGATTTTGGTGCACCCATCTCCCGAGCAGCATACACTGAACCCAGTTTGCAGTCTTTTATCCCTCACCCCCTTCCCACCCTTTCTCCCTCAGTCCCCAAAATCTATTGTATCATTCTTATGCCTTTGCATAAGAATCCTCATAGCTTAGCTCCTATCCCACTTATGAGTGAGAACATACGATGTTTGGTTTTCCATTCCTGAGTTACTTCACTTAGAATAATAGTCTCCAATGCCATCCAGGTTACTGTGAATGTGATTAACCCATTCCTTTCTATGGCTGAGTAGTATTCCATCATATATATATATATACACCACTAACTATGTTTTGATTTTCTTCTTTTTTTTTCTGGCAGCCTAACATTGCACTGTCTCTGATTTTCAGCTTCAAACGCTTGTCTTGTGGCCGACCACTTAGTTTTCTGTCCTTGCTGGCATATAAGAAGAAAGAGGGTGGCACAGGTGGATGGCTCAGAGGAACTTTCCTGTAGGAGTTAGGAACTGAGCTGGGCCTTGAAGTTTGGGAAACATCCTAACACGTGGAGAGAGTTGGAGAGGGGGCCTTAAGCAGCAGGAGCAAGAACAAGGCGTAGAGTGTGGAGTCATAGGAAAGCCATGGTTCTAGAGTTCAAAGGGTGAGTCAGCTCTGATGCTTACAAGAGTCAGAGTGCTTACAAAAACCTGACCTTGGGCAGGTTCCTTAACGTCTCTGGAGCTTGGCTTTCTTACCTGTAAAATGGGGATAATACAACTTACTTCTCAGAGTCATTGGGGCTATTAAATAGTACATATAAAAGCAACTAGCATGATGCCCCTGGTAAGTTCTCAATAAATGTTGATTTTATGTCATTTCATGCTGCCCACCATGCTGGTTAACAGGCGGGAGAAAGAGCTAGAGAGGGGAAGAAACTCCTGTTCCTGCTCTAGCCTCTTGCCTGGCCAATTGCTCAATGCTGAGTAAAGGGAAAGCTTCTTAAACAGATGTGCCTGTGCCTCCAGGGCCGGTCCTTGAGTGTCTTGATTCCTGGAGCTTGCACATGGGGCTAATGCTGCGTTATCTTGCCCTTGTTAAAACTCAGCCTGGGGATGTAAAGAGATGTCAACTCCTCCCCCTCCCACGTGCCTGTGTCCCTCATCCTTCCTCCCTGGGGTGGTGTATTCCAGCTGTTGTAGGCTTTGTGCATTTAACAAAAGGCATCATTATGGAAACCCCTGTATTGTGTTGAGTTCAGGGAGACCCTGATGTTGGGAGCGGCCTGGACTCATTTGCTCTTGTTAACCAGATGTGCTTGTGTGAACATGTCTTGTCCCAGCTCGAGTTCCTTTTTCAGGTGACCTTAGCACCCCCATCCTGTTTATCTTGCTGCTAACTATGGCTCTTTCTATATTTATTGATCATCTGCTCTGTCTCTGGGTTTTGATCTTTGCTCCAGGACTTCTGTCTCTGGATTTGAACCTCTGCTAACAGAATGTTGTCATTGTCTGTGGTATTTAATTTTCTAACTCCTTTTCTTAAATTTGATCTAGAGTTCTCACCAGGCTCCGTCTTTTCTCATTAGTAATTAAAAGTACTACTGATCACTGCCCAGGCATTAACACTAGGGGCTCTGGACTGGATGTCCAGAATTCTTTATTTCTATTTTTAGTTGAATCCCTGGATCCAGATCTTTTATATTGGTTTGACTACCTATATCCACCCAACCTGTCAGAAATGTCTTGCTAGGATTTCTTCTAGACTCCAAACTGATAAATTCCAGCAGAGATTCTGATTCAGAAGGTTGGTTAGGGAAGGAGATAGGGTGAGAGAGAACTCCAGGGAACCAGAGCCTAGAAACTGCCTAGAATCCCATGTGTTTCTGATACAGGTGGATCATGGATCAGACACTCTGAACAACACTGATCAACACTGAAGTTTCTGGAAGTCTGACTTTCATATAAAGGGAAATATTGTCATATTGGCCAATAGAGATTTAAAGTCGCAAGGTTTAAGACCAGGTAAGAATAACTTAAGACATCAGATCTTCTTTGCAGGTGGCAAACAATTTAATTTCCTAAGTAAGCTAAATGTTCTCTCCCTAAGTTTGTCTCTTTTAAGTATTGTCTTGATTAGCTGTTTCTTCAGAGGAAACTCAGAGGTGAACTTCAGGCAATGTTTTGTTCAAATTACTTTTAAATTTTGAATGTGTTCATGTCTGTGTTTATGACCTGTGCCTGGGCTTACAGAGTATAAAGTGTATTCTCATCAGGCCCCATTGTCACTTTCCCCTTCCAACCCTTGCCCTTAATCTGCCCCATATTCCAGCCAGCTCCCACTAACTATTGGTTGCCGTTCCAATAAGTACTTCATGGGCAATCTTTCTCTGAGTTGTATTTTTAGAGGAAGAGATGAAAGGAGACTGAAAAATTAAAATCAAGATAAGCAGTCTCTCCCTTGGAATGTTATTAAGAGGATGTGGTCATTTAAAAGTACTTTCCCCTCTCTTCTCTTCAGTGTTTGACATCTGAAGTCATAGAAGATGCTATCATACCTTGCTTTATTAACATGGCTAGAGTCACCTGTTTCAAAAGGCCCAGGAACATTAACCTTAAGTGAAAAGAAAGTGGCACGAAAGGAAAGATAAAAGGAAACTGGCTTTTGGCAGCAGGAGACACTGGCTCTCAGCCAGGCTCCTGCAGCTACTCTGTTAAGTGGCTCCATGAAATTATTTTACGGGGAGATTATTTCCACTATCTGAGTATACTGAGGCTGTCGTGGTTCGGACATCTTGTGAAGTTATATAACTCGTTGCTCTTCCAGGAGAATGCGGGAAGTGGGTAGTAAGTTAGGAAAGAGAGTTGACCAGGCACATAATTGGAATTGGCTTCCTTTGGAGCTCAGCAGGACTTGCCGAGAAGAGTTGGAGGGTTCAAGAGAAGTTGGAATGAGGATCATACACACTCTTGCCATAGCCATTGAGCTCAAGGCCAAGAGAGTGTTCTGGCAGAGCAGAGTTGTTAAAGGAAAGGCGAGGGGAAGCAGAACTGGGGGCATGGGCGTCACCCAGCTGGCAGAAGCCCTGTAGCAAAGCACTATTGCTAATTCAGTTTTCTTGCACTAAGCCCTGGGCTTACACTGGGCTTATTTCTGGTTGTTAGAGGTTGAATATTCCTAAAAGATAGATGGAGTGGGACAGGGTAGGGGTAGTCCTTTTGGGCATGGTGACCTTATAGCCCAGCCTTTATGAGAGAGTACAGATTCCAATGCTCTTCTTTGTTGACTCTTTTGCCCATTTGTCAAAGTGTATGTCCTGATTTTGGGGTGGGCGACCCCTGTGCTTGGTTTCTCCGGCAGAGTATCACAGAGTGGCTTTGGATTCTGTTAATCTTCATTTCCAGGTCTGCTATTTCCCCTCCAGAGTCTAACAAGGCAAGTGATTTTTAGTTCATTAGTATATTAGACTAGTTCATTAGTCTATAGAATAGCCTGGACTGAGGAAGGAGTTTGATTAAAAGCAAGACAGCTGGTTTTGCTTCTTCCTGAGCATAGGCAGAACCTGCCTTATAGCAAGCTACCTTGCAAATGAGAAGAGCCAAATGCCATAGAGCCAAGAAGAGTGGGGAGGGGGCAGAGATCAGGTGTGAATGGATTTTGCCACCTGGGAAGCCAGCTCAAAGCATGTGTCATCATGATGGCTTTATCATCATGGAGAAGGAACAGTAAATTAGTATGCTGGCAGGAAGTACTTTCCATTCACTAAAGAAAACGATAAAAAAATTATGAACTGTAATCATCTTGTAGGGGTGAAGGTGGTTGTTAGTCCCAGGCTGTGATTGCTTTGGAGCCTAGCACTTAGTAGGAGCTGGATCTTGGTGTTGCATGTTGTATGAATCGCCTTGACCTTGAGTTGTGTGACTCAGCAGTTTTCTGGGAACAGACACATATGTCTTAAACATTAAAATCATTGGATGTATATGTGAATAGCTAGTAATCAAACATGACAAAAGTGTTTGCTACTTTAAAGAGGCCTTTTATATAAATACCTATGGTTAGAACATGGTATTGATACTTTGGATCCTTTAAGGTCAATCCAGAGTAGTTTTATGGTAGTAAGTGACTGATTTGTTGAAGGCCTGCTTTTTGATTGTGATTTTTAAAAAAAAATCTTACTTTTGTCTTACTACAAAAATATGGTATCTTGTAAAAATACTGAAAAAACCCCTCAAACCCAAACTCAAAATGGTAAGCAACCCTATGAAACAATCACTACCAACCTTCTAAAATATAACCTTCTAGCCTTTTATATATGCATGTATATGGGTACATATATATATATATATATATATATACCCTTATACACATTTTAAAAAACTTTTAAGTTCAGGGGTACATGTGCAGGATGTGCAGTTTTGTTACATAGGTAAATGTGTGTCGTGGGGGTTGTCGTACAGATTATTTCATCACCCAAGTATTAAGCCTAATATTCATTAAGTATTTTTCTGATCCACCCTCCACCCCCAGGTAGGCCCCAGTGTGTGTTGTTCCTGTCTATGTGTCCATGTGTTCTCAGTATTTAGCTCCCACTTACAAGTTAGAACATGTGGTATTTGGTTTTCTGTTCTTGCGTTAGTTTGTGAAGGATAATGGCCTCCAATTCCATCCATGTCCCTGCAACAGACATGGTCTTGTTCTTTTTTATGGCTGTACAGTATTCCATGGTGCATATATAAATGTTTTTACAAAAAGGAGATAATATCACGTATTTTACTAAATTATTTTTCTACCTGTATGTATATGTTTATAAATAGACTTTTTTTACATTTATTTTTTATTTTTTGAGCCTGTATCACTGGCAATGTTTTTTATCCTTTTTAATAAGTAAATGTTGTTTCATCACAAATTCCTTAATCACTCTATTGTTAAACATATAGATTATTTTGATTTGTTTGGCAACAGAAAAGTTTTGTGATAAATATCTGTGTCATAAAATGTTACATATGTATATCATTTCCTACTACATTTCTAGAAGTAAATTCTAGTTCAAAGAATTTGTAAAATTTTAAGACCTTGTATAGGTTTAAAATAATATTCCCCCCCACCACACAACCAAGGCACTCTATTTTGCATTCTCATCAGTAGTGTTTGAAAGTTCTATTTTCTTCAAACACTGATCCACTCTGGAAATTATTATTAAAAAATATTTTCCAATTAGACTGGTGAAAATGTGTGTAACTTGAGCATTTTTCATCTGCAATAGTCAATTGTATTTGTTCTTTTGGAATTTGCTTTTATTTCTTTTGCTGCTTTTTCTACCAGAGTGCTTATGCCTATAGATGGTAAGAACTTTTTGTATATCTCACATGTGTCTTGCTATTGTCCCAGAACAAATTTTCTGAAAACAGAGTGACTACCTTTTAATTTAATTAGGTCATATCTTCCTTCAATTAAATTAAACAAGTATCTGCTGAGTACCTATTAGGTACCGAGCACTGTGCTAAACAATAGGCAATAAGTGTACAATTTTGTAAAATGACACTTACCTAGCTCTCAAAGAACATATAGTCTAGGGAGGGAAGAAAAACAAGTCAATAAGCACATTAAATCATCTAATAAAGAGGTGTATTCTTCCATTCTTACACTGCGAATAAAGACATACCTGAGACTGGGTAATTTATAAATGAAAGACAAAGACTGGGTAATTTACAAAGGAAAGAGGTTTAACTGACTCACAGTTCCGCCTGGCTGGGGACGTCTTGGGAAACTTACAATCATGGCGAAGGCACCTTTTCACAGGGTGGCAGGTGAGAGAATGAGAGCCCAGCGAAGGGGGAAACCCCTTATAAAACCATCAGCTCTTGTGAGAACTAACTCACTATCATGAGAACAAGATGGGGGAAACTGCCCCCATGATTCAAATATCTCCACCTGGTCCCTCCCATGCATGTGGGGATTATGAGAACTACAATTCAAGATGAGATTTGGGTGAGGACACAGTCAAGCCATATCAAGAGGTAACCATTAGATGCTTTGGACACAGGTAGAATGGGTACCTAAACTTGTCTTAGGTAGTCATGGGATGTTTCTTGGAGGAAGAGATGAGTACACTGAATCCTAAAGGATTAACAGTAGTTAGCCAGACATAGAAATACGTGTGTGTGTGCAGGCCAGTGAGGTGGAATAATATTAGCAAAGTATTAATGCATAGTTAATACAATGGTATAAACAAAGGTCAAGGAGCAGTTGTATCCCTTAAATGTACACAAATTTAAAAAAAGGAAAGCAAGGTAAATGCATGGAATTGCATATACTACATACAAGACTGGAGCTCATAGTGGGAGGGGTAGAGTAGGGGTTCCGTTTTTTAGCAAGAGATTAGGCTGAAAAGTAAGAAGTGGCCAGATCATGCAGCATTTTTACATTGCATACTAAGCAATGTGGATGTCTTTTTCTGATAGTTTAGATTTGACATCGTTGGTTTTCAGGAAGACAACTGACAGAATCAGATTTGCTCTCTGCAAAGAGTCCTCTGACCCCAAGGGAGGGAATGGATTTGGGGTTAGGGGCAGATTCCAGGTATTCCTTGAATCTGAGAGAGAATTTAGGGGGCTCCTAAGGATGGGCCTAATGCCAATGTAGATAAATGGACGTGTTTGAGAGATAATTAGGAAGAAGAATCAATGGGTATGATTTTCTGAGAGGGGTGAGGAGAGAGGAGTCAAAGATGGTATCCATATTTCAGGGGGATCAGGATGTCATTCACTGAGCTTGGGAACACAGAGGAGGAATAGTCTCTTTAAGAAGGAAGGAGGTTTGGAGAGAGTTCAGTTTTGAATGTATTAAGACTTTAGTGGCTGTCATACACCAGAGTTCTCCAGTTTGATATGTAGATCTGAAACTCAATAGAGTTTTCAAGGGATATAAAGAGTCTTGGAGTTATTAATACATCAACAGCAATTGAAATAGAAGAACAGACCAGAATGCCAAAGAAGAGTATATAGAATGAGAAGACAAGAAAGGCCCCCAGAAAATGCCAAGTAACTCCATTATTTAAAAAATGAGAAGGGAAGGTAAAGATTGAGATGGAACCTTTAGAGAGAAAGGAAACAGTGTTGTCATGGAAAGCCTTTTCAGGAGAACAGCATGCTTACCGCTGCCAAAAGGCACTGATTAATTAATTAAGACAAAGGATGGAGAGCGTCCTCTGGACTTAACGATGAGGAGTCTTTGACCTTGTTGGTAGGTATTTCATTGGTGATGGATGCCAGATTCTAAAGGGTTAAAGATTGAATTAGAGGTGAAGAAAAGAAGAAAGTAAATTCAGACATCTCTTTAGAGAAGGTTGGTTTTGAAGGGGTGAGAAGTATATGGTGGCAGCTGAAAGACAGATGGTTTTGAGGGGAAGCAGAGGGGAGCAGGTGCTGATTAGGCTGTAGAGATCATGGAGGCTGAAGTAGAGAGAGGGTGCTAATAATGAATGACTGCAGGCTAGAAGGTCTGTCATGAGTGGCATCTAGGATTCAGGTGGACTCATTAGTCTGAGATAGGAAGGGGGGTTCTGTACCTTTTATGACAGGAGAAAATAACAAAGGATAGGTGTGGACGGGTATGGTGGCAGGGAATTGAGGAATTTGCCATGTGATGGTTTCTATTTTGTCTGTGCAGTAGGAGGCAAGATTTTCTCCTGGGCATTAGAAGGGAGGTGGCTGGGTGGGAGGTTTGAATGGATTGGAGAAGGTTTTAATAGTTGCTATGGAGAGTAGAAAAGGAAACTGAGCAGGGAAGGATAAGAAAATTCCCAGGCAACACTGAGGGTCTTGTTGAACTTGAAGCTGACAAATTTTAAGTGACACCAAATCTGTTCATGGATTTATGATTTTTTTTTCTCTAGCGGAGAAGGCAGACTCCAGGGCTGGAATTTTTCCAGTTGAGTGTGGCAAAAGATTGATGAGGCAAGCTATTTGAGGGCAGTGCAGTGGTATGGTTGAAGTGATTAACCATGGGTTCATGGTTGGGCAGAGAGGAGATGATGATAGGAGAGGTGTTGAAAGATCAGGAGAATGTAGAAGAATCAAGGGAATGGAGCTTAAAGAATGGGTATAGTGCAAAGAAGTGAATAGGAGAGCTGTAAGGAAAAGAAGCCATAGTTAGAAGGGGAGATTTTGGATTTCAGAATTGCATCAGTTTCAGAAAAGGGTGATATTTAACATATGTAACTGGCATGACATGGAGAATGACCAGTCAGAGTGAACAGCCAGTACAGCCATACTGGTGTGTACCTCCTGTTTCTAGGGTGTGGCTAGGGAATGCAGGTTATCATTATTGGAGCCAAAGAAGGATTGTAAGTTTGAGTACTGGATGAATCACTCACATAAATATTGAATTTTCCCAGACTTATGATGAGACTTGAGAATGAAAAGGAAAATCATAAATCTGACATGAACATCATTGATCAATGAGAGGCAATTTCTGTCAATATCATTCCAAGGTATTTTCGGACTGGATAACAGTGATGTAGAGAGGAGAAAGGGGTATGCCCTCAGTCAATCAGAAGCTCTATAGGACAGTAGCAGAATTATATCTGGAACAGCATTGGGAAAAGAGGCACATGAACCCCTTTTGTCAATCTCGAGACTTGGAATAATAAGCGTCCATTTGGGAGGATTGCACGGGACAACTTTTCTTGAGAAACCAGGTTTCAGTTAAGACAGGACACTGGAGGGAATATTAAAGAAGAGATTGAAGATGTCGTAGAAATGTTTTAAAAACCGTGGAATGGACAGATTTTGGAAGGAGGAGAGTAGTGGGAGATTGACTCAGGGAGGAACATAAAGCCATATGGGAATGTGCAGACAGGAGGAGCTAGATGATTGCGGAGGCTTACATTTTGAGTGTGAGTTTGGATGACCAGAATATAAGGCATGAAGGGATTAGCAGGCTTCAAGGTTTCCAGATAATTAGTCCTAGCAGCCTCCCAATGCATACAAGATGGGGAGGAAAGGAACTTAGGCTAGTGTGGCCGGAGAGAGCTATGGACAGAAGTGATTGAGTTTCCAAGAAATCCCAGGACAAGTGAGTGGGCTGTCATTGGAATTGGTTCCAGGACTGTGACCACATGTTGGAGACAGCTAGTCTCTTGCGGGACATATACTGTGTCTGGTTTTCCTATAGCAGAGGACACCTGCAGTGTGACTTAATTGTGCTGGAGTTAAGAACAACATTCTGTCCTCAAGTGGAAGCCACAGATCCCTTAGTCCTGAGGGGGAGCAGAGATGTATTTAATTGGCAGATAAGGATTGGAATCAGTGAGTTCTCAGCTTAGTATGCTGTGGGTCATACAGGCATAGTGTTGAGAAGCATACTGGTACTTAGTTGACACTTATTTAATAATCAGGCTTTAATTAGTTATTTATAAATGGAGCGATGTGCATTGCTCTTTAGATTTTACAGTAGGGTGGTAGGATAGGCTTAAGCAGTGTCTCACCTAGGTTCTCAAGTTCTTCTTTGAGGTAAAAAAAATCAAATCAAAGGGTCATGAGGATTGCAGTTTGTGGTAGAGCTTGAGCATAGGGAAGAAGAATTAGTGAGCAGAGGGGTATTAGAAGAATGACTATGTGACAAAATAGCTAAGGATACAGGAAATATGATGGAGCTTGACTTGCAGGTGGATATAGTCTCTCTGTGTTCTAGCTCTCTAACACAATGCTTTGCATAGGTCAGGCTAATATCTAACCATGTTTGTTGGTGAGTCTTTTGTTGCTCAGATTAGCAGTTTTCTCTACTAAAACTACAAAAATTAGCTGGGCATAGTGGTGGGCACCTGTAATTCCAGCTACTCCAGAGGCTGAGGCAGGAGAATCGCTTGAACCCGGGAGGCGGAGGTTGCAGTGAGCTGAGATCTCACCACTGCACTCTAGCCTGGGTGACAGAGTGAGACTCTGTCTCAAACAAACAAACAAAAAAACAGATTTATAAAATCTTAATTAAATAATAATGTTTGGTGACCTACAAAAGGAAAAAGTCAGAAAAACATTCTTCATCCAAAATGGTACCTCAATACTCACAGTGAGGGTGAGAGTAGAATCTAAGTGATGGGAATAACTTTAATGTAAATGGTGAGAGTTACATGTATTGAGGGCTCGAGGAATTCTATTCTTTGGGTACTTGCTATATGGTAGACACTATTTTAAGTCCTTTATATGTAACACATTGAATTCTCAGTTACTTTTGGAACTAAGGCCTACTATTTGTCCCTATTTTGTAGGGGCATTTTCATAAATGAAAAAAACTAAAGTGTGAAGATATGAGACACTTGGCCCAAGGCCACAGAAATGGTAGAGGAACTAAGGTTTAAACTCAGTTTATACAAATCCCAGGTCTGTTTTTTTTTTTTTAAACACTATACTACAGTGCAGCATGCAGTCTCTCTGTATAAATAAATATTTATAGGAGACTATGGATGAAGGATAATAATAAAAGAAATGTGCTCTTTTTCCTTGGCCAGGTCAGAGTAAAGCAAGTGCAGTACGTATTTGGCCCTTAAGTGACAATTCATGTACTATTTATTAGTTGCTTTGGGCATAACTGAACTTGGGAAAATGCAATTTGGAGCTAGAAATGAATGATGTTGAGAAAAATGCCCCCATTTGAATTTAAAATATGGGAAAAATTCACTAATATTTAATTGTGAAGATAACCTTCACAATTAAAGGTGTCTCTTATATAAGGTGTCTCTTGAAAAAAATTATACCACCGAAGCTCCCCTTTTTATGTGACCAAACTCATAAGCATCCTTCAAGACCCAGCTGTCATTCTGTTGTGAAGTCTTTGACCATTTTCTGAGATAGGGAGCTTTTGCTCTCATTGTCGCAACTTGTATGATAACAGCTGACCCTCGTTGAGCATAATCGTATATTGGGAATATTGTAAGCAGTTCACTTGTTTTATTTCCCTGTAGCAGCTCTGTGAGATGACTGTCACAATCCCCATTTTACGGAGGGAGAAATTGATGTGTTTTGAGATTAAGAAACTCTTCTGACATCATGTGGTTAATGAGTGACAGAGACTGAATTCAAATCTTTTGTTTTAACTGCAGAGCTATCTGCCTTCCTTGTCACACTGATTCAGTTGTCTTTTTCCCCCTCCTCCAACTCTTTCTAAATCATTCATTTAAAGTATTGAAGATGCTATTTTAGCGTTGGGAACACACTGGTGACCAAGCACGCGCTTCTCCCCATCATGCTTTCAGTCTGAGTGAAGGATGGAGAAAAAAAATCTTCCAAAAAGAGACAATAGCATAAATAAAAGACCTGGAAGGGACAGATCCCAATCATTCCCAGAACTGCCTATGTGGTGGGAGCGTAGAGGTCACTGAACAGAAAGAAAGTTGGGTCTTACAGTTGAGCAGCCTGTAGACCTTAAAGCTTCTTCCAACTTTGTAAGGAGTTTGGGATACCATCAGTGAGAATAATGGGAGTCACTCAATGTTTTTTAAAAAACTTAGGAAATGTTGACTTAAACAATATGTCAAATTTACATATTGACAATTAGTGACTTTAAAGAAACCAACCAGTCTGTGGTTCATGTTCAGAAATTCTCATTCAATAAGTTTTTCAAGAATAACAATGAAAGACATGGGGGGAAACCAATAAAACGTAACACTTTATTATTATTTTTATCTTAGAAGGAATTCACCAAAGGCTTCATATTATGCTATGGCATCTTTAATTATAAAAATAAGCAAATAAAATAACTTGCATCTGTCATTACCATGATATGTTTCATAACCTTTATATGCACATGGAGCTTAAAAATGTAATTTAACAATAAATAATGACATATACCAGATATGCTCACTGTTTATTCCAGTACTCAGCCAAAAACCTAAATATCATTTAAATTATAAATACATAATGCAAATATAATGGCACAAAAATGTCTAAAGTGCAACCAAATCACAAGAGAAGAATCATGCAAACTGGTCTAGGTCAGCCCCCGAATCACTCTGCAGCAAACACAAGACGAAGCTTTGGAAGTTTAAGGGGGAATTGGAGGGAGTAGGGTGGGGGAAAGAGAAGCAAAAAACTAGCAACATTGTGAGAACTGCTTCTTTCTGTATGTGTAGATATATGTATTGTAGATACATATATAGATATCATCGTGGGGAGAAAAGGGGGGGTACCACGGTTTGAAGAGGTCACAGCCAAAAAAAAAAAAAAAAAAAAAGAAAAGAAAAAAGGAAATCTACTGAACTGAAGAAAGAGAGAAATTTGCTAGGAATACTCATGAACTACTTGTCGCATTGGGGTCCTGGCTTAGTTGGGTTTGCAAAATGGACACAACACACAAACTTTAATAGCTTTTCTGATTCAGAGAAGTCAGCCTTGCCTGGGGGTGGGAAGTGTGGGAGGGAGGGGAAGAGTCTAACTTAGAATATGGTCTACCTGATTTCCAAGAGGCTAAGGCAGTGTCCATAAGTTTGGGGACCTGGGGATGGGACAGTTCTGAGTATAAAAATGCCCTTAACAATCTGATGTCAGCACGCTTAGAGGCTGTGTGGGGACAAAGGCAGCAATGTTTGTGCTGCTGCTGCTGCTGCTGGGTCTGCTGCAATTGCTCTTGGTCCTTGAGCAGCACGTTACTGGTTTTAAAGGCTTTATGGTAAAGTTGTATTGCTTTTCATTTTTCTGGAGATGTGCCCTCTCTCCTCCCACCAGGATCCCTATCACTCGATTTGGTCAAATCTTGAGTTTAGCCTAGTGAGAGTCAAGCACCAATAGTTTCTACCTAAGCGAGTTTGGAGTGGCCCCTGCAGTCCTACCCCTCCTCCCTCTCTTCCTCTCTTGACATTGACCTTTGGTGGGCAGTGACGCTCATAAGGGACTGTTGGGTTCAAGGACAGTGACCCTGAGAAACTACTGTTGTTCATAGATAGGTTAGTCGTTTGACTTTGGTGGTCGCCATCTTGTAAACATCATGGCAGAAATGATCAAACCACCAGCTCTTTTTCCCTCTTTCTTTCTTTTTTTTTTCTTTTTTTCTATTTTTTTACGATCCTACAGAGATGGTCCAGCTGCCAGGACTACTTTGGCAGGCAGCGTGCTACAGGACGAAAATGTAAGAGAAGTCTATTAAGGCTGGACAGCCCAGGGTTATTTATACTCTCTCAGCCCCAAGTCCCCCGGACTAAAGACCTAAAGGCTGATTGACTCATTCCTGATTGATTTAATGGAAAGTCTCCCACCCCATCATCATTTGCCAGAGTACCAGGCACCGATGAAAGGGGACGAGTAAAGAACTGCCACTTCCTAATGTATAGTAGGCCTTATCACACTGTAAGTGGTCCAAGCCCATAGGGATGCTCTTTTTGGTTCCTGGAATTTCCAGTTGGATGTGACAGAGATCTTTCAGTATAGGTCTAAGTCAAGAGTAGCCTCTGGGTTGAGGTGGGCTGGGAGATTAACATCTTACCTGGGGTCCTTCAGATAAACCTGTTGGTTTTTCCTGTCTCATACAGGCCCATCTTAAGTTTTGATGTTGAATTAAAACTACTTCTACCCCCTTAGTTATAAAAAAGGCCACAAGGAGCATTTATGTGGATATCTGGAAGTGAGATAGTTATTCCATTCCCAGGAAAAGAAAAATAAAGCTAAGTTACAAAACTAAATCTATATGCAATAAAGTTATTATATACTGCTTTGTTTAAGCAGAGTCCTCTGGAATTTATGTACAGTACATTAGTTTTCAGCTATTTATATTCCACAGTTAGACCTTAAGATTCTCTGGTTTTAAGACAATTGTTAAAGATACTTTTAAAGCTCTGAGCAGTTACAGTACGTAAAGATGTTAGCTTTTTGTTTTTCATTAGATGCAAGAAGATGCAGGCTCAAAGTCTGGTTGGACAGCCAGGCTCAAGCAATTTGGTAAATGTGTCGGAAAGAAAATTAGACATTGGAGGATCAAGACCATAAGACACTAGCTCATTAGAGATCAAGAATTCAAATGTGACATTCATATTCGTCCATGGCCAGCACAGATTCATAACACGAATTCCATTTAACATCTTTATGAGCATTTAAGACATGCATTTAAATAAAGTTTCCTTATCAGCTAACTCTACTGGGGCAACCGTTCTAAAGGGATCCACATCTTCAAATTACAATGGCTGGAGAGTTACATGAATGTTTTGTGTTTGGGGGTGGTCTCAGGGGAGCAGGGGAAAAACATGGCAGAGGAAGTTGGTAAAAGAGGGTACTTTCTCCTGAGGAGAGGCAGAATGGTCACATGGATTTTGTTGGTGGGAATGCTGCCATTGCAGAATGTTGGGATATTGATTACAGAAGCCTAGTTTCATGCAATTTTCTTTAAGGGGGATAGAAAATAGGAACTACTTTAAAAAAATCAAACCAGGCACAGTACACTCAAAACTGGTGTGTCAACACCCCTAAAATGATACTAGTTTGGTGAGGTTGTGAATAACCTCTCCCTGGTTATGCACTCTCATGGGATGTGCGTTTGATGTGGGAGGGAGAGTCCTCCTCACCTCGGAGGTTCCTGAGGAGGACTTTCAGCTTCTGCGGCTCATTGGTGCGTCTCCTGTTGAAGTCAGCTCGTGGGTGTGTTTGGGCACAGTGGTCTGTCTGCAGGATGTGGAAGAGGCTGGCCATGTTAGGCCCAATTTTCTCCATCAGGCTGTCTCTGATTGTGCTGACTGTGTCTTCATCACATTCCAGCAGGCTTCGGACAAGTCTGTTATAGTATCTGCATCAAGAAAGAGAGTGCATATGGTGGTCACCCAGTGAGAGCCCGGCGAGACCCAGGCTTTCACCCGGGCTCTAGCCAACACGAGTCCCTAATGGCCTGACCATGCAAACATCAATAGTTCATCAGCTGAAGGTGGCTTTTGCTCTCTAACCCTTGTGCCATGTCACCCTAGTTTCAATGCATCTGCTCCTAGGGTTTACCACACAATGCAAGACAGATCTTCATGTTTAGAGTTGAGGAGATTTAGATCACACTTTGAAGAGCAGGCTGACTGTGGTGACTGACATTTTTAGAAACAGAATTACAGAGCTAGCTGGGACCACAGAGACCATTTGGTGACTAGTTCAACTCTCATTTTGTAGAGAAGAAACTAAGGTGGATGAGGTGAAGCAAATTAGAATGAAGTGAGTCCAATGCTCATCACTGAGATTAGTAGCCATTGTACATGCATGTGTAATTATTTTGATGCTTTTTTGTAATTTTCCTTTTTTTGGTGGTGTGTGGGCACAGGTGTGTGTGTGTGTGTGTGTATGCAGATCTGTGCATCTTCTGATGAAACTTCTGTCTAAGGCCCCCTCTTCTGTGTGCCATGCATTTTTCTACAAAATCTAATGCCCTTATCACATACTTGGACAGCCCTGATAAAAGATATTGACTGACTCCATCTTCAGCCCTCCTTCAAAGGTATATTGTAGTCAGAAGGCCAAATCCTAGGCAAGAAGTCTATTTAAATGGAAATATTGGTGGTTTTTAAGGGTTCATGCTACTATAATTCATGAATCCTTCTTCTACTATACCAGAGTTTGCTAACCTCTTCCCTTTTTGGATATTTATAGATCTTTGTTTGCCATCACATAGGCCAGCATTTGATGGTTTTGTGATGGCTTTCTTTCGCTGACTAGACTGTAAGCTTACTGAAGGCAGGATTTGTGTCCTTCTTTGTATTCCTTATGGCCCGGTGCCATCGTGCTACATTGCCTGATCACTGCACATTTGTTGATTTATTTTGCAGCCACTAAGGAAATGGAGTTTTAAGAATATAATTCTCTCCAATAAGTAGTGATTCCCAGAAGAAAACTTATCTGTAGTTTTAGTAAATTTTACCAAAACCCCTTGTGTTTGGTATCAGTTACCTTCATCTTTGCAGCGAATTCTTTAAATACCCCCAAGCAATGTAGCTAAGCTTTGTGGCTCAGAAAGGATTAAACTGTCTAATATTTAGGGCATATCAATGACTTGTCCTGTTATTTGGGAAGACAGTTCAGGTATTATCCAATTTAGACTGGGATGCATTTGGTCCATTTTGTAGTCGCAGTTGAGTTGTCAAAACCCATTACCTCTGTGTTCGCTAATAAGAGACTCAGTGACAGTGACCTGCAGTATTTACATGGAGAGAACTTTTTCTCAGAGGAGCCCAAGGATCTCTGGGGCCACCAGGTCTTCCGTGAAAAGAAACCTGTTTATTTTTAACTCACCAAACAGTGCACAGGATCAAACATCTTTCTAGAATAACTTAATCCCCCAGAGAGGTTATTTCAAAGATGTGTGGTAAATAGCATGGAACGTGGGTAATGAGGTGATATGGTCACCCTTCTGTGGCACAGCAGAAGGAAGCTGGGGACTGAGAGGCAAGTGCAGTGTCTTGGTTGCTGACACAGGCCTGGTGAAACCCTTCCCTCCAGGGAGAATTATATCCAGCTGTGGTCAAAACTGGGACTCTCTGGCACAGAGGAACATTGTCCAACTCTTTGGAATTACAAAGCACATGAGTCAAAGGAGATCTCCTTTGGATGGGGAAATGAGGAGAAAACCAGTTTTGGAGAAACATAGAATAAACAACTTTGCACCAGCAGCTTCTGACATCTACACACCCATATAGATCTCCAGGCATCACCTGGCTCTTGGGCTCTGCTAGGACCTGGGTCTTTGGATGGCTGTGTCTATTTCAGAGGGTGATTAGATCCTGGTGGGTGGTTTCTGATCTCCCATCCCTCCAATAAGGACTTTATAACTTAGAAGTTAACCCTTCCATTTCTAGAAAGAGCTGTTCATGCCAGATGAGTCCCCAGATAGGCTGGAAAATACAATCTTTCCCTAGAAAGGGATAAAAAGAAATGCTAGTTCTTCCTTAGAAGGACTTGAAAGCTCTTGTCTGGACAAAGAAGTCTAGTACCCTTAAGGTAATTAAGCTTCTGCAGCCAGCTTTGCAGCTTCAGGGCCATACATTTCCTTCAGGCCCCACTTTGTCAGAGTGCCTGCTCTTTTTTGGAGGGTTTCTACCTTTCTACCTTTACTGTTGCTTTGTCTGCTGGCTCAGATATGACACCTGACCTTGGTGTTTCTTGACAGTGACCCTTGCCAGCCTGAGGGCTCTTAGTGAGAACCACCCACCCCCACTGGAATCTACCCTATTTCCCTCATGGGGCTTTTGTTAACTCAGCAAGGGCAGGCTGAGAAAGCTCTTTAGAATATAAAACAAAGTCCATGTCTCCATTAGTAGTTCTTCAAAGGCTGGAAAATTTGTCAGGATTATTTGATGTCACCAGTTTCTCAGTATGAGCAATAGGTTAACCAGTGCCTGTCCAGTAAGGGCTGGAATAGCCATTTACCTCTGGGATCATGCTTGCCAATGACATAGCCCTTTCCTGTGTCACTAAGTGAGATGGATTATTTAAGAGGTTGTGTCTCCAGCAAGAGTTGACTTAGCAATCGTCACCTATTTAGTGAGCACCTTCTTGTGCTATGGTCTTATAGTTCCTATAGCTATTGGTAGGATGTGTCCATCCTTTTGGGAGAGAAAGGACGCAAATTTAATTGTGGACTACCACGGTGCACATATATTCAATTGTGCTTGGTATTCTATTTTTGGGTTGTGGCTATTTCCTGCAGATTTTGCTGGCTGCCATTTTTGAAGTAGAAATCAAATAGCTTGGCTCAAGGCCACATGAGTTCTAAGCCCAACTTAGTTATTCACAAGCTGTGTGACCTTCAGCAGGTCACTCCACTCTCTGAGCCTTTATTCTTTAATCAGTAAAATGAGGCAGTTAGTCTAGTTAACCTCAGCAGTCATCTCCAACTATGACATTCTATGTTTCTAGGGATTCAATACACATTTTTCTTCTCAATTTTACAAAAAATAGAGCAGCTCTGCTTACATCCCCTCCTTTGCAGTGGTAGTTAGGACTGCTTAAGAAGATTCCTTTCTTGGCTGGGCATGGTGGCTCATGCCTGCAGTCCCAGCACTTTGGGAGGCCAAGATGGGTGGATCACCTGAGGTCAGGAGTTCAAGACCAGCCCGGCCAACATGATGAAACCCTGTCTCTACTAAAAATACAAAAATTAGCTGGGCGTGGTGGTGAGTGCTTGTAATCCCAGCTACTCTGGAGGCTGAGGCAGGAGAATTGCTTGAACCCAGGAGATGGAGGTTGCAGTGAACTGAGATCTCACCACTGTACTCCAGCCTGGGCAACAGAGCGATACTCTGTCAAAAAAAAAAAAAAAAAAAAAAAAAAAGAAGAAGAAGATTCCTTTCTTTATCTTTATGGAGGATGGAGGAGATGTGTTGGAAAGACTTGGTGGACTAAGTGTTCTGATCACCCAGCCCGAAAGGACCTTTTTAATTATGTTTCTTTTTTCTCACTTTGAAAATTCCATCCCTGACCTTTTTTTTTTTGATAAAGAATAAGATCAGATATTCTCCATAGCTACTGTTTCAGCCATGCTTACCCAAATACACACATACTGCCTAGGAACGTTCTGTGTGAGGGTTTATAAATAGTCCTTTGTTTCCCTTGATCAATATTATTCTTCTGTTTCCTGTTCCCTATCCATGCCCTAGAGAGTTGGAAGCTTTGTCAGTTTTCCCACTCTGGATCTGGGTTGGTCTAAGTGGTTCCCAAGCCTCGCACCGCCCTGCTGGCCTGATCAATTTTGCCTGCTTCCCACAGGGTTGAAAGCATAGTCTGCAAATTCAGGCAGGTGGAAACTCCAGCTACCTCTTTACCCTCTAGGTGCATTTCTGTCATGGAAAATCCCCTTGTTCTGGCTCCTGGTCCAGTCACAGGCTTTTGGATTCTCCCAGCCCCAAATCTCATGCTAGATAAGTCACAGGAAGGTGGAATGAACCTGTAACTACTTCCTCTTGCAATTCTGTGCCAATTGGCACTGACTTAGCGTGTGTCTATGGTGGGATAGAGGCTGGGAAAGCAGGATGTCTCAGGAAGGTGAGCAGCTTCAATGGAGCAAAGCAAGCCCAGCATGGAACCGGACATTTCTACAATCCTGAGCAGGAATAATATAGCCTGTTAAAGTGAAATTTTTGGAGAAAGGTTGCATGGAAGATTCCGGTTTTCAAGGGCTGGCCACATTTTTTTTTTCTCCAATTGACCTTTCCTAATGAGTCCCTAAGATGAAAGAGGGAGATAAGAAGACTTTCTTTGTGACCATTTTCTAAAGGTGTTGAAAATAAGGCACTGATTAGAAGAAATAATAGCCTGGTTAAAAATTTACTAGTCTCTTCTTAGATAAATTGGGACCTCTAGTCGAGTAGCTATATAGTTCTGCCTAAAGACCTCTCTGCCTTTCTAATGGAAGATGCTACTTCAGATGAAATAGGGAGATTAGTATCGCCTCAAAATTGGAAATATGCCGTATTATAGATCATGATTTGTCACAGAATCCTTAAGGATCTAAATTGTAATAGTGGCTTTGCTAATGTACCTCTCCCCCCACCCCTAACTACCACACAAACACATACTTTGTCCTTAGCCCCTGTCTGGCTAAGAATTCTTCATTTCTTTTCCTAATGGTGAAGGAAGTCTCCAATAATTAATCAGATCTCCCCTCCCCACCCTCTGCACCTGTTTCCTCTGTGCAATAAGAATCTTCCTAGGGGAAATTTAAAACCAAGAGTTATATAGAGACAGCCCACTTGAGAAAATGGTTGGATTTTTCTGTTCTGAGGAAACCATTTAGAACCCCATGATAAAGTCACTTCCAAGGACTAGAGAAGTGATTTTTACAAATTGATTTGTGGTTCTGAAGGGCACTCACCTGTAGTTAAGGGTGAAAAAGAAATTTTACACAGCGTTTGTGTTAGGCACCTTAGCCTTTCCCTAAGGAGGAACTACTTTTTTGTTGCATGTATGTACATGACTAAATCACTTGTAAGCCCCAGAGGGACTTGGCTGTTGCCACTGTCTTAAGAAGGGTGGTGGCACCTGGCTAGGAAATTAATCAGATAAGCCTGTGATAACTCTCAGGTGGTCAGAGTAACATGCAAAGCACTGATCATTGTGGATATGTGCAGATTTGAGTGGAGAGTCAAAGAATCATAGAAATTCAAGGCTGGGAGTCAAGTTTTTAGGCTGAGGGATATCACAGGGGGCTAAACTTGACCGGTCTGCACTGCCCCTGCCAGACCTCCACGCCAACCCCATTGGCATCTCTTAGTTCTTGCTGGGAACCTTTCCAGGCCACGCACATGAACTGAGGATGCCAGCTGTCTCATGTAACAGGAATTCACTCCTGGCTGGTAAAAACACTGAAAAGTACAATGCCCAGATGTTACTGTACTAGCTCAGTGGCCTTGGGTGGTGTTTGAATACTAAGATGAGAATGGGATCTGGACAGCCATAAAACACACTCATTCTAGGAAATCTTGGGCTAGAGGAATGGGATAACATAAGGCCTGGAAGGAAACCTGAAAATGGTCCAGTCCAGCCATTTTGCTTTTTACAAAGGAAATCTGAGCCCCAGGGAAGTGAGATGGCTTGCTCTGGGCTACCCAGTGAAATCTCTGACTGTGTTTGGGACTGATTTGAAATAGATGGAGACTTAAAATCTGCATTATGACATTTAACCAGAGGGCTTTTTTTTTTTTTTTTTTTTTTAATCATGGCCAATTGTGTTGTTGCACGGTCATGGTTTCAGCCAAATCTGATGTCTTAAAAGCTTGTTTCCAGAAACTTCACCATTCCCTTCAGGCTTATGGCAAAAAATGGTCAATGAAAGCACCCAGGGATGCTGCAGATGAGGCTGGCTTTCTATGAGCTGCATGAAAAGACTTTTCCTATAACAGTAGGGAAAAAAAAGCCCAAGCTGCTTAAACTGTCACAACCAATCACAAACATATTTTTTTCCTGCAAAAGCTGGGAAGACTGCAAGCTAAAATAAGAGCATGACTGTGGCAATTTAACCCTCCCTCCCAGTCTGGCTCTGCCAGCCAGCCACCTGCTCCCAGTCCCCTGATTGTGAAAAAGTAGACTCAGTTTGTACCTGTTGGAGAAGTGATTGGGCAGCTGGACGACCTCAGTGATGGCTTCAGGGTTCCGCTTGGCGATGCTGCACACATTCAGCTTGCTGTAGCACTCTTCCTGCACCTCAGCAATCATCCTTTGGAAAGTGGAGCACCTCCGAATGGCGAGGAAGACCTTGGAGGTGACCCCGTTGGCGATGCATTTTAAGCTCTCTTTGACGAATGCTTTTCCCTGCCATGGAGGAAGGACAAGAGGGAGGTCTTTAGCTTGACCTGACAAAGAGGATGGGCATATACATGGAGGAATTTAAGGGGGCTCATCTGGGCAACGTATCATGGCCATCTGCATATCCTTGCAATGAGAAGATTGCATGTCTCGGCTAAGGATTGAAAAAAAAAAAAGCCCTCTCCCCATCTCCCTGGATTCCCTTGAGAATTAAGCTCTACCGAAATGAAATTACAGAAAAAAAAGATGAACCGTGATCAACCATTCTGCAGCTTAAAAATAGTCGTAATCTGACTTCATATTCTTGAGATTGAGACTTTGAGAATTCAGATCAAAAGCTAGTATGCTAGGTCATGCAGAGAGAACTTCCTTGCTCTATGCACGTTTTTATGTCCTCTTACAGAGGAAAATCTTTTTGGCTTATTACCCCTGGCCTTATAAGACAGCCTCTACTAGCTCCTTAGAATCATGCATTAGAGTGAGTGGGGCGTGTCTTATACAGAACCTATTTCCTGGCCAGATGAGTGCCTCTGTGTGTGTGTGTGTGTGTGTGTGTGCATGCACACACTTGTGCATACACATGCTGAGATGGGAATTTAGAGTGGGGAAGCTGAGAAGCAGGGCTGGTTCCCTACAAGACTGGTTCCTAAGAACCATGGTCTAACACACTGTTAAAGACAAGCAGCCAGTGGGAGCAGGGGTCAAGGTTTTATTACCTGAGTGTCAAATTTAGCAGCGCTGTACAAGAAGGATTTACAGATGTCATACATCCCATCTGTGTCACAGGTGGAGTTTTCCAGGCATGCAAAAGCCCCGCAGCCGACCTGTAGAGCACTGTTGAGGCAACGAACCACTTCAGCTGAAAGAGACAAATCCATCCATTCTGGGTCAAACAGTGAGGAATGGCTGGGTGGGATCAAGTGGGTGCAGAGGTGAATTTCAAGGACATGAGGTCAGAAGAACTTATCCTAGGAATCTGTCATGAGGGGCAATTGATAGACCCATTTGATTGAGAAAGAGAGGATAGACAGGCTCCTTTTGTTTATGATTGCTGGAGTACATGATGGACAGGGAGGGAGTTCTCTGTTTCAGACACACGCTCCCTGTTTCACCATTACCTACAATTTTGGTGTCTGGAGAAGTGAGGCTCAAGTCTGGAAATGCACAGTGCCTTTAAGCCATTCCATAGAATCAAAGGTCATTGCTTAGCACTTGAAAGCATGGGAAGGAAGGAGACAGTGGCTAGTGGTCAGGTTTAAGAGGTAAAAGGGCCAGGGAATCCATCTAGCTTTGGAAAAATGCACTCCCGAGTAAAAAGCATGGGATTTTAGTCTAAATGGCAGAGAAGACTGTGCCAGGAGTCCACTTGGAGACCCTTCTGATTTCAGGCTTTTAACTTACCGTCATATTGGCAAAAAGAAATCTGATCCGTTCATGTTTCACCCCAACCCTCCACTAGGACAGTGCTTAGAGGTATGCATAATCTCTTTCATATTAAAAGCCTTTTAAAAAAGAAAGAAAGAAAGAAAGAAAGAAAGAAGAAACACAGGTGTGGAATAACCAGGCCAAGGCCTCCCTATGCAAGACTGGAAGAAAACCGCAAAAAACTTGCATGAGGCTTTCTACATTCTGGATAAGATCTCCCATAAAAGTAATTTTTCTCCCACAGAAGGGGGGTGTTCTGGCAGGCAGCTAGGCAAGGAATGATCTGCAGCCTTCATGCCATAGGATTCTCCTCTGAGATCAAAAGCATGGTTCAGTTAGTCTTCCCCACCCCCTCCCACCACCCGCAGCCTCTAGGATGTTACAAGTCATTTCCCTAATTATATATTTCCACGGGTTTAAATTATAACTTTGCTTTAAGCAGTTTTAATATGCATTAGGGCTGCTATTGTTTTAGGCAAGCTCGAATTGTGAATCACTGCATCTCTATAGCAACTAAGTACAAAAGGAAGTGAAGCAAAAGCCCTCCTCTCGGCAGGGACCTGTGCTCTTCCAAGGGGATCATCATCTGCAGCATTTTGACACCTGTGATCCGGTCTTTGCTGACAGTTGGAGGACAGAGGGCAGTATTGGAAGGGGAACAAGTGGAGCCAGAGAAGTCAAGAGGCAGAGGTGTCAATGCAGGCTTCCTAATGATTCTTTTCCTTCAGAAGCCAAGATAATGCACAATTAACTGCTCCAAGAGTCAAGACGAAAGTGAGACCTTACCCTTGGAGAAACAGCTGCTACGTTTCACAATTTTTTTTTTCTAGGGGCTCTCTGGCTACGGGCTGCAGGGACGACTGAATGGAGCCCTACAGAGCCAGGAGGGAGACAGGCAGCAGGGTTGGGGGTGGGATGTATAGGGTTTTCTCTGAATCCGCCCTGGATTTGTCAGACTTGAGGGCTATGGTTCTGAAAATCAGTCTGAAGAGGGAGCTTTTCTGTGTATTCTCTTAGGTAGAGAAGTCAAGAAGTGAAGAGGTAGAGTCTTAAGAGGAAAGGAAGAGGGACAGCATCAAACAAGCCAGGTCTTACCTTAGATCAGCTTCTGGAAAGTATAGAGAGCGCTTTGAAGCATGCCAACATTCAAGCCTTTCCTCCCCTCTCACCCCTCCCCCTCCAAGAGGGTACGTGCCAGATTTCAGGCAATCAGGCTAGGCTTATGCAATGAAATACCCTCAGCAGAGCGTCCAGCTTCTTCGTTTAGTTGCATGCAATTTATTAAACAAAGGAGCTCCACTGCCTAAGGCTATTGGATTACACTGGCAGTTTATTGCCATCAGGCATGAAGCACATTTATTATCAAGATCAGCCGTCACAGACACAGTTGCAAAAGGGAGAGGCAAATGAGGACAGCTCTTTGGGGGAGAAACCGCTCTTGGGTTTGCTGCTTACCTGAGTTTTGAGCCGCCACTCGGGATTTCCTGGGGCTCACAGAGTCATTCTGCTCCGCCTCATGGGTTGCAGAAGCACTGATCACCAGCACCAGAAGCACTGCTGAGTTTTGGAGCATTCTCTGAGAAGTTTCCGCTAAGTTGTTGGGTTTTTTTTTTTTCCTGCCCCCCTTTCCTCTTTCCCTCTCCTGGCTTGAGTGAAGATGTGGATCTGGATACACTGAAAGCTTAGGTGAGGATTTGATGAGGATTTTTTTTTGTTGTTGTTGCTGGTGATGCTGCTGCTGCCACCGGTGCCTCCGCTGCTGCTGCTGCTGCCGCCGCTGCTGCTGCTGCTGCCACCGCCGCTGCTGCTGCTGCTGCTGCAGTCGCTGCTTCTTGCACCTCTGGCTTTTGCAAACTGGGGGCCCAAGAGCTGCACCCAGGGATTTTATAGCCGTTCTTATCGGTCCTCAGGATCAAGGACCAATCAGGTCCCTCAACTGGTCTGGTGAGCCAATAAGAGGGCATGCAATTCAGCTGGAGCTTTTTGACTTCTTAGAAATATTTTCCAGCAAATTAAAAGTACCTGCTGCCAATGTTTTATATGTGTGTGTGACTGTGTGTGCAGAGATGTGTGAAAAAGCTATTTTCGTGGAAGTAAGAGATAACTCTGTATTGATTGAACTAAAGAAAAATCCTATAGAAATCTCTCCAAGTTGCTTTTTGAAATCTAGCCATCTTTTTTTCTAATGAGCCACTTGGGGGAAATGGATAGCAGGGGTATGGTGGGGAAATGTGATCTCTTTAGATGAGAACTTAACCTGCTTACAGCAGTTTTACTCTAATTTTAACAGCACATTCTCGGTTCTGTTTTGTAGGCTACAAATGCAATAACTCCCTATCTTCTCTGTGTGTACATGTTCACATGTCTATGATGCATTTTTGTTTGTATGTGGACATCCTGGGTTCTCACTCACACATTTGAGCCCTTGAGGGGGAATTTATGTGAGTGGAAAAGCCTTGGGGGACTGAGATATGACAGCTCAGAGCTGAAGCCTTAGTCCCCCTACTGATCAACCTATGACTCTGGCTAAGTCTTTTTACCTTGCCCCACCTCGTTTTCCCATCTGTAAAACGCCAAAGTTGGACTCTGACATTCTGTATACCTCTAAAATAATGTGATTCTTCAATAATCAAATCAACTTTGACTTCATCTTTTCAGTCACCAGCAAAATTGCATAGTCCAGGAGTGTTAGTTACCCCAGGTACACATGTGCACACCTGCACATACCACACTCAACAGGGAGACATCATGAATGCCTGAAAATTAATAATCTGTGTTCAAGCCCAGCAACTTTATAACCACTTTGAAACAATAAGCTGGCCAAAGCAAGACTAAACCTGCTGAATGGAAACCAGTTCATTTCTTGGGGAGAGGGGTAGGAAAAAAGGGGGCAGAATGGAAAGAAGGGGTAGAGAAAGACCAGAATGTGTAGGAGAGAAGAATGATAAGCTCTAGACTTAATAGGAAAATTGCACTGCAATCACAAATCATGCCTGGTATAGAAACTTATATTTTCTTATAAGTGAGTTGTAGGCAATGCTGAGGTTTGTCCCCAACATGTGAAGGAGGTTAATGAGCCAGAAGAGGACTTCTTAGGGTAGGAAGGTGGTGAAGGTATTATACAATAAAACCTTTAATAATTTTGGGGAAGTAGATGAGAAATGGCCACTGGTGATTCATACAGATTTGGGCAGGATAATCTTGCAGAGAAATGGGGCCAGTGGCTTTACTTTGCATCCTAAAACCTTCAAACAAAAGTTGAAGAAAGAGTGCCACCCCTGTTAACCACAAACTAAACCAAGTGTCAGCTCTGTGTATGTTGTGGGGTGATAGGGTGGTGGGGGGCGGGGGGGGGGGGGCGGCGGACGGTTCTGGGTGATGATAGCCTATCCCTCACAAAATAGGGTTGTTTGGTAAGTATGAAAGTTTGCTAGAAAAAGGAATAGAAGGAATAAAGGATACAGGAAATATCTAAAAGAAAGGAAGGGAATTTTCAGATTTACATTATATAACAAGAATACATTTTAATTTATATTAACAGGCAGTATTGGTATTTCTTTAGAACCTTCTGGGCTGAGTGCTAGGGGACAATGTGGGAGGATAAATGAGAAGACATAGAGAAGAAGGTAAGTTCATTATTCTTGTCCTGAAGGTACTTACAGGTGAGTTGGGAAGATGACCAGCCACAGTCATACTTCCTAAAGGTTCGGGATGTCAGGACCTCATATAGTAAGACACAGGCTCAGGCAGCACTGGCTGGAGATGGGGGGAAAGCTCTTGAGGGAAAGATCAGTGGGGAAAGATGTAAACTGCTGTTGTTGCTTTTTAAGAATTTAGGAAAAGCTATGCTATTTCATTTTTAAAAAACAAAGCTTGTATTGTGGAAAGCTTCAAGGTTATTTGTATTGCTTTAGTTAGAAGTAGTAGATGCCAGGCAAGGCAATAGAATTTCTCAGTGCTCTCTTCCAGAAAGGGAGTAAGAGGACAGATGCGTATTCCTCCCAAGGGTCTTGACTTCTGTTCTTTAGCATTCTCTACCTCCTTGGCCATTATTCATCATCTAAGGCAGTGCCATTTGTTTCTCTTGGGCTTTCCCTGAGTTGGTCTGCTTGGCTTGGTAGGGTGATGATTTACCACCAGCCATCTACTTTGTTTTTCCAACTCTCCGTTGCTCTCACCAGAACACGATGTCCTACAAGCATCAAGATGTGTTTGTGTTTTTTTTTTCTGATGTTGATTTATTATTCCTTCTTATTTTGCTCACTTACTATCTTGTGCCTGGAAGTTCATTGCTAGGTGTGCCAAGTGTTTCCCAATAACAGGTAAACTGTCCTTTGAAGAAATACAATAGTGGTCAGCCCATTGATTTGAATGTAACTAGTATGCATGCCAATGCATTTGAGAACCTTAGGGGAAGGAGCTGAAGTCTACATGAAATGCCCAGTGTAAAATTTCTGCCTAGAATGTCATGGTATGTGGATATCCAAGTGCCCTCAATCATTGTGCAACTGTCTGGAACTGTGATATAGCAAGATAAAAGGGTCTTGGGGGCCCTGGTGGTGATGTCTGGTTTCTTTGTAACTTCTCTTGGGGGTCTGAGAGAATATGGAGGAGTTTGCTTAGCGCTCTTCACAGTCTGAGTTTTATCCTGTAAGGAACAGGAAGTTATTCGGGCTCTTGAGTAGGAATTGTTAAATGATGGGTGGAAATAAGTGTTTAGGCAAGATTATTTCATCATACTTATGATGGTTTGGAGGAAGAAAAGAACAGAAGTTTTAAGACTTGTTAATAACAGAATTTTGTTGATGAGATTCTGGCCTACAATGGTTGTGGCAGGAAAGGAAGGGAGACAAATATGAGAGATGTTTTAAATGAACTGGAAATTATTAATTAACCTAAGGATTGTCTTGGGAAAAACCTTTCTCCCAGTTTAGTGGTAATGGAGATAATACACATGAGGACTTTTCCCTCCTTATATTTTAGTTATGACTTTTAGTTGACAGGACTATCTAGTGTCTCTGTTAGGCAGGTGCTTTCTGGCATACTGTTGAGCAGCAGAATTACCTAAAAAAAGGACTTGACTGCAATGTGCGCCCAAGTGCGCCCAAGTGCAGTGGGTGGGAGGGGAGGGTATACTTTGCCATTGCCCTGAGCAGGGAAAGTGCTAAGAAGTTGGTGGGAGAAGCTGCCAACACCTAAGACTGGGTGATGATGCCCTGGCTGTGCCCGTGCAAGGCTGGCATGAGTTCAGTGAGAAGATTAAGCCAAAAGTCTCTGGGGCTTTGTTGGATTTGGCTAGCTTAAAGCTAAGCAGTGAACAGCTCTTTGCCTTTTGGTGAGAGGAGCCCAAGAACAGAGCATGTTTTCTTGGTAAATGTTCGTGTGTGTGTGTGTGTGTGTGTGTGTGTGCGCACGTGTTTGGCTAACAGAATGCAAGACCCACCAAGGTTGTTTTGGCATAGTGACCAAAGTTGGACCATTTTTCTTTGGGAATTCTGAGCCTGTGTTTTTTTTGATTGGACTTTGGGCTGTTGATTCATGCCTTCCTAACCTCAAGACAAAGAAGAAGAAGAAGGAAAATGAGGAAGATGAGGGGAAAACATTTTTATTTACTCTTCTATAAAGGCACCAGATTATCTGTGTGGACAGTCCTCAATTCATGAGAAAATCTGTGCCATTTGCAAGTCTTTGATTGCTGTAAACTCTACTAAAGAAAGAAGGTGAGAAAATATATTAAGAGGGCAAACTCCCCACTTCTCTCCTTTGTTGATGGAAGGTGACTGTGTGCCTGGTTCTAGGTCAGGTGTTGTGGGAAATGCAGAGATGGTTGACCTTTGCCTGTGCTCCATGAATTCCCAAGCTAGTTCTTAAAGCATGCATGTTGTATTTGAAGAAGAATATCTGTTTTCTGGAAATACAATACAGCAAGTGGGTTGGAATAGAGTTTGTAGATTTGGATTCAATTAACATTTACTGGGTGCCTATCTGCTCTATGCCAGGCATTACTGCAGAAACTTCTTAACTGTGAGCAAAGAACTGCTCTCCTCCCTTCCCACAGGAGGATCTGGGGATCCAAAGAGAAGAATGGCTCTCCCATAGTCTTAAAGTGGATGGTAGAAAAATCTCCTGAGATTTGCTTATTACAGAAACAACTCTGGGTTCTTTAGTTGTGTGACCAGAGCAGTGATAGAGAGAGTGTACATGCTGACAGCCCTGCCCCTCAGGGTGCGGGGAGCAGGGTACAGGAAAAAGAAATAGGCAGGATGACCTGACATGCTTAAACCAGAACAGGCAAGTTGAAATTAGCCTCTACTCCTGTTAACATCTGCTTCTCATACCTTCACGTATAAGTTCCAATGTCACTTTATATCAGAGAGGACAAATTCATCATTCTAGAGCAGCCTGAAAATCTGCAAAGTTTCACATGAGGCTTCTGAAGCAAATAGGAAGAGGATTTGTGTGTCATGGAATCTGTCCTTTGAAATAGCTCTTGGGGAGACCTAAAATGACATTACTCTATTGAGACACATGAGGGCGCTCGGACCAACCAACAATGAGGATCTGTTTCCTTTAAAATTAAAAAAAAAACAAAAAGTTGTGAATGCTGGCTATGTTCGATCAGCCTTTGTTTCATGTTGTCAGGATGCTTCTGTGTTAGTGGTCTAGGGCAGTCACCTATAACTTAGCCCTTGAGCTTGCAGATTAGTGTGGTCCTGCATATTTGGAAGTTTTGCACCATATACCATTCTATGTACTATTCTATTATTGCCTGATAGGGAAATAGGTTGCAGGCAAGTTTCTTACCTGATCAGCCCCAGTCCTAAGTGAAGATCAATATCTGTACTCAAATTGTTCAAGGCAGTTGAGAGGATATGTCAGATAATACACTTGAGGTACTTTGGGCTTCTTAGTTTAAAAAGAGGATTCTATTTCAAGGTGGTAGTGAGCATTCCTCTTCATTACTAGAGAAAAAGAAACCTTTCATTCATTTTTCTACCTAGGATTTTTTTTTTCCAGTTGTCTCTAGGCAGATCAAGGCTGAATAACTTAATCTATTTATGTCACTTTTTGTGCCCATCCTCCTGCTTGGAGATCTTCCAGGGGAGTGTGGGAGGCAGACATCAGGACAAACCTGTGCATCTGCTACTTCATGCTCCTGTCCCCAGACACCTTTGTGAAGAAGGGGTTTTGCATTCAGTTGGATGCAGGGACTGGTTTGCAATACCCAAAGGGTGGGGCAGGCTGTCACGCTGAGCATGTCTGAGATGTGCAGACCCCTTCAGTGAGAGGGTCAGGGCTTACCACTTCCAGTGACAAATCCATCCATCAGTGTGCATTTATTTCTTTTGCTCTCTTTGCCGGAAATGGTGTCAGCATTGTGAGAGTGCAATGAAGTCGTGGGGCAAGGCTTGGGCTCATAACACTGAACCCAAGGTAGCATACGCATGGTGTTAAAACCGAGCTATAATGAGTAGGGCTGATCAGTGATGCCAATGAATTTGTGAAATAGAAATATTTAAAAGTCCACCCCAACAACCCATGCTGAAGCATCATTCTGACATATTTAGCCTAAAGCCAGCTTGTCATTTGCAAAATGCTGTCAAATTGTAAAGAAGTGTCTTTCAGCCATTCCTAAGTGCTAGACAAATCTATCATTACTAGTTTATTGGCTGAGAAAGAGAGGTGTGGGGAAGAAACAGCCTTTATACAAAGTTACCTGGCAAGTCAGGAAAAGGGCTAGACTAGGAGATTATAGATTTCTTTACTTGATGTTTGGAAATCTTGCCAAGAATTTTTTATGGCAATTCAGATGTATTTTATAATCAAATTGCATTTAATATGCTTTAGGCTAAAGTGCAATTAAGAGACATCAGTTCCTGGCTCTGGATGGGTATCATGGGAGAATCAACATATTCCCATTACTATATCAGAGTAGTAAAGTGCAGAATGCAGAGTCAGAATTTATACTGTAAGATTTTGATCATGGTAGCAAAAATGGTCACCCAGTACCATTTTGTCTGCTTTTACAGAACACAGTTCTTGTTAGCTGTTTGGGAAATGAACTCTCTCAGCCCTTTTAAAAATTAATTGTAAGGAAATTTAGTGGAACAAATGGAAATCCAAGTGCAAAGGAAACACACTCTGGCCTCCAGGCAAGCATTTTCTTGAACATGTCATTCCGCTCTCCCTAGTGACAATAATAGGAAGGGGAGGAAGAGAGAGAAAAGTTACAGCTTTGGAGGAAGTGGTGAAATCCATAAGAGCAAAAATGTCATTGGGGGAGTCACTGCTGCTAGGATAGGGAAATTTAGCTCAAAAAACGGTGGAAGGGTGCAATTTTTTTTTCATGCAGCAAATTTTAATTATATTTTCATTGCTTTTCATATTTGTACTTAGAATAATTTCTTCACATAGTTGAAATTGATTGTCTTTACTGTTTCTCTTGTTAGATTAACAAAGGAAAGGCCGTTTCCTCTGTGGGGGGTGTGTGTGTGTGTGTGTGTGTGTGTGTGTGTGTGTGTGTCTACCCTTCTTTTCATTTAGTGTTTCAATCATTCACAATAGACTTTGGTATACGGGAAACCATGTGAAATGAGTCATACTGTGAAAATCAAACATTTGAAGTGAGAAAAGTGTATTTCCTTACATGATACATATCAGACCTTAAAAAATGGGTTGATTTGAAGAAGGGTTAATATTTTGGGCTTTTGGAATCATAGCTTCTTTTTTTTTTTTTTTTCTCCATAGAGGTAGAGAAATGGACTGACAGCTTAGACTTATTCCATGAGTCCAGATGTCTTTCCAGACCATTCAGAAAGGGACACAGACACAGAGTCATTCTCCAGAGATCCCTGTCGTTGCCCTCACTGGCCCTTTATTGCAGCCCAGGCTGGAGCTGAGGACGTGAAGGGCGGCCGTATTTTCACAGTGAGCAAGGCTCCGAGAATTCTTACCTTTATGTAATCCTTACTTTTTCCTTTTGAACAAGTGAAATTTCTTTAGACGACCTTTAGAAGCTGAGGTTTTCTTTCAGCCTTGCTCCAACTCCTTCCCCCACTCACTCCTGAAAATGTTGCCTTTTGCCATCCAGAGCTCCTTTCAGAAGCCGTGAATGCGAAGCCACCAGCTGTGAAATAGGTGCTGTGAATGGCTTGTCACAGGGAGGGGTAGATTTACTGAGAATGAGCTGTGCTTTGCTGCAGAATTCTGTGACTATTGCCAAAAAGGGTTTGCTACATGACAAAGAATCCAAATTGTACTGTCTGTGGACCCTGAGGGCTGTGGAAGGTGGGGAGGGAGAATCCTCTATGTACCCTATTATTAGGTTCAGCAACTGAATCCAGGTGCTGCTCTTATGCCAGAGGCTTGGTTCATAATTTTGGTTCCTTACTGGTTGGAACTTCTGCAGCTCCAGGGTGTGCGCGCGTGTGTGTGTGTGTGTGTGTGTGTACACATCATATGAGTGTATATCTACGGTCAAAAGGTATGGCCTTTCTCAACTCTAGGTTCTCATTCTCATGGAGCTCCTAAATCATAGCATGGCAAGCATGTTAAAATGCACCCATATTCTATGATGTGTATTTTTATGTAATTATATATATAAAATGTCATGAACAGCAGTTGATTAGTTGGCATGCTGTTACATTTTGTAGATGGTTACTTAAATATATGTTTCAGCTTTGTGCAGTTTTCTTTTTGCATTTTTTTCTTTGGAGTAAGCATTTTTTCCCCAGTTCTCAATCGTCTTTAAGCCTTAGAAAAGCTTGTGGATGCTGGGCACCATCCTATAGTGACTAATGAATAAGGTGGCTCTGGGTTTTGAGTTCAAGAAAGAATTGTCAGACAGAACACAGAGGCCCATTCATTTAAACCGACATTTCCCAGACTATGTTCCAATAGTCCTTTGAAATGTACCAAGAGAAAGGGACTCCATGCTCAAATTCATTTTGGTGTAGGGGAGTACCAGGAATATCAGCATGTGAAAGTCACCCAGAAATCCTGCAAGAAGAAAGCTTTTAAATTATTGAATCCAATGTTTCCCAAATGCATTTGATTCAGAAATTTTATTTAAATGAGTACCACTTAGTATTCTCCTAAAAAACTAGTGTTCCTTGGAACTAACTTTGGGAGCTGCTGATTAGAAACCTCTTAACTGCCACGTTACATCCTCTGGGTTTACCTTGGTCCTACTCTGGACTACATTTTTATACCTGCAACCTCAGGCATCCTTCTTTACAGCCATATTCAGAATTAAACCCTCCTTTGCTTGAGGGTCAATAGGGCTTTGAGTCCTGGACATACACTAATTCAATTAATCTCACCATTGCAATCTTCATCACAACAGTGTAATACAGGTATTATTATGCATATTGTACCTACAAAGAGAGTGAGGTTCAAGGAAGCCCTGTCAATAAGTAGAGTCTTTATTCAACAGAATATGGGGTGTATAAGACTCTAGAGCCCATGATTCTAACCAATGGCATGTTATAGAAGAAAACTAAAACACTGAATCCAGAAATAAGTATATTTAAGAATCCAGGACATGGCTATGCCCCATTTTCATTCCACTGTAGGTCTCTCCATATATGTCTTCTATCTATTGCTCTAGGAAAGGTAATAGAAAGTGTGTGTTTCCTTTAGGTCCTGGTAAACTCTACCTTCAACTGAACAAAACTCTTCTAAACTGCCTGATGAAGCAGCTTAGGGAGGAGGGAGTGCAGGCATTCATGACCAGTATCTCTCCCCCAGTTTAGAAAGCTCTCTCTGCTGCTGACAATGTGCAGGGTGGTTGGGCCAGGTTGCACCCAGAGGTTCAGGATTGCTTCTTCCTTTGGGATTTCTCTCTGGCTTCCGCTCCTCAATGGCCATTTTTCCACATGGATCCTTCTAGTAATCACTGCTGAGGTAGTTGCTGGCTACCTAAAATACTGCAGCAAAACAGAATCATCTGGGATGCCCTTTTCTCTCTTTTCAATTTTGTCCCATTAAAATTGCTCTTGCCTCTCACTAGGGAATGGCCCAATCTCTGCTTGAGGGTTACTTTCTTGACTTGAGAAAATGGAGGGGCAGCCCCATGGCTGCTTTGATGAGTCTGTAGAGTGCATGGTGTCTTGGCTTTCTCTCTATACAAAGAGAGGAACTTCAGAATTACAGCTCTAATATTGCTCCTCATTTGAGGAGTCCCAAGTCCTTACTCCTCAAAACTGCTGGGGAAAATTCTAAGCTTATGCCTTTCTCCATTCACATGTAGTATGGAGGGTGCACACCTAGTAAAGGTCACAGAATCTAGTATTTGTAAGCATCTCCTTTTATAGAAGGGCCTCTGTGTGCCACCTAAGTAGTTGATTCTCCATTAGTGAGATCCTTTGTCTGAGCTCTAAGACTTTGTATAGTTATAGCCTTCCCATGGCTTGTTTTCTTGGAGGGTGGATTTATGGAGGAATGGATATAAAATTGCACACCTATACTCTCCAGGCTTTGTAGCTGTGTGAAACAACAACAAAAAGCCAAATTATTGAAATAAAAAGGATAATTAACATTATTTTATGTTTCTCTTTCATGCTATTTCTAAGCTGAGATCATCATCAGGGATAGGAAGAAAATATGCTAAATATTACTTAGGCATTTGACATGATATGAAGGAAAAAGTCTAATCACATTCTTATGTATACCATTATGTTCAGTTCTCTATTAATATCAATAGTTTGGCTGAGTGAAAATTACAGGCTAACATTGAACAAAGAGTCACAAATGTGCTCAGTGTTGCAACTCAAAAATTCAAGATGAGAATCAGACTGAGCCTGGGTTGGGTGACTAGAGAAGGTTTCCTAAAGGAAGAGATGTTTAAGCTGAAATCTAAGTAGCTAAGAAGTAGTTAGACAATAGCAGGGACAGGGTAGTTGGTTGCACAACTCTGGAGATCACTAGTTACAGTATCTAGACTAGTCCTGAGTGTGGAGCGTGTGAAATTAGGTTGATTAGTGGGGAGAGGTTTCTAGTGAGAGGGAGCAGCATGTGTGACTATCCTGAGATGCAGTATGGTGGGTACGAGAAACTGAAAAATGTACGATATGGAGAAACTTGGGGAAAGGAAGAGTGATATTAGATGAGACCAAAGAGATTGGATGGGGCTAGATCAAGCATGATTTTGTAGTCCCTGTTAAGGCTTTTGGACTCTTCCTAAGGGCAATGTGAGAGCACTAAAGGATTTAAAGTAGGCGAATGCCAGGGTGGGATTTGCATTAATAGTATATACTTCATACTACAGTATGAAGAATAGGTTGGTTGAGAACTAAAGTAGAGTAGGTAGACTAGTGGGAGATGAACCATAATGAATGTTGTTTGGACTACAGTGATAGCAGAGTTGGAGTAAAAGAAATGGGTCCAAAAGATATTTAGTGGGTAGAGGGAGTGTGAAGAGAGGGAGTGTGTGAATTCAAGGATAATTTCCAAGTTTCTGTCTTGAACTGGTTGGATGAAGGCAACATTTACTGAGATATGGAACACTGGTGGGAGAGAGTTTTCTGTGTGTCAATGCAAGAGGATGACCTCGGTTTTGGACAAATTTAATTAAGATGTTAGCATGTCTAATAGAAAATTTTGAGTAGGTGGTTGCTTTTGTGGATTGCGAGCTCAGGAGGGGAGTCAGCTGGAGTTATAAATTTGCTGGCTATCAGGTTCTGGAAACCATAGAAATTGGTGAGATTATTTAAGGGGAAAGCATTGAGTTAGAAACAAGGAAAGTCAAAAAAGTAAGCCGTCTATAGAAATCATACACACCTTAAATGGTTGGGTAGAGGAAGGAGATTATGAAGGAGATTTAAATGGCATGTTCAAGGGAGGTAAGAAGATCTAGTCAGCAAAGGCAAAGGAAAAGATTGTTTAGGAGGAAGGAAGTAGTTAACTGTTAAGTGCTATAGAGAGAACAAGGATATAAGGCTGGAAGTAACAGAAAACCTGATTCAAATTGCTTAAACAACCAGGGTATGTATTGACTCTTCCTACTAGAATTTTAGAAGTAGAGAAGGCTTCCAGTTCACCTTATTCTAATGGTTCTGTCTTCATTACTCTGGATTCTCTTGGGGGTACCCTTCTCTGTGTGTTGGTTTTATCGTGAGACTATTTCCCTCATGGAGACAAAATGGTTATAGTTGCTTCTGGTTTCACATCAGTACCTTCTGGCATCCAGAAGAGAATTTTTGTCTCTTCTACTTGCTCACACTTCAGAGGGAGAAAACTTAACTTTACAGAAGCCCCTGGTATACTCTTCCTGGCTTATTATTGGGCTAAATTGAGTCATGCTTATTCCTGAACCAAATCCTGGACAGAAAAATACCTTGCATTTAATGACTTAAATGTGATTTCCCAAATTTATTATTGCTAAGGCATTAGGGGTAAATAAACCAATAAATCCTACCTCAGGAAATAGGAATTATCTTCCCTTGAGTCATAAGACTAGAGTTCTTTTGGGGATGGTGAAGGAGAGAACAGATGTAGGTTGGGCAACCAACAATGTCCACTATATTAACATAAGCAAGAAATGAGAATTGCTTATTGGAATTAAAAAAAATTGTACATTCTTATTGAGGTATACTTGACACATATTCATTGCACATATTTAAAAATGCACTATGAAACCATGAACACAGTCAGGATAATGAACACAAAAGTTTTCTCACTACACTTTGTAATCACTTGCTCCTCTCCTCACCCTTCTCCTCCCCTCCTTGTCCAGTTCTCAGACAGTCACTGATCTTCTCTCTGTCACTATAGATTCATTTGCATTTTCCAGAATTTTTTATAAATGAAAAACTTTATGTGTTCTTTTTTTGTGTGGCCTCTTTCATTCGTTGTATTTTGTGATTCATCCATGTTGTTGTGCATATCAATAGTTCATTCGTTTTGATTGCTGTATAGTATCACATTGAATGGATATGTTACAATTTGTTTATCCATTCACATGTTGATGGACATTTGGGTTGTTTCCAGTTTTTTTTTTTTTTTTTTTTTTTTTTTTTTTTTTTTTTGAGATAGAGTCTCGCTCTGTCACCCAGGCTAGAGTGCAGTGGCACGATCTTGGCTCACTGCAACCTCTGCCTCCCAGGTTCAAGGAATTCTCCTGCCTCAGCCTCCCGAGTAGCTGGGACTACAGGCGCCTGCCACCACGCCTGGCTAATTTTTTATTTTTAGCAGAGACGGGGTTTCACCATCTTGGCCAGGCTGATCTCGAACTCCTGACCTTGTGATCCACCCACCTCAGCCTCCCAAAGTGCTGGGATTACAGGCGTGAGCCACTGCACCCGGCCCGTTTCCAGTTTTGAGGTATTGCAAATAAAGGTGCCAGGAGTATTCATGTACAAATGTGTTCTCTAGGGTAGATACCTAGGAGTGGAATGGCTAGGTCATATACTAAGAAACTGAAAAACTGTTTTACAAAGTTGTGGTTCCATTTGACAGTCTCACTAGCAGTGGTGGGAGTTCCACCTCCTCACTAACATTTAGTATTGTCAATCCTTTTAATTTGAGCTATTCTAGTGGGTCTGTAGTGCTATCTCATTGTGGTTTTAACTTGCATTTCTCTAATAACTAATAATGTTTAGCTTCTTTCAATATGCTTATTTGCTATCCATATACCTTTTTTTGGTCAAGTATCTGTTCAAATCTTTTGCTTTATTTAAAAAATTATTTAGTTTCATTCTTGAGTTGTAAGAGTTCTGTATGTATTCTAGATATAAGTTATCTATTAGATATATGATTAGCAAATATCTTCTCTTAGTCTTTGGCTCCATTTTTATCTTCTCCCAGTCTTTGGCTCCATTTTTAATCTTCTTAGTGCTATTTTCTAAGGAGCAAAGTTTTAGTTTTGATAAGGTCAAATTTATATATTTTTATGTTTGTGCTTTTTGTACTATATTTAAAAAATCTTCACCAGACTCAAGGTCATTAAGATTTTCCCCTATGTTTTCTTTTAGAAATTTTATAGGTTTAACCCTTACAGTTAAAAATATTATTGATTTTGAGTTAGTTTTGTATATGGTTTGAGGTAAGGGTCAGGTTAATTTTTTTTTGTACCAATTGTTCTAGAACTATTTTTAGAAAAGGTGATTTTTTCTTAGCTTAATTTCTTTGACATACTTGTGGAAAATCAGTTGCATATATGTATATGCATATTATACAATTGATTTTCAACAAGCATATATATGTAAAATCAATTGCATATATGCAATTAATTTTCAACAAGTATATATATGTATGCGTATATATATACACACATATACATGTATATGTATGTACATGCATGTACATGTATGTGTATATATTCCTATATTGTCTCTCATGTTTGTCCCTTTATTCGGTTTCCACCCACTTTGATCTTCCAAAGTAATTATTCTTAACAGTGTGGTGAGTATTCTGCTAGATAGAATGCAATACCCAATGTTATCATTGCTTCAAAATTTAAATGGGATTACATTGCACATATTGCCCTGTAATTTGCTTTTTTCTCTTTAAATACATGTCTTGGAAATAAGTAAATACAAATACACCTTATTATTTTTAAACTGTTCTATAGAATTAGTGTGCAAGATATATAGCCAGCCTCTGAATGAGGGACATTTAGCTTGTTCAAATATTTTCAGTGTTACAAATTACATCATTGTAAATGCCTTTTGGGGCATGCATAAGCTTTTCTGTAAAATAGGTTCTTCAAGGTAGAATTTTTGGATCAAAGGGTAAGCACATAAAATTTTATATGTGCTTAAAATATCACCTAAAGGCTATATCATTTTTTGAACAATCTATGAAAATAATTATTTTATCCATACACTCACCAATGCTGAACATTAGCAACTAAAAAAAATTTGGTGAAATTAATGGAATACTATGAAACTATGAAGAAGAACAAGATCATGTCCTTTGCAGGAACATGGATGGAGCTGGAGGCCATTGTCCTTAACAAACTAACACAAGAACAGAAAACCAAATACCACATTTTCTCACTTATAAGTGGAAGCTAAATGATGAGAACACATGGATGCATAGAGGGGAACAACACACACTGGGCTTTTCAGAAGGTGGAGGGTTGGAGGAGGGAGAGAATCAGGAAAAATAACTAATGAGTACTAGGCTTAATACCTGGGTGATAAAATAATTTGTACAACAAGCCCCCATGACACACAGTTATCTATATAACAAACCTGCACATCTGCCCCTGAACTTGAAATAAAAGTTAAAAAAATTTTTGGCGAAATTGAATGGTCATTGTAATTTATCTCCTATATTACTATTGTGTCTTGCAAAGTGAATTTTTTTCTCTATTTTAAATGTTTTGTTTGTATTTTTGCTTTATTCAGATTTTCTACCCTTTTCTGAGTTTATGTTGGCAATTTATGTTTTTCCTAGAAAAACGTATTCATCTACATTTCATTACATTAGAATAAGTTTCTCTATGGTATTCCCTTTGAATTAGTGAAATTTCCTCTGTAGCTGTGATTGAGACCATCTGTCGGCTTTTAATATTGTTTATTTGTATCCTCTGCTTTTTTTAATTAGTAAGACTTGTTAAAGATTTGTTCATGTGTTTTCAAAGCACCATTGAGTTTTATTAAATCTTCTAATTAAAATCTTTCTATATCCTCATTAATTTATTTTTTCCACTTTTAACATGCTTGTTTTGCTGTTAGTTTTATCCCTTTTTGGAAAATATTTTTAAAAATTTTATGTGATCAATATTCAATATTTTTCAGTCAACTTTATTGTGATATAATTTATACATAATAAAATTAATTCCATTTACCCACCCCCTATACTTTAAGTATAGTTATCACATATATTACTTTTATATATTATAAACCTTCTTTCTGGTGATATTATATTTGCTTTCAACAGTCAGTTATGCTTTAAATAAATTAGAGAAGAAAAAAATTGTATTTACTCATTTATTTACCACTTCTGTTTCTCTTCATTCCTTCCTATAAATCCTAGTTCTCATCTGGTGTCATTTCCCTTCTGACTTAAGGCTATGTTTTAGTACTATTTCTAGTAAAGATCTACTGAACAGGCTGGGCATGGTGGCTCACGCTTGTAAACCTATTTTGGGAGACTGAGGCAGGCAGATCACTTGAGGTAAGGAGTTCGAGACCAGGCTGGCCAACATGGTGAAACCTCATCCCTACTAAAAATATATATATATATATTTGTATATATATACACAAAAATTAGCCCGGTGTGGTGGTGCATGACTGTAATCCCAGCTACTCAGGACGGGAGGCTGAGGCATGAGAGTAGCTTGAATCCAGGAGGCGGAGGTTGCAGTGAGCTGAGACTGTGCCATTGCACTCCAGCCTGGGTGACAGAGTGATACTCAGTACTAAAAAAAAAAAAAAAACCTACTGAACAAATTCTCTCAGTTTTTGATTTTCTGAAATATCCTTATTTTTGCTGGATATAAAATTGTGGACATAGTTGGTTTTTTTTTTTTTCACTTTAAAGATGTCATTTCATTAAATTCTGACCTCCATTGCTTCTGATCAAAAATTAATAGTCTTTATTATCTACACTCCCTTCCATGTAATTAATCTTTTTTCTCTGGCTGATTTTAAGGCATCTTTGGATCAATTTTGTGATGATCATCCTCAGAGTGGTTCTTTTCTCTTCATGTTTATCCTGCTTGGAGTTTATTGAGCTTCTTGGATCTGTAAATCAGTTTTTAAAAAAAGCAAATTTATGAAAGTTTCTAGTTATTATTTCTTCAAATATTCTTTTCTGCCCCATCTTACCCTATTATCTTCCTGAAATTCTTATTACACGTAGGTTATATATCATCTGATATTTTCCCACAGGTTCACGAGAATGTATTTATTTTTCTTCCATTTTTTTCCACAGATTGAATAATTTCTATAACTCTGTATTCACACAGACCGGGCTAGACATCCAAGATGACCATTCACATGTTGTTGCTGATTGTCCACTGGACCCAACTCTGTTGAAATTGTCAAACACAGCATCTCCATGTGGCTTCTCTATGTGGCTTGAACTCCCACATCATGACAGCCGAATGTTTCAAGAGGCACAGGTGGTAGCTGTAGGGCTTCTTAAGACCTTGCTTGTCCAGGGTGTCTCGTTATGACACTTCCATGTATTCTACTGGTTAAAAAGTTCCAAAACCAGACCATGGGAGATTGGCACATACACTTTGAAAAAGAGCATATGGGGTAGGATATTGTTGTAGCCATCTTCGGAAGATACAACCTGCCACCACTTCCTTAGACTCTTAATCTGCTAAATATAACATCTGAACTTGTTTTATTGATTAATTTTTTCCTTTACGATAGGTTACATTTTCTTTATTTTTTAAAAAATATTTTTAGTGGCTTTTATTGAATATTGGACATTTGGAATAAAACACTGTAAGGATTCTGAATTCTGTCATATTTCTTTGAAGATTATTGAGGCATGTTTTAGCAGGCAGTGAAATTAGTGGTTGGTCATTTTGAATTTGTATAGAATAGACTTTATGCTTTATTTGAGTGGATATATTTCCCAAGCCCCTTTAAGTCTTGGCAGTCCCTTATAACAAAAGGGATCTCAACTCCCAAAGTCCCTCTTCCATAACATCTTGTCAGGGCTTAGTTTTAAGTGTTACTGATTTTCAGAAAGTCTAGAATAAGTCTTGCTCTAGAGCTTTATCCTTACTTTTAAGTAAAGGTTTTCTGGAAATTCAGCCTGATGTCGAGAAATTAATGAGGATTCTCCACTCTGGCGGGGTCAGAACTCCCTGGTACTGCTCTTACCTCAGCACAGTCCAACCTCTAGAAGCCAGGTTCTCTTTTCAACCCTGTTGCAGTTGCTCTCTGGAAAACCGTGAATGGAATTGTCTTGTGCCTGTGCAGTCTAGATCTCATTGTGGGCTCATGTACCTAACACAGATTGTTGGAGCCCCCAACTCTGCACATCTGCCTCTCTCTCCTACATCTTTCCCTGTAAAATCAGCTGCTTTGAACTCTGATCTCTTCCTCCTAAACTCACCAGGATTGTCAAATTCAGCTTACCTCCTGAATTTTCCTACTCTCACAAATTATAGCTATCTTGACTTATCCAACATCTTAAAAGAATTGCTTTGTATAGCTTGTCCAGTTTTATTTATTTATTTTTTTGAGATGGAGTCTTGTTCTGTTGCCCAGGCTGGAGTACAGTGGCATGATCTCAGCTCACTGCAACCTCTGCCTCCCAAGCTCAAGCAATCCTCCCATCTTGGCCTCCCCAGTAGCTAGGACTGCAAGCACCCACCACCACGTCCAGCTAATTTTTTGTATTTTGGATAGAGGCAGGGTTTCACCATGTTGGCCAGGCTGGTCTCGAACTCCTTAGCTCAAGTGATCTGCCTGCCTCAGCCTCCCAGAGTGCTGGGATTACAGACGTGAGCCACCGTGCCTGGCCTTATAATTGTTTATAGTGAAGAAACTAATGTCATAGGGGTTACCTCATCATGGCCAGAAGGTGAAACTCTGTCAGTCTTTATATTATGACTTCTCAGTTTTGTGTTATATTTGGAAAAACTCTCTCCATTCTGCGATTACAATCAAAAACTCATATTTTTGTAGCACTATTTATGCTTTTAATTTTTAAAGATTTAAATCCCTGATCCATCTAAAATTTATTTTGATGATGTATGGTATGAAATAGGGAGCCAATTTTATTTTTTCCTCATGATGGTTACTCTAGTCCCTAAAACATTTATTTTAAAAAAGCCTTAAGTTTTAACAGTTTACTTGAAATACTTCCTATATAATTTACTGTATTTTAATTCTTATTTGAGTATATTTCTGGACTTCCTAGTATGTTACATTAATCTCTCTGTTCAGATACTTAACTGTTTATTTTAAACTTTATGATGCATTTTAATATATGATAAAGCTGTTTCCTCCTCATTAATATTTTCCTTTCTTTTATTTTTATTTTATTTTATTTTAATTTTTGAGACGGAGTTTCGTTCTGTTGCCCAGGCTGGAGTGTAGTGGCCCAATCTCAGCTCACTGCAAGCTCCGTCTCCCGGTTCACGCCATTCTCCTGCCTCAGCCTCCCGAGTAGCTGGGACTACAGGTGCCCGCCACCACGCCGGGCTAATTTTTTGTATTTTTAGTAGAGAGAAGGTTTCACCGTGTTAGCCAGGATGGTCTCGATCTCTTGACCTCGTGATCCACCTGCCTCGGCCTGCCAAAGTGCTGGGATTACAGGCGTGAGCCATCGCGCCCGGCCTCATTAATCTTTTTCACAATTGCAATGACTCTTCTTATTTTATTTTACATCAACTTTAAAGTCAACTTGTATAGTTGAAAAATCCCATTGTTATGCACTTGGTTCGTACTTAATTTAGCAAGAATTATTATCTTTGTGATGCCATTCTCTTCAAGAATGCATATTTCCATTTTATTTACTTAAGAATTCTTTTGCATTTACCAGTAGCACATTTTTTGTTAAATTTACATCCAGGTACATCTTTCTTGTGCTATTTTTAATGAGGGTCATCTTTGCAGTGCACCCTTTAACTAGTCATTGTGTATAGGGAAAGACTTTGGATAATATATGGCTATCAATTGCTCATTTTCAATCAATTTTTAACAATCCTCTGTGATGATGTAGATGTTTCTCATTTTAATATAGCAATATCACATTTGTAAATTTTGAAATTACAAAACTACAATAAATGATGTTCATCACCATATAATCCTCCACCTTGAAAGTGAATAAATAATACAAATTCCCCTTCAGTTTTTAAGGCCATTAGAATGTGTGGATGCTGCTCACTTTGCACTTCTCAGTTTGTGACATTGCTGTCATTTGGTCTATCCCGCCAGGAGTTGCAACTTTTCTTCTTTCTCTCGATGAGACTCAAACCAAAATCCTGTTTTTTGTTTTTGTTTTCGTTTTTGTTTTTGTTTTGAGATGGAGTCTTACTCTGTTGCCCAGGCTGGAGTGCAGTTGTGTGATCTCTGCTCACTGCAACCTCCGCCTCCCCATTTTAAGCTGTTCTCCTGCCTCAGCCTCCTGAGTAGCTGGGATTACAGGTGCGCACCACCTCGCGTGGCTCACTTTTTTATATTTTTAGTAGAGACAGGGTTTCACCATATTGGCCAGGCTGGTTTTGAACTCCTGACCTCAAGTAACCTACCTGCCTTGGCCTCCCAAAGTGCTGGGATTACAGGCATGAGCCACTGAACCGAGCCCAAAACCCTTTTCTTCAGAGCTCCAGTTCCCTGAGCAGGTCTTTAAGCACCCAGGATGATGACAATGGGCTATCGGCAGTGCCATCAGCAGAGACATACAGAGTGACCAGTGCATTTCTTCTATCCCATAACTACATCTGGGTCTCTGGGAAGCAGCTTATGTGGCCTTCACCCTCCCTTCCCCACTCTTTTAGTGGAATTTGGACCCATGGACTATCTGGCTACCTGGCCAGCTCAGTTTCAGATATGGCAGCTGAACTACCTACACTCCCACTTCCAGGTCTGGGTCTCCCGGGCTTCCCACATCTGTGTTTTTTACCCAGGGAAGGTAAGAACCTGGCTTCCAGAGGGCTGGAGTCTCAGCTGTGGGAAGTCCCTCTCTAGAACTCTCTGTACTCAGATAGGCCATGGTGTAGACACAAGGCTGGTGATAGACCCTCATGTTGGTGCCAAGGATGCCTCTACAATATTGTTCCAGGAAGTAAGTTCCTTCTCTCTGATGCTTATAATATCACTGACACAACTTTCTGGAGCTACCGCTGCTGCTGCTGTCATCCTTTTACGTCCTTAGACCTGAGAATGGTGCTGGGCAGAGGGTTCAGGATCTTGAATAACTCACATCCCTGAATGGATGGGGCCATCCTGCTGCAGTCCTGGACACAATGCTTTTCTTCTTGTGTCCCTGGGCTCTTCCTCTCACCTGCTGCCAGGCAGCCTGACCTGCACCATGGCCTTCCACTGATTGGTGTGGTCCTCCCTTTCTCCTGTGCTTTCAAAAGGACTTGTGTGTTGAGTTTGAGAAATGGTGGAATACAGCATTGTCTATAAACAGTCCTTGTAAAAATGCCAATATGTTCATTTATTGGATCAAAGTTTAATATAATTCCAATATTCACCAACAGATTTGTAGATTAGCTAGTTATCATGCACCATAGCACAATAATGCCACTTAACATAGGCCGGCTGAATTCTGATGAAGGAAGAGGCTTAGATTTACTTAGCATTTGCTAATCCTAATCATGAGATTCCAAGGAGAGAAATAAGGTAATAGAGAGAGGCAGAAAATGGTGTTTTCTTATGTTATAGGTTTGCCTTCGTATAGCTCTAATTTGACAAAAATTTAGTGAATATAAGAACTTATCATGACTGTAGAGAGCGCTTGCTAGTGAGGGCGATTTTAAGCCCCTTGTATTCACCTCTGTCCCCGCCTGGCCCTCAGGTGAGCACAGTGAACTTCAATTTCACCCTCTCCTTTTTTCTCTTCGTAGTAACTGCCTATGTAGGGAACTCTAACCTGGTTCAATCCCATCATTTTATATTTGAGAAAACTGAATTCTACTTATCTCAGAATGACTTTTCCAACACTTTTAATCTTACATCATGTAATATTCACAGGCTCCCTTAAAAGCAATAAACTTCAGTCCTCCCACTATGGCAGCAGAGGACAGAGCCTCCTGTGATGATTCTGCTTCTGGGACCATCGCAGGAGATCTAAGCACAACTTTCCAGAAGCTTCCAGTGGGCTTCTTTGCATGCATTTTGTTGTTCTGGAACTTTGAGTATAGCCACAGTAATAGAAAAAGCTTTTGACAGTGGCAATCTCAGGTTTAAGAGAAGAGAATTCTTAGCAAAAGTGTGAGAAACTGGTTGATAGCTATGTGATATGATGTCAGACATATGTGTGAGGACTAGGGAAATATTTGTTTACCTAACATCTCTAGGTGAATGTTGTCTTGAGAAGATTGGGAAGAAAATATTGAAGGAAAAAAGCAGATTTCTGGAGACATCAACTAAAGAAAGAACTGAAGAAGGCCAGGTGCGGCGGCTCATGCCTGTGATCCCAGCACTTTGAGAGGCTGAGGTGGGTGGATCGTCTGAGGTCAGGAGTTCTTGACCAGCCTGGCCAACATGGTGAAACCCTGTGTCTATTAAAAAAAAAATACAAAAATTAGCTGGGTGTGGTGGTGGGCACCTATAATCCCAGTTACTCAGGAGGCTGAGACAGGAGAATTGCTTGAACCCGGGAGGTGGAGTTTGCAGTGAGCCAAGATTGCACCACTGCACTCCAGCCTGGACAACAAGAGTGAAACCCCCTCTCAAAAAAAAAAAAAAAAAAAAAGAAAGAAAGAAAAAAAAGATAAAAAGAGCTGAAGATCAAAGTCATGACTTGTTTGTTGTCCCATGGCTATTTTTTTGTTGATTACCAACAATTGGTTTAACTTTATTGGGTGTCAGATTCTCTATCTTTTTAAAAATAAAAATCATTTCCAAAAAGTTTACCTGTATTTATACCTATCAATCATCTAGTATCATGTTTTGGACTGCAAAGGTATGGTATTTTAAATGGGTTTATTCTTCACATTGTACTATAATTGTCTGATTATACGTATTTCTTTAAAAATACCAGACTGAATTATTTGAGGAAGGCGTCCATGTTTTCTTTGAACTCTCTGTCCCTGGGGTCTAGTAGAGAGAGCTTTGGGATGAATTAATGAGCTCATCGTATAAGAGAACAGAGACTAGAGGCACTGACTTTGTGTGTGTGTGTGTATTTGTATAAACTAAGTGGCTAACAAATAGTGCCAACATAAACTAATATAAAAGCTAACATAAGAGTTGAGTGTAAAAGAAGGCATTATAAGGATTAGACCCTCAGCTAGTCCTTGACAGATGGAGAATTGGATCTATGGATAGAATATCAGAAGATGCTTGAGGAAGGGGAAATGGTGTGAACTAAGATGTGGAGTCAGGGGAGCATAAGATATGCCTGAGGAGCAGTTGGGATCAGCGTGCCCAAATGGGATGGTTTGTGTTGGGAAATCACGGGCAGAAGGGCCCAGGTTTGGGCTAGTGTATGAGCACCTTGAACATCCGTAAGACATTCATATTTTACCCTTTATGCACAAAATGATGATGTTGGGGTATGAAGTGGGATGGTAGGTACTAGCAGCTTTGAAGAGAGTACTGGGCTTTCGTTGTGATACTGCCACAGTGAAAGCAAAAGGGTAAGAGAGTTTAAAAGTACTTTACTCATTCTACCGATTTTTTTTTTCTATGCCATACAAAGTCCCAGCCACTAGGGATACAATATTGATAAGAGTCAGTGAGTATCTGCCCTCAGGAGCTTTAGAAGAGGCAAGCAGCAGACATTTACAATACACATTATCAGTGCTAAGGGGTCCATATGACGTGATTAGTCATTAGAAGGAATATCTGACACATCCTTGGAGGATGGGCAGGGAAGGTTTCCCAGAATAAGTGACATCTTGCTGAGTCCTAAAGGATAAGTAGCAAGTTATAGAAGGAAGGAAGGCACCTGAAGAACAACAACAAAAGAGCTCCTAGCGTGCCACAGAGAAGAGCGTGGCACTTTCAGGACATTTCAAACAGTTTAACTTGGAGAATAAGGGACTGAAGGGGAGGAGCAGAAAGTGGTGACGGGGGGAACTGGAAAGGTCAGTGGGCTGACTTGCAACCCTAACCAGCTCGTTATTAAGAATGGAATATTCTTAATATCTAAAATATTCTTCTTCCTTATATCTCCTCTAAGATGTTTATCAGTTTACATTTTTTATACTCTGTCATCTTAATTCATTGCATTCTCTTTTCTTCTTAGAATAAGGGCTTTCAAAACCAGTGAACTTCTGTCCACAAAGTACAGGGACTCTAGTTTTCTTCACTGATAATCTAAATTCAGTTAATGGATTTCTAATATTATAATTCAGGCGTTTCTAGAGTAAAACTTGATTTATTAAAAAAAGTATTTTTCTAATAATTGATGGATTCATTTACCACTACTCTATTTCAGAGTTTTGCTTACGTATTTTGCCAATGGGATTATTTTGCAGCTGTGTTTTTGAGTGGGCTGTTTGTCAGATTTCAGAGAAGGTAAGTATAACTTGATGAAGTAAATCACCAGTTAACTTTCTATTGTTTTCTGTGGCCTAGTATATTTTTTAAACAGTGAAGAAATGACCTTTCCCCAACATTTTGAAAGCTTTGTAATCTAGTAAGAAGAGCTTCTAATGGCATGAATGTTCCTCTGAGAACAATGGTGGCCCCAAACTTGTTTAGTTATATAGTGTTTGTATCTTATTATTTTTCTGGATAATTTGCAATTGTGGTTTGTGTTTATAATTTCTTTTTATTTATGTATATGTTTATTTTATTTTTTTCTTCCCACCTTAAAATTTTTGAATGTATTTCCAATTTTGTACAGAAATTTCTTAAAGGTATGTTTTGTAGCCTAGTTTTTAAGTTGGTTTCACTCATGAATTAAAATGATTACTATGATTTTCTTTTTTTAGAAATCATATTGTGTTCATAGATTTTGATGTAAAGCAGTGATAGGTAAACTTCTGTGAAGGGCCAGATGGCAGGGCTTTGCAGGTGGATAGTCTCTGCTGAAACTGTTCAACTCAGCCATTGTAGCAGGAAAACAGCATTAGACAGTCTGTTAATAAGTTATGCCTCAAATGGTGATGTTCCAATTAAACTTTAATTGCAAAAGCAGACAAAGGGGTGAATTTTGTCTGTGGTTCATAGTTTGCTGACCTCTGGTCTAGACTACTTTTGATTTTTGCAGTTTAGTGACTTTTAAGCACTTTAATATATGGTTAACTTTTATAAATATTCCCTGATCACTAGAAAAGAAGGTATGTTCTATCTACACATGGTACAATTTTTATCTCTTAAATCTTATTTCATATAATGTAGGCCATTTTAGCTTTTTTTTTTTTTGGTCAAGTTTCTTAGCCTTTGACAAATCAGTTCATTTCTATCAATTATAACAATTTTATGTGGTACAAATAAAATATTTGCCAGTTGTCCTTTTAAAAACGTTCCAGGAGGCGAGTGCTGAAACGTCTTTTTATGAAACATTATAAACTGGTAGCTCAGTTACTTTTTATTGTGGGGGGGCTTTACAGTGGGGTTTTCTGTTTCGTTTTGCTTGAATCAGTTACCAACATTTAGCTATATGGAGATTTTATAAAATTTTATAAAATTAAGATGCCATGATTGATTTTAAGATACATCATTATTTTACATACCACTAAGGAAATAAAAACATTGTTGCCAATTATAACTGTAAGACACTATTGATTATAATACATATCCTGACTTTAAACCTGTTAAAATGTGTAAAGTATTACATCTGAGAGTCAGTGAATTATGGTAAAAAGTTCGGGATTTGTGGCTGCCTTTATTCATGGGAAGACCCAACAGTATTGGGACCACATTGTCATGTCATAAGGCTGCTCTATTGATGGCTTTGAGCTTTGAATTTTTCACAGTCCCCACCTGGCCCACTAATTTATGTAAGTTACCTGCAGTTGTGACTCCTGTTTCTATGGTAATAGACTCAACCCAGAGGCATGCTCTTCCTTCTTCCGTGGAAGCAGAATGACTCCTTGCAATAATGAAGAGAATACTTGACATCTCAGATTGCAGTGTTTGGGTTGCAGTGACTTTATGGACAGCTAGAGCTTCCATGGTTAAAGAATAGGTACCTTTACAGAGGACATTTGCATGCCGAAGGAGACTCACCTTGAAGTGCCTCTCAGAACAAAATGTCTGCCATTTATTTTTAAGTAAATCCAAGCTTCCAACCTAAGGATCACAGAAAGCGTGTTTCTGGAAGTCTTAGAATAGCAATTTTGTTCCTACTTCTTGCTACCAAATGATCAGACACACTGAAGTCCTTTCTCAGTGTATCCCGGTACATAGTCTAGAATGTTTTCTTTTTAAGTGATTAAAGAAATGGACATTTTTATGTCTAGTAGGCTTTATTTATAATGTAACTACACTAGAAGCCAAAATATTTTACCATTCAGTTTAATACTAAATACCTAGAATTGCCATTTAAATATTCATTGTGAATTCTACCCTTTAGCACCGTAACAGAACCCTCTTTGGAATGTTTCATGCTTTTGACTATGAATTCTAATTTTTCTGCCATAAATACAGCTATCCCTATTTTAGTTATTGCAACTTACCTGACATATCTCTGCTTATTCTTAGAACTTTTTGGATCACTTTGTTTTATGTTTGTACCCAGAACTGATAGAGGATGGGAGTAACTGCTTCTAGGATTTCTCTTTACTCCTTGCAGCACACAGCATTTTTTGCTCTCCCCTGAAGGGCAGGGAATCACTGCCTCCCTTCTTTTAGCCCAGCTATTTCTGTAAGATATCTTTTCCTATTTGTTTCCAATAGGGAAGCCTAATTCTGTTGTATTAGTCCATTTTCACATTGCTATAAAGAAATATCTGAGATGAGATAATTTATAAAGAAAAGTTTAATAGGCTCATGGTTCCATAGGTTGTACAGGAAGCAGGATGCTGGTATCTGCTTAGCTTCTGGGGCGACCTCAGGAAACTTTCAATCATGTCAGAAGGCAGAGCGGGAGCAGACATCTCACCTGGCTGGAGCAGGAGCAAGAGGGAGAGACCGGGCGGGTGCCACACACTTGTAAACCACCAGATCTTGGGAGAATGGACTCACTATCACGTGATCAGCATCAGGGGGATGGTGCTAAATCATTCATGATATCCACCCCCATGATCCAATCACCTTCCACCAGGCCCCACCTTCCATACTGAAGATTACAACTTGACATGAGATTTGGGTGGGGACCAGATCCAAGAAGCCATATCAGTTGCCGTGAGGAGAAATCTGATTTGTTGTTTCTTAACCCAGCTCTCCTCACTGGAAATGACTAACAGAGTCTGACATTATATAACCTCTAAACCTGAGTTTTTGGCATAGCACATTACCATATTTCCCTGTACCCTCAGCAATGCGTAGAGTGAATTTGGTAAAGATGAGCGCCATTTTAACTAGAAATTTCTAAGTGCTATTTTTAATCCCTCCCCGGCTGGAAAGGTAGTTACTATCTGTGGGTTAATGTTTCTGACTTCAATTTTTTTTTTTTCCTGTTCAGCATGAATAATTTGGGGGGAAAACAATTTTTTGTTTTTTTTTTTGCTTGGTACTTCCCTTTCAAGAAACATCAAGTACATTATGACCATTACTTAGAAACAATGCATAGTTTATTTGGGTCTTGTGTGTTTGGTATGTGTGTGTGTTTTTCTAAACAGATGTTGAGTAAAATCTTCAGAAGGTCATGTGTGAGGCAGAATACTTAGAAGAATGCTTCAGAGCCCAGCCGACTTTAAACAACTTGCTAAATCCATTGTTTATTAAAGTGAAACAATGGAAAAGAGGAAGTGGCAGAAAGCTGCTTGGTTAATATTAAATGAAAGTCATCTCTCTCCCCCTCATAAGACATGTCAAACCACCGTAAATTACAAGCTAGATGAAGTTGGAGAGCTGGTTCAGAAATCTTTGAACCAAACCGAAACAAAACACAGCCCTAATGACATGAGTTTCTTGTAAACTGTTTTACCAGGTTGTTTACTGCAGAACAGAGGTGAGTCAACAAGAGATAGATTCTCAGGGTCAACCTGAGAATGACTACCAAATGGGAGAAGAGATGTAGCTGATAGAGGTCTTGAGAAAAGTGGATTTAGGAAGACAAGGAACGTTTTCCTATTGCTGGAGAAGAACTGGCTCTACTTTAGATTGACTGAATGCTTTTTAATGTTTCTTTCTTTCTTTCTTTCTTTTTTTTGTTGTTGTTGAGACAGGGTCTCACTCTGTTGCCCTGGCTGGAGTGCAGTTGCACGATCATGGCTCACTGCAGCCTCTGCCTATTAGGTTCAAGTGATTCTCCTGCCTCAGCCTCCCAAGTAGCTGGGACTACAGGCATGTGCCACCATGCCCAGCTAATTTTTGTATTTTTCAGTAGGGACAGGGTTTTACCATGTTGGCCAGGCTGGTCTCCTACTTCAGACCTCAAGTGATCCACCCGCCTCGGCCCGTCAAAGTGCTGGTATTACAGGCATGAGCCACTGCACTTGGCCTAATATTTAAGTAAGATCAAAACATTCACTCCAATCAGGCTTAGTACTTTACAGGAAACCAAGCCACTAGGAAGAGGAAGCAAGGTTGGAGGGATAAGAAAGAAACCTGGTTTCCTTTCTATGATGGCTAATGTTATGTGTCAACTTTGCTAGGGCGTGGTACCCAGATATTTGGTCAAGCACCTATCTAAATGTCACTGTGAAGGTATATTTTAGATCAGATCAATATTTAAATTAGTAGATGTTGCTTAAAGCTGATTAACCCCCATAATGTGGTTGGGACTTCAACAATTAGTTGGAGACCTAAAGAGGTAAAAGACTAAAGCCTCTTGAGGAAGAGAGATTTCTGCCTGTCAACTGTCTTTGGACTCAAGGTACACCATCAACTCTTCCATGGACCTCTATCTTCCTGGCCTATCCTGCAGATTTTAGCCTTGCCCACTCCACACTCGTGTGAGTCAGTTTTCTAAAATCTCTCTCCCTCTCTTTCTCCCCTCATCCATCCTTTTGGTTCTGTTTCTCTAGAGAACCTTGACTAATACACTTGCAGAAGTCCACAGAAAGTCCATTACTCCAGATACCACCTAGGTGAGTGCCAACTGATTCTTTCTCTTTCTTTGGTCATAATGCAGTCAAACTCCCTAAGCCATGCAGTCAGCTCACACCTGAATCAGCATAGTTTCTAGAGTGGCTCCTCATTGTTGAGAAGTCAAGTTCAGAATTTTATAACTGAGTGGTGGGGATCATTGTAATCTGGCCTCATGCTCTCTGTCCTAGGTCTCTTTTTACAACATAAAACCTCTGTTGTAGATCAATAGTTTCTTTTACTCTACTTGTATCTCTAGTAAGCCTCACATTGCCATTACTTATCCTATACTATTGATTGGATATGCTTTTAAATTCAACTGGAGTCTCCTGGAGAGAAGAGACCAAGCCTTTTACTCATTCTGCCCGTCCCGTGATGTCTACTAGAGAGCTAAACACACAAAAATATCATCCAGTTCATGACAATTGATGGCTGAAAGAATCTCATCTGGGGTTATGCAAATTAACCCTACATCTCCTAGACCCATAGGTGCATGTTAAACTGTGCAGTCTTCTATATGCTTTCTATTAAGGGAAATGTGACTTCAATGTGAACAATGGCCATGATTTCCTAGCAGTTATTGTTCGTGTCACCCATTAGTAGATTGCTGTTTACTGCCTTCTAATAGCTTCTGGTAGAATTCTCTTTTGAGGTGTTGTTTGCTTTTCCTATGCTTTAATATTTCATCAGTTTATATCTTAGAGTTTAAAGACATTTAGTAGACCCCACAATTCCTTGCACATAGTAGGCTCTCCATGAACCAGGCCATAATAAACCAGTAAGCCAATAAGCTAAGTGTAAACCTGAAAGATACAATCCCAAACACTATAATCCTGAATGTTGAAATCCTAAAAGATCAAAATCCCCAAAATTTAACTCTGGAAAAAATAATTTAAAACATTTTAAAAAGGCATTTACTTACATTTTAAAATGGGGATTTATTTGAGAAATATAAAAACATGACAGGACACTTCACAGGCCACTTTACACAATAAAATAGGCAAGAAGAACGTACATATTTTTGCAAGCATAAGGATTCAGTTATGCTAATGACAGTTGCACTGGTACAATACTTGTGAGCAGATGAACCACATCTATAAAGAAATAGATAAAAAAGGGAAATATATAAACACATATTATAAATGGCAATTGTGTGCACCCAACTTTATCACTGCAGTCATCTGAAATATTGTGATAGACAACGTAAGCCTTTGACAAGATTGTTCAAAAACCATGATGGGTCACCACTGCATATGCACTTGTTCAAAAAGCCAGATCTTGAGAAATTTTATCTTTCATAAATGCAGATGTACCAAAAGGACATCTCTTCATTTACTGAGGAAATTTTAAAGTTTTTATGTACACGCACAATGTTAACATGCAACGTCAATGTTGTGATAATGGACTTTCGTGGAGTCAAGTTTGCAAAAAATGCATAAAACAGATTAGAATGCTCTAAAAGTCTCTATATAACTTATACTTCCACTACTGGAAATAATGTGAATACGAAATACATAGTGTAGAAAATTTTTAAAAATGTGCTGAAAATGAAAAATGGTGAAAAAAACTAAAAAAAGAAAAAGGGAAAAAACTGAAAACCAAAGCACAATAAACTAAAAAGAAAATTCGACATATAAAATAGTGGATTACAGGGATAGTTTATGGGCATTCACATGGAGATAGCCCATAAGAACTGGCCTAACATGATGCAACTATCCTGTGATTATGATTTTCAGGATTTTAGACTTTAGAGATTTTGATCTTTCAGGATTTCACCATTCGGGATTGTGGAGTTTATTGCTGGGTCTTTGGGGATTATGGTTCAAATCCGCTATAAAGAGTATGGAAAGATGTAGTACTCTTTTTTGCAATAGTTTATCACCAACTTTAACCAAGAGAAGGCCCCTCATCCTGTCTAAGCCTGGCCATGGACCATAGTGGGAACAAAGGAACTCAGGGTTAGGAATGTCTGCCTGAGCCCCAGGAAGTTGCTTTGAAATTCTAAGCTTGTGGCTTGTAATATATGTTTGTCCATCAAATAGTTCCATGATTTCTTCTGAACAAGATTGTTTTCATAGTTTTAAAAGATGTGTTTGTAGAGAATTTTAAACATAGAAAAGATGAAAAAAATATTGGTGGGTGGAGAGCCTCATTTCCATCAAAAAACTATGCTCCATGAAATAGTTCAAGGGCTTCTCATGTAAGCCATCTCAGAGAAAGGGCCTTTTCAAGTTGAAGTGGGGCATAAAGATGTCTCTGATCTTGGGCTCTGAGAAACCTCATCCTTGATGATGCTGCCTTTCTTTCTGCTTGCTGTCTCATCCCCTTGCCTACCAAATCCATACACTATACAAGATACCAGTTATATTTTTAAAAAACAAAGCTTAATGCTTAATCAACATATAATTGGGCACCTACAATGTGGTTGTCACTTTGGGTTCTGAGCATGTTTCTCCTCTCCTTGAAAATCTCTCTTGATTTCCCTTTGCTCCAGATTAAGTTCACATTTCCCTTCCAGCTACTGCTCTCACCACATCAGACACAGTGTGTAGGGCACACCCTGTTTCTGCCACTAACATTCCATGCCTTCCATACCTCTGTGCCTTTGTTCACATAGCTTCCTTTGCCCGAAACATGCTTCTTCCTACTCCATGTCTAGAAATTTCATTTTATCCCTCAAAGCTTAGCTCCCATTTCCATCTTCTGTGATGCTTTTCTACTCGGGCTCTGTTAGTTAGTTTCTGCAGGAACCCATAGCTCACAGTTCTGCTGTGGCACCTGAACTGTGATCATCTGCTTATTTGTATTTCTCTCTCTACTTCAGTAGGACATTAAGTCTTGTATCTTACTCATCTCTCAATATTTGGCACATAAGAGATAACAAAATTTTAATAATATGCTGTATGCAATACATACATAAGTTATAAATTTTTATCAGTTAAAAAATAATCAGAGGAAAATAAATTCTGGGAGAATGAATAAATGAGGAATGAAAGCTAGTCAAAATGGTTGAGTATGCTTCTTCTTGGAGTCTTGACTGACACATGGAATGAAATCTTTGTGGTACCATTTTGAAGGGAGGTCTTAATGATTTCTCAAACATCTCTTCCAACTTCTCCCTGATTCTTTTCTCACTGGTGGGAGAACCTCTTTTCCCTTAGTGGGGAACAATGACCTTCATTTTGCAAGTAGGAAGAAGATTTAATGCACAGTTACCCTTGGGCAAGGTCACAGACCAACTGCTGCTCACCTTGAATGGTCCTTTAATTAATACTAGAGCTTTTTCTGAAAGCAGACTTTGGTGGGTGATGGAGAAAGAATTGGAGTGGGGCCTCAGAGTCCAGAATGCTTGATGAGCTTGGGGAACACAACATAGAAAAGGATACTGGGGATTTCAGGATGGTGTCATTATCCACTCTAGAAGCTCTTTTGCAACACTCTGAGATTACTGTGGGAGGCGTTTCCTTAGTGCCCATTGCTGGTATGTGTTGACTTGCCTTAGTAATACCAACTCTGCTACCTTCTATTTACACAATATCGGATAAAGTATTTAACCCCCCGAGTCTCATTTATAAATAGGGATTATAATACATAGCTCAGAAATTAGTTGTAAGGATTAAATAGGGATCATGTATGTAAAAATGATATTGCTCTTTGCAAATGGAACAGATTAGTACGCTATTTTGTGTGTTTTTTTTTCTAGTAACTAGTGCCATGCCTGGCATCTGCTGGGCATATTTTTTTGAATGTTACATATTGCACAAATATGCATATGCAGTGTACAACTTGTGACCATGGTTGGAATCCCTGCAAGCCTGTTTCAGGGTTAAATCAGGAAAAGAGTTTAGAAGCAGAATACCTGAGAAAGCTTTCCTTCACCTAGTGAGTATAATATATTCCATACTTTCTGATAATCAGACTGAACCCAGCTCACCTCCTTTTTCACTTTTGTCCATTAGTGTACACCTTATTTTTTTCTAGAATCCTCGATGGCAATTCTTTCAGGGCTTCTACCTGATGACTGTATAAACTAGAATGAACCAGGGCCAAGGAAGTCTTCTTGGGGCGCAGTTGTCCAGCAACTGTTTTCATCAGCCTTGGGAGATGGGCCATGTTGGGGGTCTTACCACATAGGAGATTCCCATGACCTGAGTCTATGCATGCTCTTATAATTACTTTCTTATCCAGAAGTTGCTCCACTACTCCCGATCCCATATTACTCATTTTTAAATGTTCCTCTGATTTTTGAGAAATCATCCTTTCCAGAGCTACAGGGGGAGGAAGGGGTTGAGTTTAGGGATGAAGAACTAGTATTCAGGGATAACAAGGGGAGGGAGATAAGGTCAGAGCCCATCCTTCTGCATGAGCCCTTGGGCACCACAGAAAGGATCCTGCAATGAAACCAGCCACATCATCTTGGGCATGTGCCATTCTGCCCCACCCTCCTGCTGGTCAGTGGCCTCTCACATCCAGTCTCTTCTAAATATGCCTCAGGTAATGGTAACTAGCAGAACCACACACTGTAGCTAGCTAGTCACATTGAGAATATTCCTTTTGGAAAAAGGGGCTCTGGAAAATAGGAAATGCAGAGTGGCAGATGTTAGAGTATTAGAGTATGTCAGATTTTGGGTGCTCTCTTTCCCTAGCTGAACAGTGGGTAGATTTGGTTGGTGCCCTGGCATGATGGGTGATTTTATGTGTCAATTTGACTGGACCATAGAGTGCCCAGATATTTGGTCAGACATTATTCTGGGTATATCTGTGAGGGTGTTTTTGAATGAGATTGACATTTAAATTGGAGGACTCTGAGTAAAAGATATTGCCCTTCCCGATATGGGTGGGCCACATCCAATCAATCAGTTGATGGCCTGAATAGAATAAAAAGGCTGTATTCCTCTCTGCCTGACTGCTTTTGAACTTGGGCACTGGCTTTTTTCCTGTCCTTAGACTTGAACTGAAAGACCAGCTCTTCCTGGGTATTGAGCCTGTTGGCCTTCAGACTAGAACCACACCGTCAGCTCTCTGGGATCCTGGGCATTGAGACTCAGAATAGAACTAAACCATTGGCTCTCCCAAGTCTCCAGTTTGCTGACTGTAGATCTTGAAACTTTCCAGGCTCCACAGTTTTGTAAGCAAATTCTTAACAATAAATCTCTCTCTCTCCCCACCCCACCTCTGTATGTGTGTGTATGTGTGTGTGTGTACATATACACATACATATAATATATACATATATATGTGTGTATGTATATATATGTGTGTATGTATATATGTGTGTGTGTTATGTGTATATACACATACATATACACATACATATGTGTATATATGTATGTATGTATGTATATATGTGTGTATTATGTGTATGTGTATATATGTATGTGTATATGTGTATATATGTATATGTGTGTATATATACATGTGTATATGTGTGTATGTACACACACACATGTACATACATATGTGTATATATGTATATATGTATGTATATATGTGTGAATATATATACACATATATGTGTATATAGGTACACATAACACACATATATATACATACACACATATGTATATATGTATGTGTATATATACATATATGTGTATATATGTATACATTTATATATTATATATGTGTATATATGTATACATTTATATATTATATATGTGTATATATGTATACATTTATATATTATATATGTGTATATATGTATACATTTATATATTATGTGTGTAGATATGTATATATTATATGTATGTGTATATACACATATATGCGTATATGTGTATATACGTATACACACATATATGCGTATATGTGTATATACGTATACACACATATATGCGTATATGTGTATATACGTATACACACATATATGCGTATATGTGTATATACGTATACATACATATATGCGTATATGTGTATATACGTATACATACATATATGCGTATATGTGTATATACGTATACATACATATATGCGTATATGTGTATATACGTATACATACATACATGTGTATATGTGTATATACGTATACATACATACATGTGTATATGTGTATATACGTATACATACATACATGTGTATATGTGTATATACGTATACATACATATATGTGTATATGTGTATATACGTATACATACATATATGTGTATATGTGTATATACGTATGCATACATATATGTGTATATGTGTATATACGTATGCATACATATATGTGTATATGTGTATATACGTATGCATACATATATGTGTATATGTGTATATACGTATACATACATATATGTGTATATGTGTATATATGTATATATATGCATATATATGTGTGTATATATGTGTATGTGTGTATACATATGTGTGTGTGTATATATATGTCTCCTGTTGCTTCTGTTTCTCTGGAGAACCTGAGAACCTTCACTAATACACCTAGTCTCTCTGCATAACACTGGACTCTACCTAAGCTCTGGTGATGAATCAGCGTGATTGATAAACATATAAAGCTCACAGAGAGGTTATTCAACCAGCTCATGTGGCCCTGTTTGGTGCCTGGTTACTGATTGCTGTTTTGTTTCCTGTTTGGCAGGATCCGAATTTCTAGTACTGATCTGGGGCCAGATCCTGCTATGTCCACCTTTCCTAGAGGGAATTTTTCTAGACTATTAGGGAATCCAGGGTCTCTGACAAAAGGGGTAGAGAGGATCTCTGCCTAATGGACCTGGAAGGTGGCATATTATAAGGATAAAATTGATAGAATATTGGGGATTGAAGGGGGCCAGTACAATTTAGTAGCATAACAGGAAGCATAATACAAAATTGATTTTCTGAAGTGCAGTTTTTGCTCTGGTTACGTGTCTTGGTGTGTGTTCCTTAAACAACAATGAAATGTTGTTTTTGGTATTTTTGAGTGTGAGAGGTTAAGAAATTCTTCCCAACTGTGAATGGGATGGGAGTATGTGGGGACTCATGTGAACTCTGAGTGCCATTTTATTGAATCATGAGTGCCATTTTATTGAATCATGAGGGCAAATGTCTAGAACGAGCTTAGGGCCGAATGTGAGTCAGTGAAATAACTCATAATTCTATTTCTACTTTTAACTCAGGAGGTGACCTTGGGCAAGTCATTTAATTGCTCTTGGCCTCCTATGTCCTCTTGCTTCTTGAAAAGTGGTCTTCAAGCCAGCAGTCATAGCATCACTTAGATGCTAGTTAGAAATTTAGACGTTCACACCCTGCCCCAGAACTGCTGAATCAGAATCTTCATTTTAACAAGATCACCACGTGATCAATTTTGACAAGCACTATTATGGAGGAAAAAGAGCACAATGTTTTGGGATTATTTAGAAATGACCGTTTTCTTGATCTGTACACTCCTATATGACTTTGGATGTGTCAGTGAAACTCTCTGAGCCTCAACTTCCCTATTTGAAAACAAGGGTGAAAATAGCTGCCTTACAACCTGATGGACTTTTCATGAGGATGAAATTAAAATCTCATATGCATGTATTGAGTGACTTGCATGTGCCTGGTCCCATCTAAACACTACAGGGTACAGAGATGACTCAGACATAGTACTTATGCCCAGGAATTCGGCCTCTAGTAGAATGGGAAAATATGTGTGACAGCACTTTGTAAATGCAAAGGGCTACCTAAATGTTAGCTATTCTAAGTATTAATGGGGATGATAATACTTGCCCTACTTATTCTGAATGGCTATCATTAAGCTCAAGTGAGATAAAGCATGTCAAAGTCATCCGAAAAGTTGAAAAGTACTGACGTAAGAACTTATTATTAGTAGTATTATCGCCATCACTGAGTGAATGATCATTAATTTTAGTAGGCAAAAACCTAGATTTAATTATATTTACTCAGGCAGCAGAGGATGCTGGAGTTTAAATACCAAACTTAGAACTCTCAAGTTGAACACACAAGGAGACTCTCACTTACTTTTGGTTCTGCAGGGGAACTACATCGACAATTAAGAGTCTGTTAATACTTCTGCTATTTCAGAATATCTGATCCTAGAAGCAGGGATTTCTTCAGAGTTTACTGGCGACCCACTGAAATGCATCCATCTGTGAGGTGGAATGTTCTATCTGATGGGCAGCCTGACAATAGCACTACCCTGACGATTAGGATGTGGTCAGGTGGAAAAAACACAGTTGGCTTATGCTTTGCGAGGTCCTCTATCTGGGTGTCTGTTCAGGGGCAGTCTTGCTCTGTGCATGACTGTCCACAGAGCCCATGGCATTGTGCTGAAACCCTGGAAACTCAGGGCAGGCAAAGGAACTGGGAAATCAATCTAGTCTAATTCTCAAATTTGCAGACACTGTGGCCCAGATCATCAAAATGTTGTCTGTGGCTGGCTCCGGATCACACTTGAAGATGATAGAAAAGTTGGGACTTGACAACTTAGTTCTCCTGGCTCCCAGTACAGTGCCTTCTCCTTATAGCTTCATGCATTGAGGATGCTTTTGTGCTTTGAGTCATGTACCTGCAAGGAGACAGTGCACGCTGCAGTTTTGATCTGGTCGTGTCTACCCTTTGCTTTGTTCTTGACAGTGTAGATGCAGTCTGGGATCTTCTTCCTCACTTCCTCACGGTTGCTCTTCTCTCCTGACACTGCCTGTGATGTGGTCAGTGCAAATTTTAATGAGGCAGCAGCAAAAGGGCAAGATTAACATTTCCCTCCCTGACAGTCCTCATGCATGTTGTTTATTCTTTTATTACATGTTTATCTTAGTCTTCCTTGACTTTGAGTTAACATATATGTGTTTACTTTTCCCTCTAGATTATAAGGCTCTGGAGCTCTGGAGGCGGCAGCTCCATGGTTGAAATCCAGCTTTGTCACTGCATAGATCATTCTGTGATCTTGGGCAAGTCACATTGTCATTTTGAACTTTTTTTTTTTAGCCTGTAAATTGAGATACGATCATTCCTACTCTATAGATGGTGAAAACTAAAGAATACATGTGATGCCACTGATGCATTGTAGTTACTGTCTCTGCTGCTCTCAGATGTGGGCCTGAAGGGACAAAATCTGATTAACCATAGCCACCTTCCTCACCTTTCCATGCTATATGGGGATCCAAATGCACTCTCAGGACAAAAATGTCCTGAGCCTCTCAAGTGAACTTCCAGACATTTTCCTAAGAAAGGAGCTTTAAATCACTCATGAGGTCTCTTATTCTAACTACTGGTCTTTTCCAGGAAGGTTGGGTCACAGACCGTTAACTACCATTTATTTCAGCCTTTGGTTATTGTTTTTTAGCTCTGATGTCTGGCATTCTCTTACTTCTAAGCTCATTCCCATTTTGTTTTGAAGGATGGTGATGATTCTTTCAGGATACAAATATTACCTGCTTCCCTATGCATGAGTTAACGTGTACTGAATTGAGAACAGGTAGATGCTACCATGCCTCTGGGCCTTGGCTCCTTATTTGTGGCACATTTACTGTCTTAACTTCTTCCTGTTCTGAAGCTCACAGCCGGAAGTGACCTCTTCCTCCTTTGATTCTGTGACCTCAAGGGCAGGCCAGCCTTGGACTGCTCCAGGCCCCGTGAAGCACTTTATATCCAGAAGAAACAATACAGAGTTGCTTGATTCCTGCTTCTTGAACTTGATGCTCCTCTTTTAATTAAAAGGAGATGTTTCCCTCTCACAGAATGTATTGGAATTCCTCCGAGAGAGTGTCTCAGCTCCTTGCCTAGAAAAATGTCTTGTTAGTCTATTAGGTGTAGAAATTGAGCCTCTAGGGCTTGGTGCCGAGGTTTCTGAAGGAGAAAGCTTCTTCACATAAGAGAGAAAAGAATATTTGGAGCTGGGGAATTGGGGTATTCAGGAGAAAGGTGGCGAGGATCTGGGAGAGAAGGACAGAGCAGACAGGGGTGAACATGATGGCAGAATGCCACGCTCTTGATGTTATGACCTCTACCCTGATCCTCAAGTAATCTGAGAAGATGGGTGTGATGGGCTCTGCTGTGGATGTGGAAGAAAGGCTGATTCTGCCTTGTGAGTGGGTAGAAGGCAGATCTGGAGACTGGACATCTCTGTGATTTTACAGGAACTTGAAGGAGGAGCATGGATGGGAAACAAACTTTGAACTTCCCCAGACCTTGGAAATGGAGGTCTGATGTAATGTGTGGGGGGCGCAGCAATTCAAGGAAGTTAAGTCAAGAATGCAAGGAGCAGAAGGCCCCCAGCTGACCTCTGGGTTATACTCACATTGAGCCTGGCACAAAGTCAGGCATTTAAAATGATATCCTGCCAGGTTTTTTTTTTGTTTGTTTCCTTAGAAAAGGATATGGCAAACTTTCAAGGGGAAACTGTTGATACCAGAAGGCCACTTTGGGTCACCTCATCCAAGAGTCTGTGCAAACTCCCATGATGCCCAGGGACTAGGTTGGTTTTAGAGTCTGCTGCCACTGCCATTCTCCCGACTGCCTTCTCTCTAGATAGATACGGGTGGCAGTGACCACAGGATACCAGGCATTTGGGGAATCTTAATCCTGCTATGTTTTAAGTAACTATTACTGGCTGTGAACACCACCACCTCCTCTTCCACTGAGAGTCATGGAGCCAGGCTGGCAGTCGATCTTGTGAAACTGAAAAGGGGCCACTAGTGCACAGAGGCCATGCTCAGTGGCCCTATCACCACTGTCAGGAAGAGGAGACAACCAACCAAACCCATGAGATCTTTCAAGAATGAACAGATGAAGGTTTCTGAGAAGTTTCCCAAATTATTACTTTGAAAGAGCGCCTCCGCAGTCTTTCCTGTGTTTGCTGTGAGACAGCAGCTGTGTAGCTGTCAGCAATTGCTGCAGAGATGCAAGATTGTAAGAGGTGGATCAATATTTTTTTTCAATATGACTTACCCACAGCTGTTCACATATTTGGTTTCTTTGAACAGTCTTTCCACTGAACTTAACCAGGGCAGGAGTTTCTTGAATCATAATATGACATGCAGAAAAATTAACAGTAAAAATTTTAAATTTAAAACTATTTAAGTGACCTTAAATAGTTAATAGGTTAACAGAGAAATCAAAACTGCAATAATAGACTCATTAGAAAATAACCAACAATGAGAATACACATATCAAACTTATGCCAATGTTGTTCTTGAGAAATGTCACTGCTCTGAATATTTTCAGAAATAAACAATAAAAATGAAGGAGAATTAAATGGAGAAATGCAAGCAGCCAGGAAAAAAAAAACAAAAATAAAAAAACAAAAACTAAAGAAAGCAAGAAGAAATTTTTGAAGGTTGATATTAGATGCCTAAAGGTAATAGAATGCATTAATAAATCCAATAACAATTTGTTTTGTTTTATTTTATTATTTTTTTGAGATGGAGTCTTAATTTGTTACCCAGGCTGGAGTGCAGTGGTGCAATCTCAGCTCACTGTAGCCTCCACCTCCAAGCTTCAAGTGATTCTCCTACCTCACCCTCCCGAGCAGCTGGGTCTACAAGCAGCCACCACCATGCTCAGCTAAATGTTTATATTTTTAGTAGAGACAGGGTCTCATTATGTTGGCCAAGCTGCTCTTAAACTCCTGACTTCAAATGATCCACCCGCCTCAGCCTCCCAAAGTCAATAGGTATTTATTTTTAATATAATAAGATAGGCCAAACTCTGGCAAATATAAATCACAAATGTAGTGAAAATGCAAATATTTAATATTAGAAGTAAGAAAGAGAATGTACCTTAGAGAAAGAGGTGATTTAAGGAGCAAAACAGTATTATGGGCAACTGTATGCCAGTAATCCTTAGAATACTATGTAAATAAATAATTTTCTTATACATATAAATCACCAACTTGACTGAAGAAGTACAAAACCGAAACAGAAGAGTAGCCATGAAAAAATTGAAAAACAAAAAAAAAAGTTTAGAGGATTACTTCAAAAAAAGGTCCTGGTATATACGGTTTTATGCTTTTCTTCTTTAAAACTTTTAAGAAACCTAGCAATCATAAAAGAAAAATCAACAGATTTGGTTACATAAAACTTAAAACAATATATTATGGTAAAAGATATCAAAAAATTTTGAAAGAAGATGATGGAGAGAGGAAATATGTGCAAATATATATAAAAAGGCTAATATTCCTTGCATGCCAAGAACTTAGAGATTGACAAGAAAATTGTCTAATAAAATAGAATTTATTATATTTATTACAGAAACAAATTTATCACATGCCTTTTTAAAACTGTTAATGGTACATAAGCAGGTTTGTTATATAGGTAAACTCATGTCACGGGGATTTGTTGTACAGATTATTTCATCACCCAGGTATTAAGCCTAGTACCCATAGTTATTATTCCTATCCTCTCCTTCCTCCCATGCTCCACCCTCCAGTAGGCTCCAGTGTCTGTTGTTCCCTTTTTTGTGTCCCCGTGTTCTCATCATTTAGCTCTCACTTATAAGTGAGAACGTGCGGTATTTGGTTTTCTGTTTCTGCATTAGTTTGCTAAGAATGATGGCCTCCAGCCTCATCCATGTTCCTTCAGAGGATGTGATCTCGTTCTTTTTGTCGCTGCATAGAATTCCATGGTGCAAGTATACTACATTTTTTTATCCATGTTACCTTTGACAGGCATTTAAGTTGATTCCGTGCCTTTGCTATTATGAATAATGCTGTCATGAACATACTCATGCGTATGTCTTTATAATAGAACAATGTACATCCCTTTGGGATTGCTGGCTCAAATGGTATTTCTGTTTCTATGTCTTTGAGGAATTGCCACACTGCTTTCCACAATGGTTGAACTAATTTACACTCCCACCAACAGTGTATAAGCATTCCTTTTTCTCTGCAACCTCACCAGCACCTGTTATTTTTTGACTTTTTAGTAATAGCCATTCTGACTGGTGTATCACATAAATTATATTGCCTTATAATACCAAGCCTTCTAGAAACAATTGACATGTTCAGTATAGGGGGATGATTATACAAATTATAAAAGTAGTAATAATTTCTCAGGCCCAAATCTTTTCTGTTTTCACACATACTCCATATCCAATTCATCTATAAATTCTGTTTGCTGTCCCTTAAAAATGATTTCAAATCTGAACATACTTCTTCACTTACACAGCTACTCTGTGGTCCAAATCCCAGCCCTCTCTGGCCTAACACTGGAGAGTTTCTCACCTGCTCTCCTTGCTTTCACTCTACTCCTCCTGTTGTCTCTTATGTGCACAGGTGCCACACCGGGAATTGAAAATGCAAAATAGGTACCACCATCTTGCTCAAAACTCTCCAGTGTCCATCTTCTTATTGCACTTAACATGATACCTGAAGTTCTGACCAAGGCTTACAGGATGTTACTTGATCTGAGACTTGGCCATTGCTCCAACCTCATTTCCTACTGTTCTCCCCTTTCTGGCTTCTCTACCAACACTGGCTTCTTGTTGTTCTTTGAACATGTGTACGAATCTTTTAACTTGATGTTCCCTCTGTTTGGGACACTTTCCCCTAAGGTTATTGACATAACTTTCTTCTTCACTTCCCTTGCATCTTGGTTCAATTTTGTCCTTCTCAGACCATCCTATTCAAAATAGCAATTCCCTTCTGATCCTCATTACATTGGTGACGCATTCTGAGAAAACACAAGTCCAAAATTCAAGAAAGCATTGGATTGTAGTTTAAATCATTGCTCCCAAAGCTGGGTTGCAGTGGTATTTCTACACCAATTTAAGCGCTTTATGCAGATTGTCTCATTTAATTTTCACCACGACTCTTTTGATCAGTGTTTCCTATTTTCAGATCATGAACCTGAAGATGAGAGATGATTTCCTGTAGTGTAAGTGGAGGAGCCAGGACTTGAACCGCGGCAATGGGGGTCGGCACCAACAGGCTAAACTGCCTCCCAGGGCACTGGGCACATCTTTCCTTCTCACCCTTGCACTGTGTCACAAGGGGCAGCAGCTGTCTTTAATTTCATGTTTCACTCTCTCAAAATTTCCCCCTTTTTTATTTTCTAAAACTCAGCCTACACTGATTAATTGCTGTCCCATGCTCTACTGCCTTTGTCCTGGGTCTCTCTCCTTCTTAGACACCTCCACTTTAAAGCAATCTGGAATCCCTGACTTCTCCAGCTCTATATTTTTGGCCAGTTTGTCATCATTTGCATAAAGAAGCTCAAAAGACAGCCTGGGGGCATGCCACACCCTCCTACAAAGGGGCAGGAGGAGAGACACAATTCTCATCACACATTTTCAAGTTTCTAGAAGATGCCTCTGCAATACTTCAGTACGGAGCACACACTTCCTGAACTACTCCAAGTGGAAATGATTTCACCTTTCTCTGAATCTTTATAGAATGTGTTTCTGTTTCTATTGATTTGACCCTAGTATTTAACCATACAAAGCGAATGGTAGGTGTGTTGCCTTTAGCAAGTTATTCATCACTTTGTACCTTAGTTTCTTTCTCTGTAAAATGGAGAAAATAATATCTACACTTCAAGGTCGTGGGAGGGATTAAATAACGCAAGATACCTATTAATACTTGGCATACAGTTGACAATCATTAGTCATGAGTTCATCTTGAATCTGATTCTGAAGGCAGAATATGTATCTTTCCTCATACCTGCAGTGTTGAGTCATTGTATTAGTCCTGAGGAAGTGACTGGAAAAGAAGTCTCAATTTCACTGCCAAAGAAATAATTGGATCAAGGTTACATAGCGTATTTAAAAAAAAAAAAAAACAACTCAAGCAAACAAACAAAATAAATGTGTGCATGCTTATAACCCTCTTATGCATGATTTCCAGGTCAGACATTTCTAAATGTAGCCTTCTGTGGACACCTTTGAGCACTGAATGACAGATGGCATAGAGTGATGGACAAGGAAATGGACCCAGATAGGAAATCTGGGTTCTAACCATTCCTCCCTAGCTACGTGACCCAACTTAAGGTACTTATTTTCCTTAGGCTCAGTAGGTCTTTTTTTGTTTGTTTTTGTTTTTTTATCCTTTAAATGGGAAATACTAAAAAAAAAAAAAAAAAGCAAAACAAAAACAAAAACAAAAACAAAAACACCCAACAACCAAACAATAGGGATTTCTGCTTGCTTCATAGATTGGCTGTGTCAAGAAAGATAACCTACATTAAAGTATTTTGTGCATTCAAGATATGAGAGATTAGCTTAATAATTTTACTGTCTCCCTTTCAATTGAAAAACAAAATGCAGCTATAAGTAAATGTTTCCTACAATGTTGGGTTCCCAGATACATTCTGCAGATATTGAACAGCTTCTACTCTTGTTAGGGACATGTTACTCTAGGATAACTGCTTCAGTGTGAGGATTAGGAAGGGCATGATCAACAACTGAATCTTGAACCATGGCTGACTTCCAAAGGCCATTGCTTCACCTTTGATAGGACAATGACTCAACCTCCAGGGCTGAGTGATGCCTGTTTGCCATGGAGTGATCTCTATTTTCCTCTCCATATACATCCACACATTTTTTCTGTCTCTAACTCTATATCTCTGTCTATATGTGTGTGTATATATATACACACGTATATATGTATACATATATACACACGTATATATGTATACATATATACACACGTATATATGTATACATATATACACACGTATATATGTATACATATATACACACGTATATATGTATACATATATACACACGTATATATGTATACATATATATACACACGTATATATGTATACATATATATACACACGTATATATGTATACATATATATACACACGTATATATGTATACATATATATACACACGTATATATGTATACATATATATACACACGTATATATGTATACATATATATACACACGTATATATGTATACATATATATACACACACACACACACACACATACCTGTATCTATCTATCTATATACCTATACCCATACCTCTCTCTCTTCCTCTAGTTTTTTCTTAATCTTGGCAGTTCTTGATCCAAATTCCTCTTTTTGCTGCAAAAGCTAGCTTTATTCATTGTCAAAAATTTATTCATCATCATAAAAACAAATGCTCCAGAATAGTTGATTACCACACAAATAAAGTCAAATTCATCTCTCTATTTTATCTCTATCCATCCATTTACCTGTCTATCCATCTATCAATTCAAACTCTTGTTCAGCCCATCCATTCAATCGTACCTGCTAGAGTTTATCTTCCTTTCTTTATCTTTTGCCTATCTTTGGGCCCAACCTGGAATAGAAACTATGGCTTCCATCCAAGAAAGCATCATTCAAATTGTGCTCAGCCACATGGCAGTCTAAATTTGGAATCCACAAGGTTTTGAGAATGTCTTTCAACCTTTGGGTGATTATCTGAACTCAATTCAAACCTTCATGCTTGAAGACTCTGCTATTGTTAATTATGGCTCCTGTTCGCCGCTGGTCAGTCACCTGGCTGTTTTCATTTTGCCTGGGAAATGACCTTTTACAAATTCCCTGGATTGTTTGAAACCAGCTGCATGGCAGAGGCTGGTTGATGATGGGTGAACCAAAGAAGGTTGATAGTTTTCAGCTTAGCCTACCCTGGACGAGGGCCCGAAGCTCCTGGCTTTGAATAAACTCAAATAGAATTCACCTGGAAGAGCAGCTTTCCCTAACAGTTGTTTGTGTTACAGACTTAGCCACAAAAGCCTCATGAGAATGCTGGGTCAGAAAACACAGGGATGGGTGTGATTTGGGGCCGAGCGGGGATAGGGGAGCTGATTACAGGATATGCTCACCTCCCCCACCACGGATGTAGCTTTGGTTTGGTGGTTTGATTTTAGTATACCCTAAACTAATTTAGTCCTATCCATACTAAATTCTAGTTGGGCACTTGAGAAAGAGCTTTTATTTCATCCTTGGCTTTAAAAAAATAAAGGCAATATGTTCTTTTTGAAGAGAAAACAACAAAACAGGTTTTGCAAGGGCTGGATTTTCAGTTCTGGAGTTTCCCACACTATCTATGGCCTAAAGGCTTGGCAAGGGCAAACCAGGGCTGTTTAGGGTGAAAAAGATAAAACTAATATCTTAAGCTTGTGTAGAGCTTTATACTTTAAAATGTCTTTTCAACCATCGCTGACTGCAAACTTAATCTCTGCCATGCAGTGTGCTGGGGAAATAAAGGAATAAAGTGAGGTCCTTGTTCTCAAAGAGCTCATGGGTTAGTAGAAGGAGATCAACACTGATGTAAGCAGATGTAACAAGACAGTTTCATGCCACCATGCCAGGAGAGAGGAGGGAGGAGCCAATTCTGCTGTGTAAAAGGTAAGGCAGTTAGAAGAGTAGGACAAAAGTATTATAGAATATTCAAGCTTAAAGGGACCTTAGATTTTATATAATCCTACACAATCATTCTAAAGATGAAAGAACTTCATCCCAGCTGTGAAATGACTTACCTAAAGTCAAACAGCTGGATTAGCAGTGCAGTGGGTCTAGGATGCTGAACTTTCAGATCTCAGGGTCGTAGTTCTTTTTTTCCCCACACTGCATGGCAATATCTCACATTCTCAGCAAGGGACCTGAGCACTTCCGTGGGGTACTGCACTGTGCTGGTGAAGAACCCACGAACTCCTCTGTCTTGCATGCAGGGCTAGTTCAAGGCTGACTGGGCCTCCAGTCTGTGTTCTGTCTGCCTTTCTCACTCTTTCATTGATGACCAGTGTTTTGATGCTCAGGGTCTCTCCAGGAATCACATATACTCGTCCATTCTAAGGAGTTAATGGTTTCCTTTTGGAATCTCTTCCAGAGTACAGCACTTAGTATAAGGTCTCAGGAAAAGCAACTAATAGCAGACTTTTAGGCACTTAGTAGAGATATATTTGGGAGACAAGAATCTTCCTGTGTCCCCTCAGTCACTCTTCACTGAAGACCATTCAGTACGTCTAGTTTTAGAAGTGAAATTGTCAGGGAGAACCTCTGCCTTGTTGTCAGAAGCAATCCTTAGCTCGTGGAAGTGCATTGGGAAGCCACACCATGGCTCACAGGTGAAATTAGATAGAGGGGTAACTGGCATTTTACGGGAGGAGACTGAGAAAGTGATGTGAAGTCTAAGGTCACACAGCTGGCAGAGGACCTCCAGTGCACATGCTGCCTGATGGAGATTTAATTGACATCCCTCTTACCAAGCTCTGGTTGAGTCCAGATACTCACAGATGCCGTGGGAATGGTGAGGTTTGAGAGCGAGGTTTGGAGGCTGAAAGCTTTTCTGTATGATCATGGAAATCCATTACCCTCTGTGCTCTTGGGAATGCCTGCTCTTCTTCCCTGCATTGGTCTGAAAAAGAACAAGCAAACAAAAGTAAGTATTGCTTTCCCCTGTGTTTGACAAGCACTTTATGTTGTGGGCCTCTTTTGTTACTTAATTCCTAGCTGATTTTTGGCTCTGTGTGCAGAATATTGGCTCTTGGGACAGTTGTGTGTGTATATGTATTTTAATCTCTGTGTGTCAATATACTAAAACAATGAAGTCTCAAAGTTTGTTTCAGGCATCTGAGTATGGTAAAATTTGGCTTCTGGAAGGTCTAGGTCCTGGAATTTTCTAGGCTAAAAGTTTTTCAAGTTGTTTAAAGTCATAGAATCTTTATGTAACAAAGAATCTCATAATTGTGTCTAAAAATTTACTTATATATGTGTGTGTGTGTGTGTACACACCCACACATACATAGTTTTAAACTATAATATCTATTTGAAACTATATCTATTACTCCTTGCCATGGGTATATTGCAACTGACCCTTAATATATTGCGCTGTAAATAATGCTAGAAAGGAATCAAGGATGATAAGTGAGTATAGGAAGGGAGAAGAGGGAGAAGCATATAATAATTTGTTAAGATAGAATATTGACAAGCCTTTTTTAATAAATAAAAATACTGCATCTGACGTATACGTGGAAAAACATATACACATTTGCACAAATTTAAAATAGGAAATAAAGCAGAATTTATATCCATTTATAATAGAGATCTATGGGAAGGTTGTTGGTCTCTAATGATAACGGTGCTGCCCAGGAGGAAGTGTGGAGTGCCGCATGAGAGAGTTGGGGGCGGGGGAGGTGCTAAGGTTTCAAGCCAGCTGCTCCCACTTAACAACTCTATAAGCTTGGGACTATTACTTTCTATGGGCTTCAGCTTCCTACTCCGTAAAATCAGGGGAAATGATGTTTCTTCAGAGAATAATGAAAATTAAACAAAATCTTAAGTTGCTTGGCACATGACCAGCATTCCATAAAATGTCAGTTCCTTTCTTAATCCTAGCATCTTTACTGTTTATGGTGGTAACATAATACTTACATATTGTTATGGACTGAATATGTCCTCCCAGAATTGGTATGTTGAAACCCTAACCCTCAATGTGCTATTTGGGGGTGGGGCCTTGGGAGGTGATTAGTTTAGATGAGGTTATAAGGGTGGGACCCTCATGGTGGGATGAGTGGCCTTATAAGAAAAGACACCAGAAAGCTTGCTTCCTTTTACTCTCTCTTCTCCAAGTAAGGGCACAGTGATAAGGTGACCGTCTGCAAGCCAGGAAGACAGCCCTTATCTGGAACCAAATTGGTCAGCATGTTGATCTTGAATTTCCTAGCCTCCAAATAAATGTCTGTTGTTTAAGCCACCCAATATGTGACATTTTGCTATAGCAGCCTGGCTGGCTAACACACACTTGACGACATCTTGTTTGAAAAGGTAGTTATGGCTTGATTCCTCTTTTTTTTTTTTTTTTTTTGAGACGGAGTCTCTCTCTGTTGCCCAGGCTGGAGTGCATGGTGCGATCTCATCTTACTGCAACCTCTGCCTCCTGGGTTCAAGCGACACTCCTGCCTCAGCCTCCCGAGTAGCTGGGACTGCAGGCGCCCGCCAGTACGCCTGGCTAATATTTGTATTTTTAGTAGAGACGGGCTTTCACCATATTGGCCAGGCTGGTCTCAAACTCCTGAGCTTGTGATCTGCCCACCTTGGCCTCCCAAAGTGCTGGGATTACATGTGTGAGCCACCACGCCCGGCTGGCTTGATTCCTATTTTAAGGATGGCAAACTGGAAGTCTCAGAGAAGTTGTGAAGTCCAACATCACAAGAAAGAGCCAGCATCAGGATTAGAGTTTGCACTTCCAGTGTCTAACTCAGCATTATTCCATGATACCATACTTCCTCTCTTTATAATAATTAGGGCTGTAACGTCAGAAATGGAGATGGTGTGGGGTTCCATCTTACTTCATTGTTTTTAATTTGGTTTCTTGTTTGGGTGACAGCAGATCTTCTTAACCTGGAGCAGTTTTGCCACTGCCCCTCCGTCCTGGGGAGTATTTGGTATATTTGGAAACAGTTTTGATTGTCTCTATTTTGACTGGGGTAGAGGGTACTGCTAGAATTTTAGTGGTTAGAGACCAACGATGCTGCTTACCATCCTACAATGCATAGGATAACTTTAATGGTTGAAAAACCCTGGGTTATGGTCATACAATGGAATGCATTCTCTACCCGGAGACAGCAATACTTGTACTGTTTGCCTTTTGCTGTGACTGAAGAATTTAAGGATTGACATCTTGCTGCAAAGTGTAATATAAAGCTAGAGGGGGAAAATACAACCAGGCTCAGAAACAATAGTCCCTGAACACTTTAAAAAATATTATGGCATTGACAAAATCATATTAAAATAACAGGAGGTATCCAAGATAAAAATATTTCTCAATTTCATCACCTAATTAAATCATCCCCATATATATTTAAAATGTGAGAAATTCATAACACCATCCAAATTCTAAGTTTATTAGTAAATATTCAGCTGGTTCTCATGGTTGTATAATTCTACAGAATTGACAAAACGTATTCTAGAACCTTCCTTACGAGTCTGTTATTGAAGAAATGAACCGGAAGCTGGGCGCGGTGGCTCACGCTTGTAATTCCAGTACTTTGGGAGGCCGAGGCAAGTAGATCACTTGAGATCAAGAGTTTGAGACCAGCCTGCCCAACATGGTGAAATGCCGTCTCTACTAAAAATACAAAAATTAGCCAGGTGTGGTGGTGCGTGCCTGTAATCCCTATGAGGCTGAGGCAGGAGAATTGCTTGAACCCGGGAGGTGGAGGTAGCAGTGAGCTGAGATTATGCCACTGCACTCCAGCCTGGATGACACAGTGAGACTCAGTCTGAACAAAAAAGCTAGAAAAAAAAGAAAGAAAGAAAAGAAGTGAATTGGAACTTTGTTAATTGGATCTTTGGCTATTTTGAACCCCTATAATCTTATTTAACAGAAAATATAGAAATGGCAAGAAAAAGAAATTTATATGAGGGATTTGTGAACAAATTTCTAGGGCATTTGCAGAGGTCAATATGGATTTCAGATTCCCCCACTCTCTGCAGGCACTTGAGCAATCTGGTATATGATGTAAATGATCCCAGGCCCTTGTGTTGCCTCAGTTGTCCTGGACAAACTTCGCCTGACTTTGCCAAGGCAGGAAGGTAAACCCAGAAAAAAAATTGCACCAGCACAAAAGATTGGGAGTGAGGAGAAATTTTTTGGAGTCGGGGGGAGGGGGTTGGATTAATTACCTGAAAAGCTCAGTACTCCAGGGTATTCTAACCAATGGAATTTTATTGCAAAACACCCTGTATATGTGAAAGATTGAGTAGGAGGCTAGAGGAGGATGCATACTCCAGCACAGAATGCTGTTAGAGGTGAGAGTTTACTGCAAGAAGCTCAAAGAATCCATCCTCAGCCAAACCTCCTGGGGGTGTTAAGCTGGGGGATCTTGGATGGTGACAACTTGCATGATTCTGTCACCAAAGCATACTCAGATTGTGGCAGAGGACTTCTTCCTTTGGAACATGAGATATAGGACGGGCATGGAACGCTTGTGTGGTGGCTTGGCAAACCTCTTCTTGAAAAAGTGAATTTGATTTAGAAAATAAGAAATGCACAGAAAATTTAAAAAATACATACCAATAATTACATACCAAAATACATAATTAACAGTATGATGTACACTTTGCACCCCTGACCCAGATTGTCCAATGGCATCATCTGGCCTCAACAGTTCCATCCCACTTGTCATGTATATACACACTGCCTTGGTGCCAAACTGTTGATAAATAGGCTGCAAACATCGTGACAATTCACTTCTAAAAGCTTCTGCATGCAACTCCCAGGGAAGAGAGAATTCTCATACACAACCACACCCTTAACAAATCTAAGGAAATTAACAATAATTTCATATCATCACCCAATAGTCTGTAAAGTTAAATATTCCCAATTGTCCCGACAATGTTCCCTATACCCTGTAGCTATTGCATTGCCCATGTATCTCTTTAGTTTCCTCCCATCTAGACCAATCCACAAGTCTTTCTTTGTTCTTCGTGACAATGAAGCTTTTGAAGAGTGTGAGATTGGTTTGAAAGTTTCCTCATAATTAAATTCAGGTTAAACAATTATGGCAAAGTACACACAAAGAATGTGTGTACTCATGGTACCACACAAAAGGGCATACAGTGTCAGCGGTCCCACTACTGGTGATGTCAAGTGTGACTATTTGGGTAAGGTGGTAACTCCCAGATCTCTCTGTTGAGAAATACATCCTCTCCACCTCCCTGTCCTCCTCCCCACACCATCCCTGGAATTTAATAAATAATCAGTGGGGTGATACTTTAAGATTCTATTTTTTTAACATACATTGATGATTTTTGCCTTAATTATTACACTGGAGGATTTTCTAATTTTTTGAGTCCTTTTACACTTACTAGTTACATTCTTTTGTAAAAAGAGATTTTCCTTTCACTCTTATTTCTCTTCTCTCCCCTCCCCACATTTCCTCTTCTTCCTCTTCTTCTCCTCTGCCTCCTTTTCCTTCTTTTTTTCCTCTCTTGCTTTTACTTCTTCTCTTTCTTTTTCTCCTTTATCTTCCTCATCTCTCTTTCTCTGTTTTTCAAATATCAGTATTATAATAACATCTGCATTTCTTCAGTGTTACATTTGATTATTATTGTTACTCCTTATGATCTGCAATCATCCCAGACTTGGGTAATGAGAGCCCCTTCAAGACAGCTCCTCCGTCTTTTGACCTGTGTCCATCATCCCTGGACTCTTGCTTGATTCTGGCTGAAGATGTGTCAGGCTTTTCATTGTCCAGGCCTGGAGTCAGCATTTCTCGAGGAATAGTGGTTCCTATTGGTGGGGAGTGGTATTTAGAAATGCACACACAAACACACACACACACACACATATGAATGTACACTTCACATATACATCCTATTCATGTAGAAAACCACAAAATTTCCCCCCGGCTTCTCTCATTCCATATCTGTGTCTTCCTCTTGCAAAGTGGAAACCCTGGCTCCCTAAAATATTAATTTACTTACACATTTACTCTATATTACACCACAGACAAAGTAGTTCCAAATTACAGCATGAACGCCACTAGGAACAGCAAACCTAATTGTAAAATTCACAATTTGTTTGCAATTCATCTTCTTAGACTCCATTAGTTCCCCCTTACCTGAAGTTATGCTTTTCAGTGTTTCAGTTATCTGCGGTCAACCCTCTGTCCAAAAATATTGAATGGAAAATTTTAGAAACAATTTATACATTTTAAATTGCACACCCTACTGCAGAGCATGATGAAATCTTGTGCTGTCCTGTACCTTCCTGCTCTGTCCTGCTGGGATGTGAATCATCCCTTTGTCCAGCTCCTCCATGCCGCGGATGTTCCCTGCCTGTTAGTCCCTTTAGTGCCGTCTTGGTCATCAGATTGACTGTGATGCCATCACCATGCTTGTGTTCAAGTCACCCTTATTTTACTTAATAATGGCCCCAATCCACAAGAGGAGTGATGCTGGCAATTTGGATGTGCCAAAAAGAAGCCATAGGATACTTCCTTTAAGTGAAAATGTGCAAGTTCTTAACTTGAAAGAAAAAAAAAGCATATGCTGTTTTTGTCCAGGATCTATGGTAAGAGTGAATCTGTGAAATTGTAAAGAAGGAAAAAAAAATCATGCTAGTTGTGCTGTCACACCTCAAACTTTATCATAGGTGCATATGTTTGTACAGAAAGAAACAGCGTATATAGGGCTCAGTACATCCACACTTTTGGGTGTCCACTGGCGGTCTTGGAACGTAGTCCCCATGGATAAAGGGAACTACTGCATATCCTATTGTATTCATGTTACTTTAAATAATGATTTTTCTCTGTGTATGTTTTAAACTTTATATATAGTTTGAATCATTTGTTTCTGTTTGTATTCAATTCTAGGGTTTGCCTTTTATATTCTTTGCAACTTAAAAAATATGTAAACTCTTAACATGATTGAAAAGTCAAAATTATATAAAAAGATATACTCAAAGAAATCTCATTGCTTCTTATACGCTCTTCACTCCATTCCCATCACCTTCTATGGATAATCATTTTCATTACCTATATTCTTAAGTAAAAAGTAAACAAATATGCTTATGTGTGTTCTTATTTTTCCACTTTTCTTTTGGAAAAGGCAACACACTCTACAACCTCTTCAACACTTCAATGTGTAATGTACATCATGCAAGTCACCTCTCCCCTCCCTCCCTGCCACAATGCCACCTTCCAGAGATGCCACTGTTCCCAGCTAGCCATCTGTCCTTCTACCTTCCCCTTGAAGAGTTCTAAGTAGGTGATGGCACCAGGTTGGAAGCCGCATGTGATCTCCCTTCTCCGCTGCTGTATGATTCCCAGTGTTTTCAATATGGCCCAAATTTGAGCTTCAAGCTGCTAGTGCCTACAGCGGTTCCTCATTCAGAAGCCTGGGTTGACTCTTAACTTTGATGCTGCTTTGCAAATTCAAGGCTTTCTTATGAGGAGGGCTAGAGAGAAAGGTTTGTTACCACCATCCTCTCAATTAGGTGACTCTCATATACTGCGCCTTCTAGCATGATGGCCATCCAGGAGAACGATACACACAATGTTTGCCTCATGATAAGGCCTGGCTTCCAAAGGGGCTGCAAGTTTATGTTTGGTTATAAATTTAACGGTTGGTTGAAATTACTACTAGGAATACTTTGAATGGTGGTTCAGCTTCTGTTAGAGTTCGGCTAGGCAGATCCTGCTGGAAAACCCATTTAGCTATAGAAAAGTGGCTGGGCTAAGTTTTTAAATTTATAATTCCATTGTTTATAAAAGCAGTCTCCTTCTAATTCCTCTTTACCCCAGCTCTATGAGATATCTCAAATTTTACTTGTTTTCTTCAAGTATAGAGTTTATCAGTTAGGTAATGAACCAGAAAGATCCTTTCTGGCTCTGACCATCATTTCGGCAGAAGTACCACAGCTGTGACGAGAGCAGCCTGCTCAGGGGTGGTTTGTTAATGCCTGGGGGATATGGACAGGGTCAGGATGGCCATGCTAGGGAGGGCTTGCTTTATTAGGTTGGAAAATGTCACATGGAGGCATGGCCCTTTCCCCGAGGGGCTCTTGGAGAGGAAATCATAAACACAAGGCTTTGGAGCAGAATCCCTGGAAAACCATTTATTGCTACAGTTTCATGGCTTGGCTCTGGAATCTTGTCTCCAGCACAGCTCTGATTCCAACTCTCTCTGCCCTGCCCAAGCAACTGGGTCATGTCCCCACCAGGGTGTTGGACACTCAAATAACTTTCATAGACAAAGACAGCATGATATTTGCCCAAGTCCCTCTTGGTGTCCTATGTAGAGTCCAAATCCTTCAGCAATGCATTTGGAGGTCTGCCAGAATCACCATATGTCTGTCTTAAAAATGTCTCATCTTATTCAACAGGAAACCAGTTTAACACTGGGCCCTGGGCTGAAGGGGTCTTATAATAACATTATACTTTATCAGGAGGAGAAGCAGAGAGGCTTTTGCTCACAGCATGAGGGTTCAGGCTGAAAATCTCCTGGGGCATCACTTTTAGCATCTTCTTCCTCCACAAAGGCAACATTTCTCAGAGATTGTCAGGAATGAAGCATGGGGAAATAACTTATCCCAGGCCTCCTTGTGCAGAGGCTGGAGAAGAGGGATTGATAGTGACAAGGATTCTCATCTCCATTCTAGATGAGGGGTGGGGTAAGTGTTCTATAGCTCGACTCCCCACCCACTTTTTTGTCAGTTCTCTGACTTCTTCAATGCCCTGGAAGGTGGGAGTGGGATTCAAGGACAAAGGGCAGTGGGAGTAAGGGGGAGAAGAACTAAGATCTGTCGAGTGCTTCCTATGTGCTGGGTAACATCCATGCTTTGTGGTAACCTGACAATCACCCTGTAGGTTAATCTCTGTACTCTACGGGATAGCAACTGAGTCTCCATCACACTGAATGACTTGCCCAAAGTTAAGCAGAGAGTGAGGGGTGGAGCCAGTATCTGAACCTAGGCTTGCCAGCCTTGTCCAGTAAGTCACACCGATGCCCTTCACTAGTGTCCCCAATAAAGGATCCTTATAGGAGTGAAAAATGGGTTGGGAGGAAATAGAACAATGCCCAACACTCAGAGCAGAGGCAATAAAAGTTACCCTCACTCCTTTCCTCTCCATTCTCTCTTTCCGTTATCACAGGATTAGAGGTGGTGAGTGGGTGGCAGCAGGTGGTGCTTCTGTGGAAAGAAGTAAAGCGATACCAAATCGAGGCCAGCCAGAGGAGGACACTCTTTTGAGAATCTGGGGAGCATGTCAAAAGGCACAATGATCATTTTCTCTCTCTTCTTTCTCTTTTTGGTGGTAAGACTTCCTTAAGTCTTCCTTAAGGACAAGATGCATTTAGCTTCAAAGATACTGTTGACTGTTGATAGCTACAAGTAGCAGCTCTCAAAGTTTTTGGTGTAGGTCCTTTCACGCCATAAAAATTATTAAGGAATCTTAAGTGGTATTTAAAATGTGTATCATATTTATTGGTGTTTACTAAGGCAGATATTAAAATAGATAAAAATTCAAATACTTATTAGTTTCCTTAATAGTAACAACAATATACTGTTGTATGTTAAATTACATATTTTAATTAAAAAGAACTGTATTTTTCAGAACAAGATATTTATTGGGTAGAGTTGCATTGTTTTATTCTTGCAAATCTCTTTTATGTGTGTGTCTTAACAGAAGACAATAGCGTTTTTATATTTGCTCATACATTCAGTCTGTTGGAATGTACTATTTTGGTTAAAGTATATTTGGCAGAAACTTTATACAGATATGTAGTTGGAAAAGGGAGTATTTTAATTGCCTTTTCAGATAACATTACTGTTCTTTGATATGTCAAAGCTCAACAAGTGGAGATTTTTAAAAGGTTGGTGCAATGCAGAATATGAAACCATATCAATGAACTTTATGTGCTCTGTGAAATTGAGATATATTGGTCTATCTTCCACTTTGAATATATCTTCATTCATGCATGATTTTATAATTTTCCTGCATTGGTGATTTGGAAGATATTAGCTCATCGAGTCATGCGAATCTTCCAAATGTTAATTGGTTTTATTTTTAAAAGTCACATTCATTAATTGCTAACCTCATCAGAAAAGTCACTAAGTATTGGAAAGCTATCAAGCTCATAACAGTGGATACAAGTTTTCTAATATTCTTGTTTCTTTTGAAAGCTCAAACTTTATCATTGGCAACAAATGCTGATTGTTTCTCTTTAAGTGACAGATTCACTTTGTTCATTTTCAAGAAAATGTCTGCTAAATGCACGAATCTAAATAACCATAGTATTATGACTAGTCATTCTTCCAAGTAAAAAATGTTGCTGCATTAAAAAATCGGGTAGTTTAGCTCATAGTTTAATCACATCAGTGCTTTTTCTTGAGACAATCATTGGATGTAGGTGTGTAGCAGAAAAGCTTTATTCCTATTTCCCACTTAGTTACACCGAATATTAAAAAGACATGTACTCAAAGATTAAAATATAATAACATTACTACTTTTTCCTGCTTTATGAAGGACATTCTCAAGATAAATTGGCATTTTTCCTCCGTGCTAGTATGTGGTGTTGAAGAATATGGCCACTGGTAGAGTTTGATGTCACTTCCTTGATTTATGCTAAGTGAACAGCAATTTTATCTACCATTCCTGTGCCACTATCAGTGCAAATGTCAACATTGTTGGTCCAGGATAAAACATGAGATTTTTAAAAGTTATTAAGCACTTTGAATATGTCAGTACCACTGTGTTTGTTGCCAGGCACTTACATAAAACATCTTCTTTGATCATTAGTTGTTGCTGATACCAGACAAATTCAAGCAAAACAACAAGTTTAGCCATATCTATAGGCTCACTGAATTGTAAACAAAAGTGCAGTTGTGCAGAGGAGATACTAACTCAGTTTTTCTGTTTACAGACACATTTTTAATTCATCAAGTTACGTGTTTTTTGAAAGTGGCAGTGTCATGATTTTGTTAACAGACTTTTCGTCTAGTAGGCAGTTGGCAGATGTCAAATGTGGATGCTTTAGTAACATCTCAGTTATTATATCCACTTCTCAGCCAATGCTTTAGCTGCTGAATATCAAAATGATACCACACCTTAACTGACACCAAAATACCATTCAACAATATTCTGTTACATAAGACACACCTGGTAAATTATTATCTATAAAACCAAGGAAAAGATAACTTTTGCTTATTTTTATTTCTTATTTACAGTTTTGCCCAGTTTGGGGCAGTTTCTTCCCTTTCATGAGTCAAAGGACTCTGATATGTCAATATTATCTTTATTAGCATTTTAGAGCTAGATAATGCAGCTGTGAGTTGAAAAAGTAAGTCTCTAATTTCTCCCTTTAAGCCAACAATGTAGCCTAAAAAATGCAAGAAAAGCATATTTTAAATGCATTTTTATTTATTTTAGAATAAAATTCTATTAAGTCCTAAAATAATGTTTTAGATAAAATAGAAAAGTCTTAAAAATTGAAAAATAATTTTGCAAAAGAATACAGAAAGTATATTCACCTTTTTCTTGTGCTTCTGCATAGGTATGAGGAAAACTTGGGGATTTTAAAGTAACAGCTTATTGGACAGAAGGAGATAACACATATCAGATTATAGATGGTATAAATGGAAGTAGCTGGCAAAATCTCAGTAGAAATCCCGAGAACAAACTGAGCTAACCTCTGGAAGCATATGTGTTTATATCCTAAACCTACAACCTTACAAAGTTCTGGAAAACCCAGAACACAGAAACACATATTTCATTAACCATCAGAACAATGGAATTATTAGACATCATGTGGCTTCAGGAAAATACCTTATACACATGTGAAAGAAAAAGAGTGAAGAGGGCAAATGACATTTGTATTAGTCCGTTCTCGCACTGCTATAAAGAAATACCTGAGACTCGGTAATTTATAAAGAAAAGAGGTTTAATCGGCTCATGGTTCTGCAGGCTGTACAGGAAACATGGCAGCTTCTGGGAAGGGCTCACAAAATTCACAATCATGGTGGAAGGTGAAGGGGAAGTAGGCATGTCTTTCACAGCCGGATCAGGAGGAAGAGAGATGTGGAGATGTGCTAAACCATTCATGAGAAATCTACCACCATAATCCAACCACCTCCCATCAGGCCCCACATCCAACATTAGGAATTACAATTCGACATGAGATTTAAGTGGGGACATAGATCCAAAGAGTATCAATGTCTTAGTAATATGGCAAAAATTATCTTGGCATCATGGACTCTAAAAGAACTACTGATTCTTTGAGAGCTGCTGGATAAGGGGGGACTGAACAAGGTTCAGAGCAAAGAAAGAAAAAGGTAATCATTTAGGACCTGTTTTTGATTTTTAAGGGAAAGGGATAAAGGGGACATGAAGGTTCCACAATGTCAGGCCTACCTTATCTGAGAAGGCAGGCAGAGAGGAACTTGAGAACAGTGGCCCTACTGAGGAACAGAGGCTACAGATAGCTTGAACATATTTTGTGTGTGTGTGTGTGTGTGTGTGTGTGCGTGTGTGTGTGTGATTCTAAGTTGACTCTACATAGCAGAGGATTGCTGGCCTAGGTACCAGTCTCATGGAGAGCTGGGAAGACCTAATAGTCATCAATCGATAGAAGGCCTTTTAAAGGTGAAAGAGGAAAAGGAACAGAAAGACATGTATATTAAGAGATTGCGTTTTTTCACACTGAATGTAATGTTTCTATTCTTGTTTTTTTTTAAATCATACGGAAAAAAGTAAATATTTATTTCTTTACCACTGTTCTTCCATTGTAGTTCCTTGTTTTCATCCCCCACCCCATGTCCATTTCTTTGCCTAGAATTTTCCTGTCAAATGGTGAAGAATCTGAGCTGACCCAGAGTTTGATAAGGAGCAGTATTGGGTCTTCAGTGGCAATGATATTGTCTGGCAAGAAATGGTTTTCTTTGGAAATAGACAGTGCGCTTCTGACTCATTCTCCTGCCACCAAATTGTAACTGGCCTATTGACAGCTTCCACTGCTTTATACTTCTTCATCTCTTCCCTCTTCGTCCATTAGAGGATTTAAGGTGAATTAAAAACCAAACCCAAAATATAAACAAACTTAAAACATTACAGCAGTCTAGTTCATTAGAACTTACTGCAATGATGGATATATCCCATATCTGTGCTGTCCAATGTGGTAGCCACAAGTGACATGTGGCTATGGATCCGAGAAATGCAGCTACTGCAACTGATGAATATTTTAATTTAATGTAATTTGAACTTAAATAGCCAAATGTGGCTTGTGTCTACTATATTTTATTGCACATCTCTAGAAATCATTGGCCCTGACCAATCTTTCTAGTTTCATCTTTGGTCTCTGTACTCCTAAATCCCTTAGATTTCAATAACATATCTTTCCTTCATAGCATTTATTCATGTTGTTTTCTCTGCTTGATGAAATCTTACTTGTCCCTTAAATTGCAATTTCAATGCCATCCATTTTGCTAAATTTCCTCAGCCTTTGGAGCCAAAGTAATTGTTCTTTACTCTGTGCTCACATAGTATTTTGTTCATGCTACTAAGAGAGCACCTGCCAAGTTGTCTTTTTTTGTAGTCATAATATGTTTGTCTCTCTCATGCATGTCCAATACAGATGCCACTGGCCACCTGTGGCTACGTAAATTTAAGTGAATTAAAGTGAGATGAAATTAAAAGTTCACGTAATTAGTTGCACTTGCCATTTCAGGGATTCAATAGCCACATATGGCTAGTGCTACCAGATGGGATAGCTGGGATAGCACATATATAGGGCATTTCTATCATTGCAGGGAGTTAAATTTGACAGCACTGACTGAATTATCTGATTGCAAAGACTGTTCATCTTTGTGGCACTAGGATATTCATGGTGTCTGAAAGGGAGTAAACACTTATCCTATCAGGCCATGCCAAGAAGACAGGACTCATGGGCACATTTAATGCTCGAATATGAGAGATAGAACCAAAAGCCATTTGATGAGTTGAAGAATCAGGATATTGGAAAAAGACTGCTAAACACCAAAGCCTCTTGGGGTGGTAATAATGATGGCATGGCCAGGGATTAGATACCTAATGAGTTAGCAAATCAGGGCCAAAATCAGAGAAAATTCGCTAGATAAAATATGGGCACTAACGTTGTAATCAACGTTTTTTGGACAGGCATTGTCTGCACTCTTGCTAAATTATTGGTAATTTTAGAGTGCACTTAAGGCCTGGCTTCTATGAGATGAGAGATAGTGCTCACTAATTGTAAAATAAAATGAACAAAATGTAAATGCAAATTATGTATTTTAGATATAAAGTATATAAGTTATAAGCCATGTATACACTGAAGAGACAAATAGTTTCTCCAGTCAGCAAGTTCCTAGTCTAGGTAGAGAGACACATATACAACCAGCTAGAGCAGTATGATAATGCTGTATTAATATGAACAAAACATGGAACCCACTAGGAAAGGTGATTAATTCTACTCTGCTTTTAATAGCCACATTCTTTCAATATGAATCCTTCATTTGCTCAGTGCTGCACAGGTACAGAAATGTTTGTCAAATAGAGGAATGGATACCCTCTTAACAAACATACTGTATTTCTGCTTTTTGTAATCTGGGTATCACCTTCTCATTACAGCTTATTAAGATTCCACCAACATCACTCCTGAATACTTGGACAACTTTCCTTTCATCACTAGACAATTACTCAACCAATGTTGCTGGGGCATCTACAGGGCATCCTGCTTACCATTGGGTGCTTTGGAAGATAATGGATAGGTGCTTATTCTCAAATAGCTTAGGATTTTACAGGAAAACAAGCATAGTGCACTTATAAATATCATCACCAATCCAGCGTACATTAAATATCAGATGAATGGTATAGACATTAAGTGCTAGGCCAGTTCAGAGGAGGGAGGGATGTTTTCCAGCTGGTGTGATCCAGCTGCTGTGATTAATCAGCAGAAGGATGCCCCAGGGGATGGTAGCTAGAAGTCTGTTTTCTGAGGTCTTTACTGCTAAAATAAGCCATTCTAGGGAATAAGGAAACTGACTCCATGAAAACAGTCCCACTCTGCCTTCTTTCCTAGAAGAGCCTTGGTAAGTGGACTTCCCACTGTAATTCAATGACCAGCAGCTTGACACAACTGTTGTAGATTGTCCTGTTTATTTTATTTTATTTTATTTTATTTTATTCTTTTTCTTTTTAAGCTTCTTTTGGGTATGAATTAGGCAAAAGAAATTTCTTAAAGTCACAAAAGTACCATTCTGGTGTCAGTTTTTGTACATTGCAGAATGTCCCCTTATTGTGTGCTTGGGAAACTCTGAATCTCATGATTTATTTGTAATTCATTGCAATGTGGAGTAAGATCTGGATTTAAATTTCAGTTTGCCACTTGCCAGCTGTGTGACCTTGGACAAATGAATGTCTCTAGTCTTTCCTCACTTTTCCACTTTTATCCCTATTTTCTGCTTTTATTTCTGTGTATGTAGTTGTTAGGTGACACTACAAGTGATCAGTTTATTCAATACCTTTCAGTTTAATAAGATCCAGGATCTCTTGTTTATAGACTTTTCTTTCTCTATCAGATATAATTCTTTCTGTCTGTAGCTTCCCTTTGGACATAGATTATATTATACTATTTCCAGTGTAATTGCCTCAAGAAAGGAGGCAGAAACCTTCATCAGGACCACCTAAAATAAAGGCTTCACTTTAAAATACTCATAGGCGACATTCTCTCTAAATTTAATGTCAATTATGGTATAGAGATATGGGTTTTGTGGTGCTGAAAGATTATCCTTTTGAAGGTGGAACTTGTCATTTATTTCTTTTCCCATACTTCTTGTTATATAGATCTGAGATTCTGGCCTATACTATTTTTCTTCTCCCTGAAGAATTTTTAACATTTCTTACAGAGCAAGTCTGATAGAAAATTTTCTTTGTTTTTGTTTGTTTGAGAAAGTCTTTATTTCTCTTCCACTTTTGAAAGATAATTTTGCTGGACATAGAATGCTAGGTTGGTGGCTTTTTTTTTCTTTTTTGACATTTAAGTATTTCATCCCACTCTCTTCTTGCTTGCACAGTTTCCGACAAGAAGTCTACTGTAATTTTCACCTTTCTTTCTCTATAGGTAAGGTCTTTCCCTGTCCTTCTCCACTCCCCACTACCTTCTTTAAAGATTTTGTCTTTGTCTTTTTTTTTTTTTTTTGGCAGTTTAATATATTGTGCCTAGGTTTACATATTTTTGTTATTTATCCTGCTTAGTGTTCTCTTGGCTTCCTGGATCTGTGGTTTGATGTCTATTTATTATTATTTTAAAAATTCTGAGCCATGACTCCTTCAAATATTTCTTCTGCTTCATTCTCTGTATCTTCTCCTTCTGATATTCCAATTATCTGAATACTTCACCTTTTGAAATTGTCCCACAATTCTGGGATGTTCTTTTCTTACATTTTAAATTCTTTTTTTTTTTTCTCTTGGAGAAGAGAAAGTTTGGAAAATTTCTATTTGAACTATCTTCAAGTTCAGTAATTCTTTCCTTGGTCATATCCAATCTACTGATGAGCCCATCAAAGGCATTCTTCATTTTTGTTACAATATTTTTGGTTAATCACATTGGATTTCTCTTTCCTGGAGTTTTCATCTTTGTGTTTACATTATTCATCTGTACTTGCTTTTTTTTCTTTCTCTTTTTTTAAAAAAAAACAAAACTTTTCATTAAGCCTTTAACATATAATCATAGTTATTTTAAATTCCAAAATCCATGCCATATCTGAGTCTGATTCTGATGCTTACTTTTTTTAAAAAAATTGTTTTTCCATAAGTTATTGTGGTACAATGATATTTGGTTACATGAGTAATTTCTTTAGTGGGGATTTGTGGGAACCTGGTGCACCCATCACCTAAGAAGTATACACTGCACCATATTTGTTGTCTTTTATCCCTCACTCCCCTCCCACTCTTCCCCCCAAGTCCCCAAGGTCCATTGTATCATTCTTATGGCTTTGCATCCTCATAGCTTAGCTCCCACATATCAGTGAGAACGTACTATGTTTGGTTTTGCATTCCTGAGTTACTTCACTTAGAATAATAGTCTCTAATCTCATCCAGGTCATTATAAATGCTGTTAATTCGTTCCTTTTTATGGCTGAGCAGTATTCCATCATATATATGTATACCAGAGTTTCTTTATCCACTTAATGATTGAAGGGCATTTGGGTTGGTACCACAATTTTGCTATTGTGAATTATGCTGCTATAAACAAGTGAGTGCAAGTATCTTTTTCGAATAATGACTTCTTTTCCTCTTTTCAGACGTTGTTTTTTTACTAACTTTTTTGTGGAAACTGCACATGATATGTTGGGTAATAAGAACTGAGGTAAATACGTCTTTTATCAAAACATCTCTGTACTCATATAAATATGTACAATTATTATGTGTTCTTTAAAATTCCTTTTTAAAATGGGAAATAATAGGCTTTACTGTGAGGTTCTATGTTAATCTGTCTAGGAATTGGGCTGTATTTAATGTTTGTTGCAACTGTAGCTTCTAGAGCTCTATGTTTCTCTGTTGTCCTTGTTTCCTCTGTTGTCACTGGGCTTTCCTGGGAGCTCCTCCTTAGATAGTCTCCAACTTGCAGTTCTTTTAGCTATAGTCACTGTTATTATAATGGAGTCCCGTTGGCATAATGGTAAGGTCTGAAGGGGGAGAAGCATTGTATAATCTTACGATCAGTGCTCAGTCTTTTAGTGGGCCTGTGACGTTCGTGAGGGTTTCTTAGATTTTATTTTCTCACTCTTTATTTGACACATAAAAGTTAGATGGGGCTAAAGCCCCCAGGTGGAATACAGCTCTGAAAACATATTTTCCCTGGGAGAACAGGCTTTTGAAATAAAGAATGCTCTGGGTATACTATTTGATGGTTACTTCTTCTCCCCTCTTGCCTAAGCTAGTCAGGGATCGACTTGGCTCTTTGTAGTGAGAACCTGGTGTAATTCCTCAAGGTAAAACCCATAAAACTGTAGGGCTCCCTCTAAGACTGTGCTCTCAACACTTTCTCACTCTGGCTATTGCACACTCAGCCTGGAGAAAATCACCAAAATGACCATTTACATGTTCCTACTAGTTTATGGCTCCAGCAGCTTCTGCTCTAGGTAGTCAGATCTTGTCCATGAGTCTCTGAATTTGCGTTTTTCTCCAGATTTCAAAAGTTAAAGACATACACTTTGAGTATTTGATTTGAATGGACTCACAGTATGAGCTAGATTTTGCATATGTGTCCTTCTCACATGCAAATCAACCTTGGCTCTAAAACTACACTTGGTTTTCAAGCCTTTTGTTTAGGTTTGTTCTAGGGGTTGTTGCGGGTGGGGGGTGGGCAGCGGGAACAGAAGGAAGATGAGTTTTGCATGATGCTTTGCATTTAATGAATTCTTCAGAATCTGTTTGATTTCTTGGGCTTATGGTAACAAGTTTTTGTAATTACACAGGAGTGCCTGAAAAATCTTATAATTCTTTATACCTGTAATACTTAGTCTATATATGAGATTGGCAGAATAGTAGGAAAGCTATGTTTCTCTTGGTGTTGTTTCCAATAAGTAGAGTGTTTGGTGGTTTAAAACTCTCCATTTATTCTGCTATTTTCTCCATTTTTCTCATGGGATGGACTTAATCCAGGAACAAGGTAAATGGCTGAGCTATTACTGATCAAGATGAAAGGAAGAGAACTGCTCCTCTCTGTTCAGGTCAGTACAGGCTCAAGTCCCCTCCCTTGGGCCATGTGGATGTGTGTTACAGCTACATTTGTTAAACTGAATGACAGTCCTTAAGGGCAAAGCTATACAATCTGTCACCAACTACCATGGTGCATGGTATATCTTAGAATGTAAATCATTCAAAAATACTTTAAAGTCATAAATGATATTTTAATTACAATATGTCAGAAAATAGAGAAAAAGAATAAGCCAATTTATCTCATAATTAATTTTCCCCCTTTTATGCATTTCCTTCCTTACTCCTTTTTCCTATGCATATGTTTCATGTAACTGTAGTCACAGAGCAAACATAATTTGTATCCTGCTTTCTGAACACTGTTCTATTGTTATGAACTGAATTGTGTTCTTCCTTCCCAAATTCATATGCACTAACCTCCAATGTAACTGTATTTGGAGACCAGGTCTTTAAGGAAAGTAACTAAGGTTAATGAGATCTTAAGGGTGAGATACTAATCCTATAGGACTGATGTGTGTGTGTGTGTGTGTGTGTGTGTGTGTAATTTTTTCTTTTTATTTTTGAGAATGTATGTGTGTTTTGTGGTGGATCATAAGGGGTAGAGGAAGGATTGGTGTGAGATCTATGAGAGTGGTTTGTAGTATTACAGACTTCTATTCCTCTCCCTTAGACCTCTGTTGGGTGATGGGAAATTAATGGTATCTGTACCTGTGAAACCTAGAGCGCATCCCGCCCCCAATAAGCCAACGTTGCAGAAGGTACTCTGCTTTCTAGTTTTTATTGCTCCAGGCTCTAGAATTTTGTCTGCAGGGCAACTAATATCTGCATCTACAGCTATATCTAGTTTTTATACTTGGGAAATTTTAAAGGAAGCAATGTGATTAAGTTAGATGACTCAAGACACACTATGAAATTAGAACTATAAATATTTTGGTATACAGTTAACATAAGCATAAAAATATATATTAACAATGAACAGACTGGGGTTCTGTTTCTTTTCAATTAGGAAACTTTTAACTGTAAATGGCTAAGGAAATAGTTTCTGTTTCAGTTCTATCTAATTTCTCTTCTTTTGAATTATCAAGATTTTGATAATTCTCATTAATGCGAGGGAAATGATCAATAGCCAATATGTATAATTAATCAAATTTCACATCTACTGCCAAGTCTTTGTAATGGACTCCTTCAAGAACACTCTGCATCCACCTAAGGTTACTTGTTTATTACTGTGGGAATTATTCCTTCACAGTTTTCTTTGACACACTCTGCAATGAGTGTTGCATGATCTATGTGGAGTATCTGTGCTTTGCATTCGTGTATGTATTTGTGTTCTTCTCCCATCCTTTTAATTCAATGTCTTTGGCAGAAAGAACAACTTCCTGATGGATATTCAAGCTGGGGAGAAATATGCATGTTTCCTAGACATATTTTGTAGCACCTGTTCACCAACACCCCATTCTAAAGGATACTGCTTCATCGTGTCCTATGTTTCCTCACCTGCTTCAACTGCAACTGATTGGGAACATCACCAAAGGGAGAGAGTTGGGAAGCAAAGCCTGGTGTTTTGTTTGCGTAGAGAAATAATGTGTCTTGAAAGTCAAAAGCATGGGTTATTCATTGGATATATTTCTGTGATGAGCTACCGTCTAATAGGGAAAGGGAAAATGTCCGCCTGGCCTGCAGTCTCAGTACAGTGGAATTTTGACAGCAATTTGCAATTAGGTACGAAGCTTCCTTACCAGTATCTAATATTGTTTGATAATAATACCCTTAATGATACTCGGATGCTTTTTTTTTTCGACTTATGGCTTTATGAAAACATCATAAAAGGATTTATTGAGACTGACTGAACCTACATTAAATATATAGTTAACTCAGCATAAAGTGATACAGATATAACCATAAATAATATAATGTTGTTCTATTATTAACACCAATCTCCTGCATGAGAATGAAAAAACTCCTCCTCAAGGGAGGCAAAGAAAAGATGTCTGTCCTGGTCCTGTATGTATCCTCCTCTTCTTCTTTGGTTCTACAACATTTGCCTTCTCTTTTCTAGACCCCATGATATTCTGGGTCCTATGCAGGTCCACCTGGGGATATATGTGTTTTTGTAAATTTGGATTTTGTTTTAAATCACCTCTTGATATGCAATTGATCAAATTTCAGACTTAAAGTACAGATATTATTTAAATTGCCGCTTTGAAATCAGGCAATCTAGGTTTGCATTTTGGTCTCTGTCATGTACAAACTCCATGACCTTAGACATGCTTCTTAACCTCAATCTGTTCATTTCTGAAATGGACATAAGAATATTACCAAATGTATAGGATGGTAATGAGGATTAAATAAGACAGCCTTGCGTTTACTCTCAGTGTGATCTCGGTAATGTTAGCTCCTTATAGCAATCATGCTCACAGTGGATACCTTTGGACAATGCAGTTGCCGTAAGGCAACCACTCTGTGCAATGTAGGCTCAGGGACATTCATTTCTTCTCTAGCCACTGTCAAATGCCTACTGCAGCTGCTTATGACTCAGGAGAGCCTTCTCTCTTTATTGCTTTGCATTCTGTGGCATCTTAGCAGGATAATTGTATTGTTCTTACTTTGGGGAGCAAGAAGACATTTTCCAGGTTAAGTGCAGAATGGGAAAGACTCCTTTCTCTCTCACCTCTTCCCCATACCCACACAGTTGCTGGCTGATTTGTTTTTTCATGTTGCACCTGGCAAACTCACGTTTGGATGAAGTCGCCTGGAGAATTTTGTTCCCTTAGTTGCCCCATACAACATTCAGGCTACATTTGTACTGCTCGAACTACTCATTTATAAGATAAAACAGTCAACACTCTTTTCCACTGAATTAACTGACTTTTACCTACTGTAGGTTTTTTGCAACTAACTGTATCCAGGCAAAATGATGAAGATGATGAGACTTAAGACTGATCCTCTCCCCGGTTCTTGGAGTTTTTCTGTGTTTTTCTGCATCTTTCCTCCACAGATTCCAATAACTGAGCACCATTAAAATTAGATGCATTTAATTTGGCATGTAATTTTGAGTTCATCCAAGCCCCTCAAGATGTATCCTATTCTGATGAAGAAGGGAAGCAGAACTGAAGATTCATTTATACCCAGGAGTTAACATGTTTATCTTCTTCCTTTCTGGGAATAATATCTGCAAGAAACAAAAGGAGATGGCAAGGCTGAAGTAAACCAAGGAAGGAAAGAAATAGGGATGCAGTGAGTGCCTTCTATGTGGCAAGAAATGCTATGTTTGCGCAGCTGCATGATCTCCTGAGGTAGTAGCTCTCAGGCATTTGATATGCAGGATTGGACCTTTTTAAATTTTTTTTGAGATGGAGTCTAGCTCTGTTGCCCAGGCTGGAGTACAGTTGCACAATCTCGCCTCACTGCAACCTCCGCCTCCTGGGTTCAAGCGATTTTCCTGCCTCAGCCTCCCGAGTAACTAGAACTACAGGCATGTGCCACCACGTCTGGCTAATTTTTTGTATTTTTAGTAGAGACGGGGTTTCACCTTGTCAGCCAGGGTGGTCTCCATCTCCTGACCTCATGATCCACCCATCTCAGCCTCCCAAAGTGCTGGGATTGCAGGCATGAGCCACTGCGCCCAGCCAAAATTTGACCATTTTACAGGTGACTCAGACAGATGAAGCAACTTTTCCAAGATAACTCAGCTATTATGTGGCAGAGCTTGGATTTTAGACATCAAGCTTGTGTTTTCAGAGAGACTTGGAAGCACCTCATATCATAACAGCAGGGCAGCTGTCCATGTACTCAGGCTGGCACCAGAGGCCCCAGGAAGACTTGATCTATGGCCACTTCCATAAGGTGAAGTCCTATTTTCTGATGGCGGTTATGGGAGGTAAGATTGGAAAGGGTTAACAGATGGTTTGCAGTTCCTTCAAGAACCCTGCTGACTTTTGTACAGTAAAATAATAATGTTCCAATTTGGAAGCGAATTTTCTACTGTGACACTAATACAGCCCCAGGCTATCAGAGGATTAGATGAGTACAAAGCTGTATGAGCCATCAGCTGTGGCACTGGAGGGTGACTCAGCACGCTGGGCGCTGGGAGGATGGCTGTTAATTGGAACTGGAAAGAAGGAGCCCTGGTTTGGCAGATCGGGTTTAAATGGGTGGATTGTCTGATGGAGACTTTTTCTGTTCTTTTTTGGCTTTGGTTCAATGCATATAGCCAGACTGTCCTGCTGCCAGCTGGACTTTGCTTGAAATGTGTTTCTTTTCTTTCTTTCCTTGCTTTTTCTTTTTTGTCAGTTTGTAGCTCCAGATTCATAAGAGCTTGGGTTAAGTGAGAAGCAGTGGCAATACAGCCAACTTGCATCCTTTGACTCTGAATTCTCTGAGACCCCATTTTACTTTCAAGTTCATTTCCTTCTGCAGTCAGTACTGTCCTGGGCTCCTTCCCTCCTAATCATAGAGCCACTGTTGACTGCAAGTTTCTCCTCAGTGCAGCCCAATTTAGTAAATGTTTATTAGGGAGTTAGGGAGATACAAGGAACAGAGGATGTGCTGGATAAAGACCAGAGTTCTAGTACTGCTCTTACTACTTGGACAAATAACTTGACTGCCCAAAGCCTGAGCTTCTTCCTTTGTAAAATGCAGATTATAAAAATGATATTCACCTGGCAGGTTGGTCTTTAACCTATGCATTTGAGAGGCTACCGTATTAGTCTAATTTCACACTGCTGATAATGACATATCCCAAACTGGGTAACTTATACAGAAAAAGTGGTTTAATGGATTCACAGTTCCACGTGGCTTGGGAGATCTCACAATCATGGTAGAATGCGGAAGATGAAAGGCACATCTTACATAGTGGCAGACAAAAGAGAATGACAGCCAAGTCAAAGGGGTTTCTCCTTATAAAACCATCAGATCTTGGGAGACTTATTCATTACCACGAGAACAGTATGAGGGAAACTGCCCCCATGATTCAATTATCTCCCACTGGGTCCCTCCTACAACACGTGGGAATTATGGGAGCTACAATTCAAGATGAGATTTGGGTGGGGACACAGCCAAACCATATCAGCTCCTATGAAACCAAGTAGTAAAAACTCAGAGAAACTAATGTCTTCTTACTGTTTATGAAACTCAAGAGCCACACTCTCATGAAGTTTTTAAAAATTTTTCCTCAGACAGGGTACCTTTCTTCTTTAAGTTCCTTAGTGTGATGAGATCGCTGTGTGTCTACCTCTTATAATCCACATAGTATAGACAGTAGAGACTGGAGGGCAGGCTTTGGAGATCGACTAGGCAGTGTGACCTTGGGGAAAGTTACTTTGTCTTCCTGAGACTCAATGGCTCAAACTCTAAAATTCATACCTGTCCTGCAGGGTTACTGCAAGGAGGAGAGGCCATAATGCTTTTACAGTGCCTTGTACAGAGCCTTGAGCATAGAAGGGGCCATAAGACCTTTCTGTTTCTTCCACCCCCTTATTTTTATTCTCCTTATCCCCTTTCTCTTAACTAAGTCCAGAAAGAAGAGTTTGCAAAATGCTCTTTGAAAAGGGGTAGGAATTGATTGTTTACTCTTCTCAGGTTTTCTAAATTTTTATTTTATTTTTAATTAACTTTTAAATTTACAATAGACATATAATAATGGTGAATATTTATGGAGTACAATGTGATATTTCAACGCGTGTATACATTGTATAATGATCAGATCAGAGTCATCACTATAGCCATCATGTTAAGCATTCGTCATTTCTTTGTAGCGATAACATTCAACATCTTCTCTTCTAGCTATCTTAAAATATATATCATTTTGTTATTTGCTACAGCCATCCTACTGTGTAATAGAACTCCAGAACTTATTTTTTCTGTCTAACTTTTTCCCATAGTTCACAAAGTTAGGTGATACTTATAAGACTTCCAACAAACAACAGTCCTCTCTACTCCTGATTTCTAGTCCCCACATCAGTTCTAGTAACTCTTTTCTTTAAATGATGGTTAACTCTAGCAATAGATGCAGACAAAATCTATTGACTTCCTGCAGGGAAGATGTGAATTCATCCCTATTTCATCTCCTTCCCCATATACCCCTGTATTAGTTTCCTGTGGCTGCTGTAACACGTGACCACAAACCTGGTGGCTTGAACAACAGAAATTTATCCTTACATAGTTCTGGAGGCCAGAAGTCCAAAATCAGTATCACTGGGCCAAAATCAAGGTGTTGACAGGGCTGCACTCCCTCTGGAGGCTCTAGGGCAGAATCCTTCTTTGCCTCTGCCAATTACTAGGGGCTGCCAGCATTCCTTGGCTCGTGGCCATATCACTTTGCTCACTGACCCTGTCTTCACATTGCTATGCCTCTTTTGTGTGTCTGTCTAATCTCTCTCTCCCTCCCTTTTAAACAATTCGTTCAATTGCATTTAAGCCTTATTTAATAATGCGGGATAACCTCCTCATCTCAAAATCCTTAATCACATCTGCAAAGATGTCGTCCCCACCCCCCTTTTTTTCTTTTATTTTTTTTATGGAGTCTCCTTCTGTTGCCCAGGCTGGAGTGCAGTGGCGTGATCTCAGCTTAATGCAACCTCCACTTCCCAGGTTCTAGCAATTCTCCTGCCTCAGCCTCCCGAGTAGCTGGGATTACAGGTGCCCGTCTCCATGCCTGGCTATTTTTTTTTTTGTATTTTTAGTAGAGATGGGGTTTTTCCATGTTGGCCAGGCTGGTCTTGAACTCCTGACCTCAGGCAACGCAACTGCCTCAGCCTCCCAAAGTGCTGGGATTACAGGCATGAGCCACAGCACCTGGCCCTTTCATTTTTTTCAAATAAGGTAATATTTACAGGCTACGGTGTTTAGGACCTGATATCTTTGGGAGACATTATTCAGCCTTCTATGCATCCTTTATTTATTATGGATTGATTAGATACTTTTATTCAACTAATATTAGTGTTGGCATTCTTATGATTCTGTAAATATTGTTCACAGTTGAATGGTGTAGTATACTGTAAATACGTGTTTTCTTTGAAATAAATAATTTTTAAAATTAGCTTTCCAGGTGCCCTTCACTACATCAGTGTCAATCTTCCCAATAGAATCACTAAACTCCTCTCAATATGTTTATCATAGCCTCTATCACTCTCCCAGTTTTAAATTAGATATTATCTTTCCAGAGCCTCTTCCCACCTGCTCCAGTCTGGACTGGCTACTCTAGTCCTGGAGCTCAGCTGTCAGCCCCAAACTTCTCTCTGCCCTCATCCTAGCTTTCCTTCATTCCGTGACCTTATTAAAGCATCTTTCTTGGATTCAGTGTCTCTTTTCTTCATGGTTTTCTCCTGGTGTTGGTAGAGTAAATCATGCAGTGGCTCTGTGTGCATGAGCGATAACACTTTGGAAACCCTTTTTCACTGAAAATGTATTTAAGCATTTTCTTTGATTGGCAGTTTAAGTATAGACTCAGGATTGTACCAAACAAATCCCAGAATTCTCAGAAGACTTGTCCCCTGGTATCGCTTCTGGTACCAAGTACTCTATCAGCCAGAGTTCAGTCATAAAACAGAAACCACATCACTTATTTTCAGAAGATTAATTTAATATAAGGAAGGTTAAACGGGTGTTAAAGAACTGAGGAAATGAAGATGGGATACTGAGATAACACAAAGCTAGTAACTAGAGGAAGCCATCAGCACACCTATGGCAACAAAAGGAAGGCTTGGGAAAATCAGAACCCAAGAGTTTGAAGAAGGAGCCTCTTGAAGCTGAGATACAGAACTTTGAGGAAGAGGTGAGGCCAACCAGCACTGAGACCCCTGAAGGGTAGCATGAGGTTGGGTTTGGAATTCCAGAAAAGTAAAATACCCAAAAGCTGGAGATCGATCAAGTGCCACAGCCAGGGGAAGGGCTATGACAGAGGTGATGCTGATAGGGATAAAAGAAAACAGGAAAGAGCCTGTCCTTGTTCTCCATCCAGGTTGCCAATCTCCGTCTATACCACCTGTTAACGACTGTACCAGGAAGCCATTGTGCAAGGGAGAAATGCAGCTGGGAGAGTCCCTGCTGTGGGTGGGACGGGGCTGAGGGACAATAGCTTAGTAACTGGCACAATCTCCTTCCAGTTCCTGGTGTTTCTAGAGTTTCAAAAATCTCTGTAACCTTGGTATTATGAAATTTCACATGAAGGGCCTTGCAGTGGATTTTTCTTTTAATCGTTATGCTGGGCATTTGGTGAGTCTTTTAGATCTGAAAACTCTATTCAGTTTTAGAAAAATTTTTTGCATTTCTGCTTTAGTTATTTTACCCCTTCCCCTTTCTTTGTTTCTTTTTCTTTTTCTTTTTTTTTTTTGAGATGGAGTCTCACTCTGTTCTGCCCAGGCTGGAGTGTAGTGACGTGATCTCGACTCACTGCAGCCTCCGCCTCCTGGGTTCAAGTGATTCTCCTGCCTCAGCCTCCCAAGTAGCTGGGATTACAGACATGCACCACCACACAGGCTAATTTTTGTATTTTTAGTAGAGATGGGGTTTCACCATGTTAGCCAGGTTGGTCTCAAACTCCTGACCTTGTGATCTGCCCGCCTCAGCCTCCCAAAGTGCTGGGATTATAGGCATGAGCCACTGTGACTGGCCTCTTTGTTTCTCTTTTTCAGGAGTCCTACTACCTATCTCTTTTACCTCTTGGATTGATTGTATAATTTTCTTATATTTTTGCCTTTGATTTCTTATCTCCTTTTCTTCTTGTTATATATTATTGGGAGATTTTTAAAGACCTTTCTATTCTAATCCTTTCAATTTTATTTATTTTTTTACTTTGTAGAGATGGAGTTTCACTATGTTGCCCAAGCTGGTCTTGAACTCCTGAGCTCAAGCTATCTGCTCACCTTGGCCTCCCAAAGTGTTGGAATTACAGGCATGAGGCACCACACCCAGCCTCCTTTCAATTTACAAAAATATTCTGCTAGCATATTTTTAATTTTTCAAGACTTATTTCTGACTCTTTCTTAAATAGCACCTTTTGGGTTTTTTTTGTTTTGTGTGTTTTTTTTTTTTGCTCTTATCGCCCAGGCTAGGGTGCAATGGTGCGATCTCAGCTCACTGCAACCTCTGCTTCCCGGGTTCAAGTGATTCTTCTGCCTGAGCCTCCCGAGCAGCTGGGATTACAGGCGTCTGCCACTATGCCCAGCTAATTTTTGTATTTTTAGTAGAGACAGGGTTTCACCATGTTGGCCAGGCTGGTCTTGAACTCCTGACCTCAGGTGATCCACCCGCCTCGGCCTCCCAAAGTGCTGGGATTACAGGCGTGAGCCACCACGCCTGGCCAAACAGCACCCTATTCTTGTTTCATAGCTTTCAATCTTGTTCCATTCTTTGTTATATCTCTTATATTAAATATGTTTAAAATTTTCTTTTTCTTCTACATTTCTCTAAGACTTTCCTCAAGTCCTAGATACCCACAAGTCATCCTTTTAAAGGTTGAAGTACTCACAGGTTGAACGGAATAGCTGTGTTGAGGAGGGGTTCCTTGATTTCTGGGTGCCACTATAGGATGCTCAGGTAGGAATCGGGATCATTTGTTGGAGATGAAACTTCAACATCTATAGGTGTTTTATTCCCCCTGCTTGGGCCTATCTGAGAGAGGAGCTCTTTAGTTTCCAGGCTGGGAGCTGTAAACCTGACTGCCACTTTCCTAAGAGTTCTCTAAGGCGATGAAGAGGTGCGAAGCCCACCATTCATTATAAGGACTTACCTAGTGCCCCTGTGTTCAGTGCAGTGTCTCTCTCCTGCTCATAGCTGTGCCTACTATTCCTGTTTCCAGAGCTTACTTGTCTAATTTGTTCAGAGACTAAATCTCCCATCTTCTGCCAGGCTAAGAGATGGCAACATTTGGGCTGTGCAGGCTGATGGTGAAGATCTGGAGGTTTACCTGCTTCTTGCACAGGTTTCCAACCAGTTTTTGTCTTTCTCCTCCCTCTGGGCTCTCACTCTGGCCTTCAGCAGTTCCTGCTGCTACCACCTGCTGAGGCTCTCTGAGGATCCTTCTCCTCCAGGCAGGAAACATGAGAGCATGTCTCTTTCACACCATCCCTAATGCCCACTGAGTCCTGAAAAACCATAAAGTGCAGCAACAACATGACATAGCCCTAACATAGCCCTATTTCAGTTAGAAAAGATGTTATGGGAAGTTTACTAAATACTTGTCTTATTTGAGTGAGGTTTTTTTTTTTTTTTTAAAAAAGGAAAAAAACAAAACAAAACAGGGTCTTGCTCTGTCGTCCAGGCTGGAGTGTAGTGGTATGATCTTGGCTCACGTCAACCTCCGCCTCCCAGGTTCAAGTGATTCTCCTGCGTCACCCTCCCGAGTAGCTAGGACTACAGGCATGCACCACCATGTCTGGCTAATTTTTGTATTTTTAGTAGAGATGGGGTTTCACCATGTTGGACAGGCTGGTCTCGAACTTCTGACCTCAAGTGATCCGCCTTGGCTTCCCAAAGTGCTGGGATTGCAGCACTTTGTGAGTCACCACGCCCGGCCCTGTGAAAAGATTTATAATATAGGCACTCCCAGGGGACTCCTTTGAACTCCACTGAATACACTCAGGGGAACAGGGTGTTGGCAGGTCCCTGACCAATTGTGTGCTACCTACCAAGTCTTTTCTGCCTTACTTTAAGGACCCAGAAGATCCTCCCCTCTTCCACAAAGCCTTCCCGAGCATCCCCATTCACGCATCCATGTTTCTTTCTAGTTCTTACTATCCATGATCACCAGCCCTGGGCTTGCCTGGGGCATCTTCTCTCTTTGCTGTCTAGTGTTACTTATTTATCTGTTTAGACACTTACCTCTTTTGATCCCCAGGGATGATGGGTACTTTAAGGATGGTGGTTCTTGAGTTGCACTTGTTAATATCCCTTGTTCTGTGCAAAGTGTCTTCACACTTACACACACACTCACACACTTATGCACTCACACAAATGCCCTCATTACCTTAAAACAGCAGGCATTTGACTATAAATAATCACCGATGGAGATATTAACATCACATGAATTTAGTTATTCATACTTCGTAAGAACCTTCGCACACTATGTCACTGAAATTTTACAACCAGCTGGGAGGAAGATGTGTTGCACCTTTCTCAAAAGCTGAGAATACAGAGGCTCAGAGAAGTGAGATGACATGCAAGACTCACAGCCAGATCTTTGGATAGACAAATATTCTTTCCCACAAATGATCACTGACCCCTTCACCAAAGGGAGGGCTGGCGGGGCACTCCCTCTGACCCACGTTGCAAAGGGAGAAGGCAGCCCTAGCAGTGAGCTGAGAGAATAAGGTGAGCTGTGATAAAACCAGCCTTGCAGAGCCCAGGTGTCACATCTCCCAGGCTGCTTGAATCACACTTCCTCTCAGACGAATGTGGGATTGTTTTGTCATAAAAACACAAGTACAGTCATAAAACATGTCTTTGTGGGGGGAAAAAAGTTCCCAGGCCTAGGAATGTGTATGTGTATATGTGAGACAAGCTAAGACAGGTGTCCCTCTTCCCTGACCCCAGCCCAGGGCCAGGTGTGATCTCATGCTAACCTACAACACGAGGGAAGCCTTGAAAGGCCACGGGCATCTGATACCCTCCATATCAGGCTTCCAACAGTTTTCCAAAAAGCTTTGCATTCCCCTGGGTCAAGAGCTCTCTCTATTTTTTTTTTCCTCAAAAAACATGTGTATTTCAGCAGAAATTTAATCCCTGGGGCTCCAAGTCCTTCACACTTACATCAGTTAAAATGGCATTTCTGCAGAGACATGTGATCCTGCAGAAGCCTCCAGGGACTGTGCTCAGCTTGGCATCCTTCTCATTTCTTGACCTGAAAACAAAACAAAACAAAAGAGGAAGTCACGTTTCATTTTCAAAATGATCTTGACAAAGTCTTTCCTTCAAGTTGGCCTGGATGGAATTGCCTCTCTTGCAGATCCTTTTGCAACATTGTCCTATTGCTTTGTGTGATGGAAGCAGCTGCCAGGCTCAGACCATGCTCCTGAGCTCGAGCTGCTGGGCTCCTTGAGAGAGCTGCCTTGAGAGATGCTGGGCCTTGCATGAGAATCAGACAAGTTTTCTTTATGGAGGGACCCTAATGTTGATCTTCCAATTACCTCCTCCCTCTTTTGTAGATGAGGAAACTGATACCCAGAGAGAGGAAATGCCTTTCTACAATCACACAGATAATGAGTAGAGATTCCCATTGTTTGAAGACCTAAACTGCCAGACATAGTGCTAAATGTTCTACAGGTATTATCTTATTTACCTATTCAGTAATTCATGAACAAGTCATTATTACCCCCATTTGACTACAGGGGAAATTGAGGCCTTCAGGGATTAGGCACCTTGTGTAAGGTCAGACAGCTTCTGGGGCAGAATGGAGATTAGAGTTCAAGTATCTGATACTGATGTTCATGATCTTACCCAAGTGTACTACAGGGCTCCCATAGGGCATGGAGAGTGGTCTGGAGCAAGGACCCAGGGCTCCTGATGCCTGTCCCATGATATCTTTTATGATTTTGACTTTGAGAATATTTTATAGGCTGGGTGTGGTGGCTCACACCTGTAATCCCAGCAATTTGGGAGGCTGAAATGGGCCAGTCGCTTGAGTCCAGAAGTTCAAGACCAGCCTGGGCAATATGGTAAAGCCCTGTCTCTATAAAAAATAAAAAAGTTAGCTGGGTGTGGTGGTGAACACCTGTAGTCCCAGCTACTAGGGAGGCTGAGGATGGAGGATCAATTGAGCCCAGGAGGTTGAGGCTGGAGTGAGCCGTGATTCTACCACTGCACTCCAGCTGCAGTGACAAAACGAGACCCTGTCTCAAATTTTTTTTTTAAAAAAGAATATTTTATATAATTGCTCAACTTCAGTATGTATGTCTAGCACTTAAAAACTTAAATCTATTTTTGCCTAAGTTTGATATTCTGAGAACTAATACCAGGTGATATTGTTGCCTTAGGTTTTTATTCTACCCCCACGTTAGCCCCTCCATCACACCTCTTCTTTGTCGTTCATGTATTGGTGGCACCCAGTTCCCTCTTCTTTTTAGGAGCAATTTTCAAGAAAGGATCTAATATTGGTGATTTATAACTCAGTGTGAACTTAAACCCATCAGGACCTCTGGTAAGGGTATTGTCTTATCTCTGATGATGAAATGAAGAGACTTCAAGGAAGAGGGAAAGGCAAGGAAATTACATTCAATACTGGCAGCTACTTCATGTCAGATCCTGCCCTAAATTCTGCTCGTAAAACTCTTCCTTTCTCTTACCCCACCTTTTTGCGGATAAGGAAACCGAAGCTTAGGGTGGTTAAGTAACTTGCCTCAGGTCATCATGCAGTGACTTCTATTTACAGGATTTTTTCCACCGTACCATCAGCTAGAAGCTAAGGATTTTGGCGGGGGGTGATAAAGTTGGGGGTGAGGGCTACTTTTTGTCCTTAAATCAATTGTGAGAGGCTGACCTCTACTGGACCATATAGCACTTGAACACCAAAAGGAAGAAACAGTTTTCTTGGCCTCTTGTGATCTTTTCTTATATTTTGGAGATAAATCAACTTAATATACATATGCCAAGTGCTTATAGCATGTGAAATGCTGGACTAAATGCTGAGTGAATTCAAGTATAAATGCATTGGCCTCTGAAAGTCCCACTAGGAATGCATTGCAAGCATCCTATACCCAGCATGGCCTCTGCTTTACCAGGGAGATATTTCCAAACAGCAAAAGGACAATGTTCTCTTCTGGAGGGACTAGAAGATGCAGGTCTAACCAAGGAGCAGCCTTTCTCTAGGTAAACATTCTTCTCATGTCCTATTCCGTGTTTTAGAATATGTGCATCTTCTTTCTGTATCATTCTCTGTCCAATTGTCCTTTCTTTTTCATGCAATATAGATTATTTAAACAGCCACTCTCACTGCGAGTCAAATAAAATGGGTTGGTGACACAGAGAATGGACTCCGACGAATGTTTTATTTCCTTATCTGTCATTCTTATCACTGGCCTTCTCTCCTGTCTCTGGTTACCTTTTTCACTTAGCTGGCCAACTGAGAATTAGATGAAGGATGAAAATAAATTGGCAGATTGCCTTTAGCTGCGAGACAAGGGTTCTTTCTTTCTGTGGTTTAGTTTCACAAAGGGTTTTGTAGGCACTGGAAGTTTTGCTACAAAGCAGCAGGATCTAAAGGCTGCACCCCAGAAGGTTGAATGAAGAGGTCAGTGTCCCTGGCTTCATGCTGCCAGGTTTTGATGTGAGGAACTCACCTGTACCTCTTCTTGTCCTTTTTCTGCACTTGGAAAAATTATCTTTGAATTACAGTAGATTATGATCATTATTACTTTATGTTTGATTTGGAAATAAGTTAGTCTTACTAAAGAATGTGGCTGACTGGGGTTGTATAGTTCATAGTCTGGATGGGATCACAGAGCTGCTCAAGATCATGTACAAAATCACTCTGCATCTAAAAGAAGCAGTTTTCTATTAATTTATAATGTTTTTATTATGCTTTTCTTATTACACGAGTATTTCATGCAGAAAATTTGAAAAGTACAGATAAGTGACAAATAAATACATAAAAACCACTTGAATCCTGTCACCTAAAGATATCCACTGATAACATTTTATATTATCCTTTAGGCTTTTTAAATACATATTTTAACATAGGCTGTATTATACTGTTCACAGAATTTTTAAATTGCTTTTTCTCTCAGGAGCATAACAGAATATCTTTCTATGTCATAACAATCTTCTACAATATCATATTTTGTGGTTGCCTAGTATTTTGTCATATAGACATATCATAATTTATTTAAGTCTTTCCTTTTTTAGGGTTATTTAATTTATATCCAATATTTGGTTCTGTTTAACCCTTCTGCCCTAAACATCTTTGTTGCTAAGTCTCTGTGCACATTAATAATTTATTCTTTAGGATAAAAAAATGCGAGTACAAAAAGTTTAAGGGTTTTGATATTTGTTGTCCAATTGACCCCCCAAAAATGGTATTAATAGATATGTCTGCTCATTGAATTACACCTGGAACAATAGTTGCAGTAAACTATTTAAAAATTTTGCCAATTTGACAGATTAAAATAGTGTCACGTTATGTACTTAAATTTTCTCGATTACTGAAATGAAACAGTTTTTGGATTTGTACAATAGACTTACTGATTTCCTAACCCATAAATAGCTCTTTATTTCCATTTGTATATATCTACATATCCAAGTATTACTATACAAAGCATGGGCTCTGGAGACACACTGTCTGGGGTCCAGGACAAGCTCTGACACTTTTTGTCCTGCTTAGAAAGGCCTAACCCCAAGACTATATGAATATTAACTCCTATTTTTTTTTTTCCAGATACTTTTTGGTCCCATTTTCTACTTATCTGCATTTTGAAAGCTGTATTAGTGGCTGTGCTGGTTGTTCTGTTTGCTCCATCAGAACCATTTCCGCTCCTTTCCCAGTCTGCTCGGTGCCATGGGGGGGTTGCAAGAATGTTCTGCCTCAATGGGCTGCCTTGCCTGCTGGCTTTTGGTTGGGTCCAAGAAATGCATGGCAGAGAAAGAAAAGGAGGAGTCTGGAACACTAGATTGTAGAGAGCAGCAGCATGTGCTGAGCTGAAGGGTCCGGATTTAATTCTGTGCTCGGTGGGCAACTGTGAAGAGTTTTAGGTGGGAAAGTAAGATGATCAAAGATCAAAGTGATCAACAAAAAATAGTTAATTTGATGGCATCGAGTAGGCTTGAAGACAGGAAGGCCCATGAGGAGGGCAAGGATTGCAGCAAAGAGGTCGAACTTGCAAATGTTGACTGTGAGTGATGAAAATAACAAAACACTAACTTAGACATTTCCAGAGAAAATGGTCTTGGAAATGGGTATTTTAGGTGTAAGGAATTGAGTAGTAACACTGTTAGTAAATCATCTTTGACCCCTGCCTTCAGCCCTTCTAGAGTGAGATTCCACATGGATCTTTGCAGGGAGACCCTACCTGGCCTAATAAAGAGAATGGCCTTCTTTGTCATGCCACTAAAGCCGAACAATATTTCTGCGTTTTTTTTCTATTTTGTTTGATCCTGGGTCTTGGAATTTTGTAATTTCTTGAAAACTTAAAATAATAATAGCTAATTTCATCGAGTACTTTTCTCCCCTTCTCTCTTATTTTTTTAGCATTAACATATTATTCCACTTAATATTTCTAACTGGCCTAAAAGTTATTGCATAATCAGTTGGAAATATGAGTTGGGATGCAGCCTGGAATAGGGAAGAGCCTGGGTCTGGTGCAAGCAAAGCTGCTTCCAAGCAAAATGGGGCAGCCCACAGATGGCACAGCCTGCTCAAGCCTTGTCTTTCGGTAACTTCTTTATCCTCTAAATCCTTTTCTCGAAAACATGACTTCATCTGGGGACAGTATATGAGAAGTTGGGAAGGAGTGGGAATTTCGTCCCTGAGAGATATGATAGATTTGGCCCTCTTTGCCATTGGCACTACTTCCTCTTGGGCATTTTCCGAGATAATTGTTTTGGTCTGATAAGTTAGCAATGGTAATTGTATTGAAAATTCACCTTGGCAATGACTTTACATATTGTGTAATCCAATCTCTTCACTGTGCCAACAAGGAAACCAAAATTCAGAATTCCATTTTTCTATTCTCTTTGGTCTCCTCGCACTGGAAATCCCTTAGTTTCTGTGAAACAACTCTATTATTAGTTATGTGCCACATAACAATGTTTCAGTCAACAATGGACTGCATGCACTATGGTGGTCCCATAAAAGACCATGTTTTTACTGTATCTTTTCTAAGTTTAGATATGTTTAGGTGCGCAAAGACTTACCACTGTGTTACGGTAGACTATAGTATTCAGTATAGCAACATGCTGTACAGGTTTGTAACCTAGGAGCAGTAGGCTATACCATATAGCCTAGGCATGTAGTAGGCTACACCATCTAGGTTTGTGGAAGTTCACTGTATGATGTTTGCACAACATTGTCTAATGCTGCATTTCTCAGATCTATGTTGTTAAGTGATGCATGACTGAATTTGGATACCTTGGAGGTGCCTGGTAAAATGTGACAACCGCCATGACAAGCCTGTGACTCTCCTCTGGCTCTTTGGTGATCTTCCCATGTTCACAGCACCCATTACATATTTTATATTTGCTTTTATTTCTGAGGGAGTTGATTTTGATGTGGACTAGAGCGTGCTCGGGGTTACATAGGGAGCAAGTGTTCTTTGCTCAGTGGGGTTCAATAGATGAAGTGGAGGAGGAGATGCAACTGTGATCTGTGGGACAAGAAAGCAAGAATTTATCTGAAAAGACCACACTGGTCCTTCCACGTAGCAGAAATTCTGCAGGATTAACTGGTTTTCAATAGAAAACACTTACAGGACTGCAATGCTATTCACTTTCTCATGGTTTTAAATTTTCTTCTTTGTAGATTTCTTTATTCTCTGAATTTTATGCCATGAATGTCTTCCTTTGGTGTTCAGAGACATTTATGTATCTGTATCTACCTCTCTATTGTAATTTCTAAAAGAAGGCCAAATGCCTGGGGAGATCAGCTCTGAGAACTTTGCGCGGGAACTTTCAAGAAGATTGAAAGTGAAGTCCTAAATGGAATTTGCTAAACGTTCTTGAGGAAGCAACCTTGGAAAAACCGTTCTGTGGTCAAATATATTTGGAATGGTGTATTCCAGCCCCTTTGTGGAGACTCATAATGCCCGTGAAAATCTCTGAAACTTTCTGGAGGAAAAGGCAACAAAAATGAAACAATGCAAGATTCTGTCTAAATCTCTTCAACACAGTGTTTCTAAACTTATGGGACTTGATACTCATTTTTTTGTGTCTCAACATTTTAACAGGAACAATATTCTGTGAACCATACTTTGGGAGAACTACTCTTGAAGGAGTCCTATAACAGCTTTTTTTGAAGCTGTTTACTTGAAGCCCGTGGGTCTCAGGATAAGCCTGCCAGGGGCCGGAGACAAACCCGATTGTGATGTCTCTTCTTTACTCTATTGGTGTGTAGGTGAGCACCAAATAAGGTAAGTAGTAGGACTTGCCTTGAAGAAGAAAAGAAGTCCTAAAAGCACACAATTTGGGGTAGGAGGGGGAGGTGTCTTAGTGGGAGGTTGTCAGACTTATGGCCTGGAGGCAGGGTCTACACATACCTCAGTGTAGCTGGGATAGGGCTTCCTCTTCCCTTCTCTGTGACTGGCTTCTTTTTTTTTTTTTTTTTTTTTTTTTTTGAGGTGGAGTTTCTCAATTGTCGCCCAGGCTGGAGTACAATGGCACAATCTTGGCTCACTGCAACTTCCACCTCCTGGGTTCAAGCGATTCTCCTGCCTCAGCCTCCTGAGTAGCTGGGATTACAGGTGCCTGCCTCCATGCCCAGCCAAGTTTTTGTATTTTCAGTAAAGACAGAGTTTCACCATGTTGGCCAGGCTGGTCTCGAGCTCCTGAACTCAGGTCATCCACCTGCCTCGGCCTTCCAAAGTGCTGGCATTACAGGCGTGAACTACTACATCCAGCTTTGTGACTGACTCCTTGAGTTACCACCTAGGAGCTTGGCTGTAGCTGTTCCCTGGCTAGGATGGTGGCTGCTGTTCTCTGTTGGAGGCCACAGAGAAGTGGGATCTGCAAGTACTCTGAGTCCACCCTAGGTGTGCGGCACTGTTCCAGGTGCCCAGGAACCACACAAAGAGACAGACAGCCTCACTCTTACCTTTCTCAGCTAACAATGTAGTTGAGATATGGCATATACATCCGAGGTATCAGAAAACATAAGATTGTGATTGCATGCTTTGTCATGTGATATAGATTTTAAGGTATTGTAGGCTTCTGGGGAAGTAGAGGACATCTACAAGCCAGGAAGGGTTAGGAAAGACTTTCCTAGGGTGTAGGTAGAAGTAGGGTTGAAGAAATGAATCGAGTTTGAAAAGCTGGAGGTGAAAGGTAAGGCCACTGGACCAGGGAACCCATGTAGGGGATGGTGCAGAGCCCAGGGGGAACACAGGATTTGTCCTGGGTGGTATTAGCAAGTCTCGTTAAGAAGTCTCAGTCCTCCCCAAAAGGTGTTACACTTGGTAGAGTTTTTCAGTCAGGGATGCGACTTGAGCATCTTCTTCGTGAGGTCTTACTTGATTACCCCAGTGTCTTCCCTGACTGGAATGGGGTTATGGTGGAGTAACCCATTTGTTATTCACAGTTGCTGGCTTGTTTATTCATTCTGCAAGTACATCTGACAAGATGGCCTGATTAAGCCTATGAACTCTTTGAAGGCATGAACCACGATGGTCTTGTTTCCCTCTCTCCTCCTACCCATTTGCCTTCAGCAAGGCTCAGCACAGGGAATGAGCTCAGTAAGTGTCAGCTGGTGGATCCATTGGATTCTGATGAACACTTCTTGCTTAGAGCACATGTCATCTGTCAGTGCTCTCATTTCACTGGGGTTGGAAAAGGAGCAAGGAAAACCAGTGTGTACTCCAAGATTGCACAGTCTCAGGGTGCTGTAGAGCCTTATCTAAAATTTCACTCTCTTTTGAGGTTTAAGAGGTCCTTGCCTGCTTAGTTCAGTGTCACTGTAAGCATTTACTGGAGCACTATTTTCAGTCCAGTTTGAGGGCGTGTGTGTGTGTGTGTAGAGGTGGGAGTGGGAGGGGAAGAAGATAGTGCAGAGATGTTGATAACATTAGTCCTAGTCTCAAGATGTTCGCATTCTGGTAAGGAGAACCAGACTGAGAACTATCATCTGTAACGTAGTTGCCAACCTTTTGGAGTGCTGGGAAAGGAGGGGCCCATTCAGTTCCTTGTAGATTCTTACCCATTTTTCGGGAACAAGGAGTTGGAGTCTATTGTGTTGTGTTCTGCAGAAGCTGTCTTTCTTATTGATGCGGACTAGCCTGCCAACCACCCTAGGCCATATTCTCTCTCTTTCTACCCCAGGGCAGGGACTGGAAGGTTCTTTAGCTCTGCCAATTTCAGAGCAGACCCTGTACCTCCAGGCACAGTCCACCAGATGGTGCAAAACAAATGAAACACTCATCCTGGTCTGTCCAGCTTATCAAACCCAAAATTGGGCAGCAGAGGAGAGAACTTTCTTTCCTGGAATTTTCCACTTCTGAGTTCAGCCAGAATGGTATGAAAATGCACAACTTAGACTTGAATACGAAGTTTGGAGTAGCTTTAGGGATTACAAACATTTGTGCGCGCACACCTCCTGTGTGTGTTTGTGGTGAGATCTTATATGTAAGCAGAAAGGAGGCATTTGCCTATGCGTGATTGCCAGGAATCTGGGAGACCCCCTACCCTCACCCCTAATATTCTTTCACCTCCTGGCTCTAAGCTAAACTTCCATGCCACAAAGTCATAAAGGTTTTAAAGTGTTAACATCCTAGGGAAAAGTCATAATAATGCCTCATATTTATTTAGAGCCTTGCATGCACCTTCATATATATTGTTTCATTAGAACTTCATACCAACCCTGGAAAGCAGGTAATGCTGCTATATTCACTTTTTAAATGAAGAAACTGAGAGACAGAGACAGTACAACAGGTCCCCCAGTTTACACACTTGGTCAGTGCTAGAGCCGCTAGATCAAATGGAGAACGTCAAGGGTTGAATCTCCTTCTATTTTTCATTACTCTGGGATGAATTCTCTCTTTCAATGACTAGAATCCAGTTTTTTAAATAAATAGATTGTGAGAGGGAGAAAGAGTAGAAGAGCTGAGGGAGCTGAGCTCTTTACAGAGGAAAGAACAGGGACAGTGAGGGAGACTAGGGCCCCAGAGATGCAATGCGCTTCTCCAATTTTTCTTGGAGCAGTTGTGTGGTGCGTGTGTGTGTGTGTGTGGGGGGGTGTATACTCACACATACTTGCACACACAGCGTGAACGTCATCTTATGTATATACTTTTATTCAAGTTGGTTGCATTTGATTCCAGTGACCCTTGCTATAGCAGTGAATAGTATTAGAAAACCAAGTTCTAAGCAACAAACTATGGGAAATAAACATAGGAAGCTCTTTCCTTAATAGTCAAGGTTGCACCTATATCCCAATATAGTACTGTGCCAGGCCTGGGGACATCGTTTCCATTCCCTTTCCTATCTGCTCGCTGAATTGTGCAAGCTCTGTCCCTCCTGGTGTCCTCATAGGACAGCCCTTGCAAGTGCATCATCATGCATGCTCTACCTCTGTCATTCTAGCCTTCCCCTCAACAGATCCCAGAAGACTGTTGCAGCCCTCACAGCCTGCCAGGTGACCAACAGATCCCTCAGAATTTTCTGTGCTGAATATGTCAGTCAATGGTAGGGATCTCATGGGCTTCTCCTTCTGAGTAACACAGACGCTAAGGCTTTATTTCACTCAAAGCTTTAGACACAATTCAAAACAAAGCAATATGGAAGTTCCAGGCATTGCAGTTGGTCAGACCTTCAAAGTTCTGCAAGACTTCTCAGAATCCAGCATATCACACGAGCTGTTTGTGCAACCAGCCTGTGGGGTCAGCCTTGAAACTTGGCCTTAGAGTTGTTTTCTGGGAGAGGTTGTACCTAACCAGGTAAAGTCACTCATACCTGCTCCCTTCTTTTTTATTTTAGTGCCTCTGGGCTAGTTGAGATCCCCAGAAGCTCGACTTGGATTACTGCAGTTATCTAATTGGTCATTTTATCTCCAGCCTCCAGCCTCCTTGTATTTTCATCTTAGATGTGGCTACCAGAGCAATTTTTTTTTTCTTTTCTGAGACAGGATGGATGTCTTTCTTTTTTTTAGTTTTTGTATTTTATTTTATTTTATTTTATTTTATTTTATTTTATTTTATTTTTGAGACGGAGTCTCGCTCTGTCATCCAGGCTGGAGTGCAGTGGCACAATCTTGGCTTACTGCAAGCTCCACCTCCCAGGTTCACGCCATTCTCCTGCCTCAGCCTCCTGAGTAGCTAGGACTACAGGTGCCTGCCACCACGCCCAGCTAATTTTTTGTATTTTTAGTAGAGACAGGGTTTCACCGTGTTAGCCAGGATGGTCTTGATCTCATGACCTCGTAATCTGCCCACCTTGGCCTCCCAAAGTGCTGGGATTACAGGTGTAAGCCACTGCTCCCAGCCAGGATGGATGTCTTTCTTTTGCTCAGGGTAGAGTGCAGTGGCATGATTCATAGCTCATTGCAGCCTAAAACTCCTTGGCCTCCCAAGTAGCTGGTACTACAAGGCACGTCACCATGCTCAGCTAATTTTTTTTTAAATTGTTATAGAGATGAGGTCTCATCATGTTGCCCAGGCTGGTCTCAAACTCAGAGCAATTTTTATACAACTCAGATTGTATCATTTCACTTTCCTGTTTGAAAATTCTAAATAACTCCCCTGTTTTTCTTTTTCACCCTATTTTTCTTTTTTAAACAATTGCTTTATTGAGACATAATTCACATACCATAAATGTCACCCATTTAAGTGACAGAACTCGGCTGGGTGCAATGGCTCATGCCTGTAATCCCAGGATTTTGGGAGGCTGAGGTGGATGGATCACTTGAGGTCAGGAGTTTGAGACCAGCCTGATCAACGTGATGAAACCCCGTCTCTACAAAAATTACAAAAATTAGCTGAGGGTGTTGGAGCATGCTTGTGATCCCAGCTACTTGGAAGGCTGAGGTGGGAGGATCGCTTGAACCCAGGAGGCAGAGGTTGCAGTGAGCCGAGATTGTGCCACTGCACTCCAGCCTGGGTGACAGAGTGAGACTGTATCTCAAAAATAAATAAATAAATAAATAAAATAAAAATAAAAATTAATTAATTGATGACATGACTCAATGAGTATTAATATATTCACAGAGTTGTGCAACCATCACCACTGCTATGGGCTGAATCATGTCCCCGCCATTCACGTATTAAAATCCTAATGCTCCAGTACCTCAAAATGTGACTGTATTTGGAAATAGGGCCCTTAGGGAGGTAATTAAGGTAAAATTAGGTCATATGGATACACCCTAATCTAGTATGGATAGATGAATATGGATGAGGATGTATCCTAGTCCAACTGGTATCCCCATAAAAAGAGGAGATTTAGAAACAGTCAGTATACAGACTGAGAGGACAGCCATCTGCAAGCCACGGAGGCGTCAGGAGAAACCAAACCTACTGACACCTTGATGTTGGATATCTGGCTTCCAGAAATGTCAGAGAATAAATGTCTGTTGCTTATCCACCTAGTCTGTAGTATTTTATTATGGCAGCCTGGGCAGGTGAATACAGCCACAATCTAATTTTAGAACATTTTCATCATTCCATCATCCAATTTTCCTTTATCTCCCCCAGGCCCTAGTTAACCACTAATCTATTTTCTGTTGTATAGATTTGTCTGTTGTATAGGTTTGTCTATTCTGGACATTTTATTTAAGAGAAATCACACAATATGTGGTCTTTTGTGACCAGCTTCTTTCACTTAACATAAAGTTCATCCATGTTGTAGTATATGTCTATAATTCATTCCTTTTTATTGCTGAAGGAAGTTGCACTATTTGGGCATACCACATTTTATTTATTCACTCATTGGTTGAAGGAAATTTGGATTGTTTTCAGTTCTGGGCTGTGAATAAATTTGCTGTGAGCATTCATATACAAGTTTTTTGTGTGGACATCTGTTTTCATTTTTCCGGTGTATATGACTGGGTCAAATGGTTACTGGTATATTTAACATTTTGAAGAACTTCCAAACTGTTTTCCAGATTGGCTGTACCTTTTACATTCTTATCAGCCATGGATGAGAGTTCTAATCTCTCCACATTCTTGACAATACTGGTTTTTATAATATGTTTATGATAATAGTTAATAGTAGTTAGTGTGACTATTTATTATCTCTTGTGGTTTTGAGTTGCATTTGCCTAAGTGGCTAATTTTTGTTTTGTTTTGAAAATTTTTCATGGGCTTATTGGCCATTTTCATATCTTCTTTGGAGTAATGTTTATTCAGATTATTTGCTCATTTTTTAATGATTTAGTTGTATTTTTATTATTGAGTATTAAGAGTTCATTGTATATTCTGGATGTAAGTCCCTTATCAGGTACATGATTTACAAATGTTTTCATCTATCCTGTGGGTTGTCTTTTTGATGGTATCCTTTGTAGCCCAAATGGTCTTAATTTTGATGATATTAAATCTGTTTTTCTTTTGTTGCTTGTGCTTTTGGCATCTTATCTTCTAAGAAATCATTGTCTAATCCAAGGTCACAAAGATTTACTCCTATACTTTATTCTAACAGTTTTACTGGTATAGTTCTTACATTTTGATGTGACTCATTTGAGTTAATTTTTCTGTATGGAGTTAAATAAAGAAGTCTGCTTCATTCTTTTGTCTTCAGTCAGTTGTGCTAACACTATTTGCTGAAAAGACTTCTTTCCCCATTGAATTATCTCAGCATTCTTGTTGAAAATAAACAAACCATAAATGTAAAGCTTTATTTCTGGACTCTTAAATCTATTTCATTGGCCTATATGTTTATCTTTATGCCAATAACCCACTGTTTTGATTACTATAACTTTAGAGTACATTTGAAATAAGGAAGTGTGAGTCTTTCAACATTTTTTCTTATTTTTAAATATTGTTTTGGTTACTCTGGGTTTCTGCATTTCCATAAAATTTAGGATCTGCTTGTCTATTTCTACAAAGAAGACAGCTGGAATTTTATTTTCATTTCTATTATATATATTTTATAGATAAATATAAAAATATATAAATACATAATAAAAATATTTATTGAAGCTATTGAAATATGTATATATTTCAATAGATTTGGGGATACAAGTGGTTTTTGGTTACATAGATGAATTGTATAGTGGTGAAGTCTAGGATTTTAGTGTACCTGTCACCTGGGTGGTGTACATTGTACCCAATATGTAGTTTTTTATGTCTCTCCTTCCTCCCACCTTCCCCTCTTCTGAGTCTCCAATGTCCATTATACCACTCTGTATGCCTTTGCATACCCATAGCTTAGCACCCAGTTATAAGTGGGAACATCCAGTATTTGGTTTTCCATTTTTGAGTTACTTCACTTAGAATAATGTCCCTTATCTAAGTTGCTGCAAAAGACATTTCATTCTTTTTTATGCCTGAGTAGCATTCCATTGTGTATTCATACAACATTTTCTTTATCCACTCACTGGTTGATGGGCACTTAGGTTGATTCCATATCTTTGCAATTGTGTATTGTGCTGCAATAAACATTTACATGCAGGTGTCTTTTTGAAACAATGACTTCTTTTCCCTTGGGGAGATACCCAGTAGTGGGATTGCTGGATCAAATGGTAGATCTACTTTTAGTTTTTTGAGAAATCTCCATACTGTTTTTTATAGAGGTTGTACTAATTTGCATTCCCACCAGCAGTATATAAGCATTCCCTTTTCACCAGATCCATGCCAACATATATTGTCTTTGACTTTTTAATAATGGCCCTTCTGGCTGCAGTAAGGTAGTATTTCATTGTGATTTTAATGTGCATTTCTCTGATGATTAGTGATGTTGAGCATTTTTTCATATATTGGCCATTTGTTTATTTTATTTTGAGATGTGTTTATTCATGTCATTTGCCTACTTTTTGAAGGGATTATCTGCTTTTTCCTTGCTGATTTGAGTTGCTTGTAGATTCTAGGTATTAGTCCTTTGTCAGACGCATAGTTTGCAAACGTTCTCTCCCATTCTGTGGGTTGTCTGTTAACTCTAGTGATTATTTCTTTTGCTATGCAGAAACTTTTTAGCTTTGTTAGGTCTCATTTATTTAATTTTGTTTTTATTGCATTTGCTTTTGGGGTCTTGATCATAAATTCTTTGCCTAGGCCAATGTACAGAAGAGTTATTCCTAGGTTTTTTTGTAAAATTTTTATGGTTTCAGGTTTTAGATTTAAGCCTTTAATCCATCTTGAGTTGACTTTTGTATATGATGAAAAATGGGGATCCAGTTCATTCTTCTACCTGTGGCTGTTCAGTTTTCCCAGCACCATTTATTGAATAGGGTGTCTTTTCTCCAATTTATGTTTTTGTATGCTTTGTCAAAGATCTGTTGGTTGGAAGTATTTGGCTTTCTTTCTGGGTTCTCTATTCTGTTCCATTGATCTATGTATCTACTTTTATAACAAGCACCATGCTGTTTTGCTTACTATAGCCTGGTAGTGTAATTTGAAGTCAGGTAATGTGACGCCTCAAGGTTTGTTCTTTTTGTTCAGGATTGCTTTGGCTATTTGGGCTCCTTTTTGGTTCCACATGAATTTTATGATTGTTTTTTCTAATTTGTGAAAAATGATATTGGTATTTTTATAGGAATTGCATTGCATCTGTAGATTGCTTTGGGCAGTATGGTCATTTTCATGATATTGATTCTTCCAATCCATGATCATGGGATGTATTTCCATTTGTTTGTGTCATATATGATTTGTTTTAGCAGAGTTTGGTAGTCTTCCTTATAGAGATCTTTCACCTCGTTGGTTAAGTTTTTGTTTGTTTGTTTTTTTCAGCTATTGTGAAAGGGATGTTCTTGATTTGATTCTCAGCTTGGTCGTTGTTCGTGTAAGGCAGTGTTATTGATTTATGTAAATTGATTTCATAACCTGAGACTTTACTGAATTCATTTATCAATTTGAGGCATCTTTTGGAGGTGTTTTTAGGGTTTTCTAGGTATATAATCGTATCATCAGCAAACAGAGGTAGTTTGACTTCCTTTTTTCCAAATTGAATAACCTTTATTTCTTTCTCATGTCTGATTGCTCTGGACAGCTGGAATTTTAAAGGAATTGTATTAAATTTGTACATCTATTGGGAAATATTACCATCCTAACAATATTAAGTCTTCTGATCCATAAACATGGGATTTCTTTGCACTTATTTAAATCTTTAATTTCTTTCAGCAATGTTTTGTAGTTTTCAGTGTAAAATTCTTCCACCTTTTTTCAATTTATTTTTAAGTATTCTATTTGATTCTATTGTATATGGAATTGTTTTTAACTTTTATTTTAGATTGTTTATTGCTAGTTTACAGAAATACAATTGACTTTTGTATGTTGATTTTCTATTCTTCAAACTTGCTGAACATATTTCAATGTAAACATATTTCAATAGTTTTTTAGTGTATTCCATTCGGTTTCCCATGTGCAAGGTCATGCCATTTGCAAATATAAATAATTTTACTTCTTCCTTTCCAATCTGGATTTTTAAAATGTTCTTTCCATTGCCTAATCACCTATCCAAAAGCCTCGAGTATAATGTTGAATAAAAATGGTGAGCAGACATCCTTGTATTGTCTCTAATCTTAGGGGAGAAAAATTCAGTCTTTCAGTGCTAGCATTATGTTAGCTATAGGTTTTTTATAGATGCCCTTGATTAGGTTGAGGAGTTCTATTCTATTCTTAATCTATTGAATATTTTTATCATTAAAGATTGCTGGATTGTGTTAAATGCTTTTTCTGTGTCTACTGAGGTGATGATGTAGATTTTTTCCTTTATTCTATTAATATCACGTATTACATTGGTTGGTTTTCAGATGTTTAACCAAATTTGTATTCCTAGGATAAATCCTACTGGGTCATGGTAGATAATCCTTTTTACATTTTAATACATTTGATTTCAATTTTGAATTTGTTAGTATTTTGTTGAGATTTTGGTATCTATATTCATAACTGATATTGGTCTTTAGTTTTTTTGTGTTGTCTTTGGTTTTGGTGTCATAGAATGTGTTGAGAAGTTTTTCTTCAACTTTTTTCTGAATGAGTTTGTGGGGTTGATTTTCATTCTTCTTTACATGTTCTGTAGAATTTACCAGTGATTCCACCTGGGCCTAGGCTTTTCTTTGTGGGAAGTTTATAAATTATTGATTAAATCTTGTGGTGATTGTTATAGGTCCATTCAGATTTTCTATTTATTCTTGATGATTTCTGTAACTTTTGCCTAAGAATTTGTCCATTTCCGGCTGGGCCCGGTGGTTCACGCCTATTATCTCAGCACTTTGGGAGGCTGAGGCAGGTGGATCACTTGAGGTCATGAGATTGAGACCAGCCTGGCCAACATGGTGAAACCCCGTCTCTACTAAAAATAAAAATTAGCTGGGCATGGTGGTGTGTGTCTCTAATCCCAGCTACTCGGGAGGCTGAGGCAGGAGAATCCATTGAACCTGGGAGACAGAGGTTGCAGTGAGCTGAGATTGTGCCATTGCACTCCAGCCTGGGTGACAGAGCAAGACTCCGTCTAAAAAAAAAATTGTCCATTTCATCTAAGTTGTTTAATTTGTTAACGTACGTTAATTGTTCAATAATTACTGATTGTCAAACAGTAACATTAATTTTTTGTATCATTCTCTTATAATTCCTTTTGTTTGTGGAAGGTTTGTAGTGAAACACTCTCTTTTATTCCTGATTTTCATAATGTTAGTTTTCTCTTTTTCTTGTTCAGTCTAACTAAAAGTTTGTTAATCTTGTTTCTATTTTCAAAGAACTAACTTTTGGTTTTATTGATTTTTTTTTCTATTTTTTTTTTTTTTTTTGAGATGAAGTCTTACTCTTGTCACCCAGGCTGAAGTGCAATGGCATGATCTCGGCTCACTGCAACCTCCACCTCCCGGGTTCAAGCGATTCTCCTGCATCAGCCTCCCGAGGAGCTGGGATTACAGCTCCTGCCACCACGCCCAGCTAATTTTTGTATTTTTTTTTCTTTTTAGTAGAGACACAGTTTCACCATGTTGGCCAGGCTGGTCTCGAATTCCTGACCTCAGGTGTCTGCCTGCTTTGGCCTCCCAAAGTGCTGGGATTACAGGCATGAGCCACCGCACCTGGCCTATTTTTCTATTTTCTATTTTATTTATTTCCACACATATTTTTTATTTTCTTTCTTTTTGCTTTGAGCCTAATTTGTTCCTATTTTCTAGTTTCTTTATTCAAAAATTAGGCTATTGATTTGAGATCTTTCTTTTTTAAAAAATTTATGCATTTACAACCATAAATTTTTCTCCAAGAATTGTATTGGCTACATCACATAAATTTTAGTCTGTTGGACTTTTGATTTCATTGGTCTCAAATCATTTTCTTATTTCCCTTTTGATTTTTTCTTTGGTTATTTAAGAGAGTGCTGTTCAACATCCACATGTTCAAACATTTCTCAGTTTTTCTTCTGTTATTCCAAACGTCATTGTCTTGTATTTGGAAAACATACTTTGCATGATTTAAATTCCTTTGAATATATTATGGCTTGTTTTATAGTCTATAATAGGGTTGATGCTGAAAAATATTCCATATATGCTAAAGAAGAATATATTCCACTGTTGCTGGGTAGAATGATCTATAGTTGTTTTTCAGGTCTAATGAGTTTATATTGTGTTCACACTTTTTATATTGTTGCTCTTTTGTTATCCTCCCATCCACATACATCGATTCAAGTCACTGTCTAATATTACTTCTCTTCAGCCTGAAAACCTTTGAGTACTTTTTACAAGGAAGGTCTGCTGACAATAAATTCCCTCAATTTTTGTACTATAGGAATATCTTTATTTTTGCCTTAAGTTTTGAAAGATAGTTCTGCTATATATTTTAACTGACTTTTGTCCTCAGTACTTTGAGTATGTCATCCTGCTGACTTCTGATCTCCATTGTCTGTGATGAGAAGTCAGCTGTAAGTCTCACTGGGATCTCTTCCTATGTAATGAGTTAATTTTCCGTTGCTGTTTTCAAGGTTTTCTCTTCGTCTTTCAACAATTGATTATGGTGTTGCATCTATCCTACTTTGAGTTCATTGAGCTTTTAGGATGTGTAAATTAATGTTTATTGTTAAATTTATAAGGTTTTCAGGCATTATTTCTTTAAATATTTTTTCCTTCTCCTTTCTGGTACTCCCGTTTCGTATATGTTTGAAAGTTTAATGTTGCCCAAAATGTTTGTCTGAGGCTATGTTCATTTGGCTTTACTCTTTTTTTTCTCTCTTTTTAGGTTGCATAGTCTCCATTGATCTATTTTGAAGTTTTCTGATTCTTTTTTTTTAATTTTTTCTTCTGCCACTTTAGATATACTGCTTAGATATACTGCCACTTTAGATATACTGCCACTTTAGATATACTTCTGCCACTTTAGATATACTCCAGTGAGACATTTTTTATTTCTGTTATTTTTTTTTTAGCTCTGGAATGTCCATTGGTTTTTTTAAAATAACATTTATCTTATATTGATATTCTGTATTTTAATTAGACATTATTATACTTTAATTATTTAATTATAACTTTGTTTAGTCCTTTGAACATATTTCTAATACTTGCTTTGAAGTGCTGCCTGTTAAGTTAGATATTTAGGCCTTCTCACAGACAATTTCTGTTGCTTGCTTTTATTCCTATGTGTGAAGTCACATTTGCATCTCATAATTTTTAGTTAAAACTGGACATTTTAGATTATATATAGCAGCAATTCTGGATACTGATTTTCATCTCCTCTGGAATATAAAAATGGTCAGTGGAAACAAAGACACCATTAGATTCAACTTATTTATTTTCTTGCCTCGACTTTTTCAGAAAATATTCATAGTCAATATTAAGACTTATTGAATAAAGAGAAATAGAGATATTAGGAACTAAAAGGAAATAAAATATAATAGGAAATAAAATATTGAGTCCAGGCCCTGTGGCTCATGCCTGTAATCCCAGCACTTTGAGAAGCTGAAGTGGGTGGATCATTTGAGGTCGGTGGATCATCTGAGGCTGGGAGTTCGAGACCAACCTGACCAACATGGAGAAACCTCGTCTCTACTAAAAATACAAAATTAGCCTGGTGTGATGGCACGCACCTGTAATCCCAGCTACTAGGGAGGCTGAGGCAGGAGAACCACTTGAACCCAGGAGGTGGAGGTTGCAGGGAGCTGAGATCACGCCATTGCACTCCAGCCTGGGCAACAAGAGTAAAACTCCATCTCAAAAAAAAAAAAAAATATATATATATATATATATAAAATAATAAAAGATTGAGCAAAAGTGTAAAAATTCTTCATTGTACAGGATGAGATAGATATCTATTTTCTACCTCCCCAGGTTGAATATTACTGGATTTATAGGGAGAGGGGACAACTGAAGGGAAAATCAAAAGAAATTGAAATTACTTCTCTATTTTTCTATTTTTGAGAGCAGTATTTTGATACTGCACTGAACTACTTTTTTAAAACAGGCTATGAACTGTGTCCTTCTGGAAAACTAATAAGAGTGAGACAAAGTCCAAAGGAGATGGAAAGGGGAGATGGCTACTCAGCATAATTTTTCAAATCTAGGCTGTAAGAGATAAACGCTTTGAGCTTTTCTTCTAACTCATCTGGTGTAGGTAGCTAGGAGAATGAATACAACACATTTTATAGAGCAAAATCTGTACAATTAGGTGTTTGGATTTTACTAAATTGTGTTATTGCATGGTTTATGTCTGCCTGAATCCTTTTTGTTATTTTCTGATAATAGCATCCCCCCCCCCTTTTTTTTTTTCTTTTTTTGAGACAGAGTCTCGCTCTGTCGCCCAGGCTGGAGTGCAGTGGCACAATCTCGGCTCACTGCAAGCTCCGCCTCCCGGGTTCACGCCATTCTTCTGCCTCAGCCTCCTGAGTAGCTGAGACTACAGGCGCCCGCCACCACGCCCGGCTAATTTTTTGTATTTTTAGTAGAGACGGGGTTTCATCGTGTTAGCCAGGATGGTCTCGATCTCTTGACCTTGTGTTCCGCCCGCCTCAGCCTCTCAAAGTGCTGAGATTACAGGTGTGAGCCACCACGCGTGGCCAATAGCATACCCTTTCATCTGGGGAAGATCTCTTCTCTATTTCTCATGTTCAGGAGAAGCACTTGATGATAGTACCTACCCATCGATCCTCACGGATGTGGGCCTCTGAGCCACATCTTTTTGTTTGTACAATTATTTCTCTGTATTTCTCTACATGCTAGGAACTTTATTCGTGCAATACATTTTTCTTTCCTTCATTAGGTCAGTCAAAGTCTATGCTAATTGCAATTAAAAAATCGCTAGACACCTAGACCTATGTGATATTTGTCTCTTTAGACCTTTATTCTAACTCATGGGACCCCCTCACACAGGTTAATATTACTGACCAAATAACATTGATGATAAGGCAATTATCTATTTCAAATACAAAGAGTAAAAAAAGAATGAATTAGAATGAAAAATTTGTTTAAGAGAACTTAATACTACTGGTGCATTACATATCAGTAGAGAGGAAATGTTGAAAGAGTAACTAGATGCCAAAATGACTAAATTTGGAATTTGGAGAGGGAACTAGAAGGAGAGTGGAAAGAGGCCAAGCTATTCCTTTAACTACTTTAAAGAGGAAAACAAAGAACTCACTGTAATTCAGAAGGCAGTAGGAGAAAATTCTGCACACACCAACAAAGCACATTGTGCCCAGGCAATTTCTTCCTTAAGTCCTGTCCCACTGAGACTTTTTGGCAGCATCTGTATCATGCCTGATGTAAGCTTTGTAGCGTCCTTGGTCTGCTAGTTGGAGCTCCTCCTGCTAGTGGGTTTACTATTGCCACCGCCAGTGCAGGGCCTGTAGGTTGGTTCTGCAGTGCAGCACGCTGGGGCTTTTCCATCCCAACTGTCACCTGTCACCACCTTCCCTGCCAAGTCTCCCCCTAGCTATTGCCTTTGTCCTCTGTGTTCTGTTGCTGGGAGTTCTGCTGATGTTATGCCAGCGCTCTTTGGTTAATGCCCCCAGTATCCCTGCTCTTGTCTTTCTCAAAGATGACAGTATTCTATTCTCTCTTCTAGAAGAAAGGGCAAATTCATTAACACCTCTCTTTACAACCGTCCTCTGCACTCCCTTCCACAAACAAAACCATGTGATCTTAGCTCACAGACATGTTGAACATTGTTCAACATGAGTTCTGCTGGTGAGCTTTTTCATTCAGTGTTCCTCAAGGCTCAGAAAACAGAAGATCCCTAGATCAAAACCAAGTTCCAATTCCATAACTTCAGGCGTTCACCTTGCTCATTGTCCCGGATGAGAGGGGGCATCCTGAGGCCTAGCCATTCATGGAGATGTACTGGGTGAGTCCCATACCTTTTCTGATTCCCAGATTTCTCACTTTTTTTTTTTTGAGATGGAGTTTCGCTCTTTTTGCCCAGACTGGAGTGCAATGGCGCGATCTTGACTCACTGCAACCTCCACCTCCCGGATTGAAGCGATGCTCATGCCTCAGCCTCCCAAGTAGCTGGAATTACAGGCATGTGCCACCACACCCAGCTAATTTTTGTATTTTTAGTAGAGATGGGGTTTCACCACATTGGTCCGGCTGGTCTCGAATTCCTGACCTCGGGTGATCCACCTGCCTTGGCCTCCCAAAGTGCCAGAATTACAGGCGTGAGCCACTGCTCCCAGCCTGATTCCCAGATTTCTAAGTGGGGGACTGCAATAAATATTATGTTTTATGGTAATACTTCATAATACACTGTCACAGCTAAAGCATATGCTGTCTTTTCTTCTCTTTTCCCTCTCATTTTACTCCAATAATTTCACTATGTTTAGGAGGAAAATCCTCCTAGCTTCTTCAGCGATTTTGCTTTATGGCTTCAGCTTCTCCCTAACCCGCTCCTCCTCCTGCCCCAAACAAATGCAGTTCCCTAAGTTGCATTGTCATGGCCTCTGTGATCACCAGCAATTCTATACCATCAGCCTTTGATGCAACCGTATATTCTGGGGAATTTTGTACATTAAGAAGGCAGATAGGCACCTTACGCAGAGCAAGTTTGACCCATTTCCAACAAATAAATTTACCAGTTTCAACAGACTCCTTCAGATTCTAAATATAACTGCTCATGCTGACGTGTGGGTGACTCGCATCACTGCTCCTCTGAAAGTCTAGTGTTTGAGCATGAAGAGGTTGTAAACTTCACTTTTTCTTTTGTTGTAAAAAGACGTTCATTGACTTACACATGACAATCTGTATGCTTCACAAATTTGTTACAGAAAAAGGGCAGAAGAGGCTGGGAACAGTGACTCATGCCTGTAATCCTAGTACTTTGGGAGTTCAAGACCAGCCTGAAAAACAAAGCAAGACCCTGCCTCTGAAAAAAAAAATATACATATGTATATTTTTTATATATATAAATATATATAAAATATAGAAATATACATATATAAATATATATGGAAATATACATATATCAATATATATGGAAATATACATATATCAATATATATATGGAAATATACATATATATATATATATATGGAAAAGAAAGGGCACAAAAGTAGAGAGAATTTGAGAGACATTTCAATATTTGGGAAATGAGTCCTAGTGCTTTACCTCATTACTTTTAAACCAAGATTCAATTCAAGAAAACAAAGGCAAAAATGACAATGGAAGATGGATAAAATGTGACAGGTTTTAGGAAAACATTTTTAACACTGTAAGGCTATATAACAGGTCCTAAGAAAACGTACTATCTTTTTGATAGAAGGAAAATATCTTTTTAAAAAACTTTAAAAAGCTCTTTCTTTTTATTTTAAACTTTTATCAGACTGAGTGACATGTTTCTCACTGACTCTCTGTGTTAGAAAGATTCAGAGTATTTCAGATTGAGGTTCAGTTCATGTTAATTAATGTATTTATTTTATAGATATGGGTTCTCGCTATATTGCCCAGGATGATCTTGAACTCCTGGGCTCAAGTGATCCTCCTGCCTTGACCTCCCAAAGTGCTGGGATTATAGGCGTGAACCACCATGCGCAGCCTCAGTTAGTACTTATTGAAAGCTTATTGCATGTAAAGGTTTTATCTGAAGTTTTCAAGTATATTACCTCATTGAGCACTCAAAATAATATTATAAAATAGTCATTATTATTGCCATTTTACAGGTGAGCAAATTGAGGCTTGTGACAATTAGTGATTTCCCTAAAGTTGAAGCAGAGAGTCAGATGAAATCCTTCCTAATGTTCTTAAACTGCTGCAAAACCAGTACAATTTTCTAAGACCCAACCAAAACTAAAGGAAGTGACAATGAAAAATGATCAGAACTCTCTCCTGAGAGTGGGAGTACCTATAAGCAGGCAATTAAAGTGTTGCCTAGGGGAAAACAGTAGCTTTCTCCAAAAACCATGCAGAGCACTCAAGGCTTCAGAGGGTCACTAAATCCAAGCCTGAGCTCATAAAGATCCACCAGGGCCCTGGGAGGAGGGCACATGCCCACAACTTCCCAAAGAACAGTATTCATAGCTGTTGGAAATGAGACAGAGCTATGCAAAACACATGTACGCCACCTCATACATTGTCACGTCTTTGTGACTGTGCAAAAGGTGTGAGTTTGTCATCGTGGTAGACAATAAAGATAAAGGAAATCTGTGAATACTTGAGTAACCTGTGCTTGGATTGCATGAGTGTTCTGTCCATACCCCCTGGCAGCCTGCAGAGATGATGCGTTTAGGCCAGCACTGCGGAGCTTCACCATGGCTGGCACACAGGGGCCTTACTCCTCTTCATGTATTCTTGCCTGCCGTGTAAAGTCATCTCATGAAGAGACCCTCCAGCTCTGTTCATTCCTCCAAATCCATGCTCTATTCCTGACCACATTAAAATACTCTGAGTGCCATCTTGCCCTGAACCAAACATTTTACTCATGCTCTGTTTATGTCCCTGACTACTTTCCATGGGGGTGAAATCTATTTCAAAATGAGACACGACTTTAAAAACAATTGTTTTATGGAGTGCAGGCAGCACAAGATTCCAGATTAGAGTGAATACAAGCTTCTCTGGAGAGCAGGCTTGGGTAGGGCCAAGGGAGGGTTATGGTGGTGGTTCAGTGTGAAGGACCTCTACTGTCTAGTAGTCAGAAGACTGAGATACCAGACATGGCATTCAGGCATCCAAAGTTACTGGTTGTATTAGTCAGGGTTCTCTAGAGGCACAGAACTAACAGGAGATATATCTATATATACAGATATAGATATATCTCCTGTTAGTTCTGTGTATATATATTAATATTAATATATTATATATATAAAGTAATATATATAATAAAGTAATATATATATATATCTTTATTAAGTATTAACTTACATGATCACAAGGTCCCACAGTAGGCCGTCTGCAAGCTGAGGAGCAAGGTAAGCCAGTCCGAGTCCCAAAACTGAAGAACTTGAAGTCTGATGTTTGAGAGCAGGAAGCATCCAGCATGGGAGAAAGATGTAGGCTGGGAGGCTAGGCCAGTTTCTCCTTTTCATGGTTTTTTTTTTTTTTTTTGGCCTTCTTTATATTCGCTGGCAACTGATGAGATTGTGCCCACCAGATTAAGGGTGGATCTGCCTTCCCCAGGCAACTGACTCAAATGTTAATCTCTTTTTGGCAACACTTTCACAGATACACCCAGGATCAATACTTTGTATCCTTCAATCCAATCAAGTTGACAGTCAGTATTAACCATCACACTGATTAACATTAAATAAGAGGTTTCTATAAGTGGACTTACAGTATTTAATGAGAAGACAGGTAAGATAAGGTGTGTGAAAGCATTATGGTACCTGGAATACAACACTCTAAATGCACTGGTTATTAGAAAGTGGGGATTGGAAGTGGCAGAAGAATAGAAATGGGCCCAGGGGAAGCCACGTGGTTGAAGGGTTGAAACCCCTGCACTTGCTGGTGGTTTTTTCAAGGGTTTTTTCTAGGGATCTAAGAGGTAGATGTTTTAAATATGGCTTAGTTTTCTTCCTATTCTTCATTGATCAGTCAGTGGCTTGTTGGTCATGGATGACATCAATTGCTCTGATGATACAAATGCTTCAGTTTTCCTTGCTAACATCCACCTGATGATGAAAGAGGGCTCTGTTGCTCTCGTTCAGGTTCCCCTAGGGTTCTGAAATTCTGCAGCATGCACTAACCTGATTGCTACAACTGCAGACTTAGAAAAATGTGGTCACTCTTGAGGTGGCTAAAGTAGAATTTAGAACATCTGGGAACATCAAGTCAGCAGCTGTCTCTGGCTCAGTGTCTCTGCCATGTTTTCTTCTTTTGGGTGATCCAGAGGAAGAGAATCCAGTAGCAGAGGAAGAGAATTGTCCAATTGCAAATTCCCTGATATGAGTTAGAGGAAGAAATGGTGTTAGAGGAAGTGATATATATATAATAGTGATATAGTGTTAAAGGAAGAAAGGTTCTTTTGTCCCCTATAATGTTATCTGGAATGTTTAGATTGCTGAGACAATGCCTAACTGACTTTTGAGATAGAAATAAAGTTTACTGCTACAGGTGAGCTCCTGGGCTTTAACTTTGGCTGAGCTAGAGGGTACCAGAAGAGGCAAGACTGACTCCAGGATTTCTCCATTGGAAAGGTTTGGGCACTACTCTAGTTGCCAGCATGGGTTGGGGTAGTGCAGGGAGTGTTGGCCTTGCCAGGGGTTTGTTAGGTAAACACACTGCTTTTACTTAGAGTGTATGTTTCATTGGAGTGGCCTGGGGATCATAGTGTTTCTGATTATGGGTGAGGGCACCTAAGCCCCATCAACAACTCCACAGTGCCAACTCAAGAGCAGATGGGTTGGAGAAACCATGTCAATTGCTTGCTGAAGTATAATGGACAGCACATTAACCAGGGAGGTTGGGAAACCTGGCTTCCAGTTCTAGCTCTGCTGACAGTGTCATACTTTGCAAGCCAGACTCTCTTCTCTTTAGATGCTAGGTTAATAATACTGAAATTAGAGAAGGAGTCTAGATCAACACGATTTCATAGAATATAATGTGAGAAACACATGCAACTTCACATTTTCTAGCAGCCACATTAAAAACATCAAAATAAATAAGTACAATTATAATATTCTATTTTACCCCACATATCCACAATATAATCGTTCCAACAAGTATCCAACATAAAAATAACTGATGGGATATTTAACATTCTTCCTTGTACTAATTCTTTGACGTCTGATATTTATACTTATGGCATATCTTAATTTGATTAGCATGTTTTAAGTTCTCAGGGGCTCCACGTCACTGCCGCATTGGACAGCGCATCTCTAAATGAGTCTAAAGGCCTGTCTAGACAGGCCATCCTTGAAATGTTTTGCCGTTGACTTAGTCATCCTTCTGCTGGGTTTTCAACTCTCAGGGACCCCTGTGTCAACCTGAATACGCAGGAAGAAATAATTTGTGACTAGACCCTCTGCCCCAGATAGGCTATAGGCCTCCCAGGAACAAAGCATATAACTCCCCCACTTACCTTGGGAAATTGCTTTAAGATCCCGTGTGAAAGGAGATGATAAATACAAATGCAAAGTAATTAGTCCTTGAGCATTTCTTCTTACATAGTCATGGACGTAAGTGCAGTCTGTGATGCATGTTCCTGCCCGAAGCCTCAGGAAGCCTAATTAACAATCTCCTGTAAAGTGCTAGGAGATGCTCCAGATGAAAGGTGGTTAGTGAAAGCCAAACATCATCCTGAGCAACATTTGATCCTGCCCCTCCTGGGGCTGCACCATTACCACCTGGACTGACGTCACTTTCTGCAGTTAGCAGCTCTTCTGCCAGGAAAAAGAAGAAATGGGAGTGTCCAGGTCCCACCAGGTGACCCATTAAAAAAACAAAAAAGAAACACCCCCGGACTTTTGCTCCAGGGGCCTTGCCTGCTCATCCATTCTAAGAAGCCAGATCCCATTTTCTCCAAATTACACTCTTACTGCCTAATTGAGCGCTCTTCTCCTTAAGCTGAAGTCACTTAGGGTAGTAGATGAGTCAGAAACACCAGTGTGGTTTCATTTGCTTTGAAGGCAGTTTTTTTCTTTTTGTCAAGTTGAGTTTGTCCTCAGGACAAATGTGAAGGAGGTAGAGTTTATCTTTAACGCATGTCTACTTTCTCTTTCTAAGGGCTATTACCCTTCATTGGGACCTGGCTGTACTAGTCAGGGTTCTCTAGAGAAACAGAACCAAAAGGATATATATATTTAAAATATATATGCCATATATATGTGTATATATGGCATATTTGAGATACATAGTATGATATATGTGATACATACATATCACATCATATATCTATGTGATAGAAATTGTCTCACATCATTATGGAGGCCAAGGGGTTACAATCCATGATTTGCAAGCTGGAGAACCAAGAAAAGAAGGTGAAGTGGGGGTGGCAGTGATGGTACAAATCCCAGCTCAAGTCCAAAGGCCCAAGAACCAGGAGCACAGATGTCTGAGGGTAGGAGAAGATGGATGTCTCAGTTCAGAGAGAGTGAATTCACCCTTCCTCTGCCATTTTGTTTTATTTAGGCTCTCAATAGATTAGCATTGGATAACGCCCATCCACATTGGTGAGGGTAGTCTTCTTTACTTAGCCTTACTATCTCAAATGCTAGTCTATGCCAAAAACCCTTCACAGACACCCAGAAATAATGTGCTACTAGCTATCTGGGCATCCCTTAGCCCAGTCAAGTTAACATATACAATTAGCCATCACACTGACCACCCAGCAGGCCTTCTCTCTTCTCCTCCTACCCTGCTATCTCTAAACCAAGCCCTGGACTCATATGTTACCATTTCACCTTTAAAATTGCTTTCTCACAATTGCTATTTTATAAACATTTTACTATATTTATTTTATCAGATGTGAAAACCATAATGGTTGAGTTCATTCATTCCTTTTTATAGTTTATTTATTCTTCAACATTTACTTAGCACTCCTTATGTATCAGTGTGCTTGGCAGTCAATGAGCTGGGCTTTTGAAGTGAGACATGTCTCTTTTGATAATTCTTTTTTTCTGCCTGTCCTTTAAATGCTGATTTTCCTCTGGGGTCTATCCTTAGACCAGTGTTCTCATGTGTTCATGGAATGTTCTCTTTAGTCCACATGGTCTCTCGAGTCTGCTGCACTTGGCTATGAAGGTTGTCAACCTCACTATTTCAGGGAGCCCCAGGATAGAGTTGAGTTCTATAGTGGTTGGTTCTACTTTCTCTAAGAAATCTCAACTAATCCTGTGCCAATGACCCCAAATCTGTGTCACCAGAGTCTTCCTTATTCTTCAATATTAGGCTGCCTGGATTCAGTTTGATTTGATTTGGTTTGACTTGATTTGGTTCCCCTCCCTTCCCTTCTTTCCTTCTTCCTTCCTTGTAGATAGGTTGCACATAACATATAAAAAATTGATACATAATATTTTACACATTTATGGGGTACATGTGAGTATTTGTTACATGCATATACTATATAATGATCAAGTTAGGGTATTTATGGATTCCCCACCTTGAGTATTTGTCATTTCTGTGTTGGGAACATCAAAAACCTCTCTGATAGCTACTTTGAAATATACAATACATTGTTGCTAACCGTAGTTACCCTACTCTGCTATCAAACATTAGAAGTTATATCCTCTATCTAACTATATGTTTGTACCCATTAACCAACCTCTCTTCATCCCCTTTCCCACCCACAGACCCTTCCAAGCCTCTGGTCTCTATCATTCTATTCTCTACTTCCACGAAATAAACACTTTTAGCTCCCACATATCAGCAAAAACATGTGATATATGCCTTTTATGGTAGAACATAACATTTACCTACAGTGAAGTGTATCAAGTTGATTGGTTTTGGCTGCTTTGACAAAATGCCATAGACTGGGTTGTTTAAACAACAGAAATTTATTTCTCATAGTTCTGGAGTCTGGGAAGTCCAATATCAAGGTGCTGGCTGATTCAGTTCTTGGTGAGGACTCTTCCTGGTTTTCAGATAACCATCTTCTTGTGTATCCTGACATGGCGGAGTGGGACAAAGAGGAAACAAGCTCTCTTCCGTCTCTTCCTGGAAGTGTACCGATCCCATCCTGAGGGCTCCACTCTCATGACCTAATTATCTCCAAAGGTCCCATCTTTAAATACCATCATATTGGGAATTGGAATTTTAAGGCATGAATTTTGGGGTAGACGCAAACATTCAGTATATAGCAGGCTCTAATCTTAAGTGTATATCATAATACGTTTCCACATATGTGCACTCGTGTGTATCCTCTACCCAGTTCAACATACAGAAGGCATCTAGCTCCCTAGAAAGTGAACTCATGCCCCTTCTCAGTTGCTGCCATCGCCCAGAGGTAACAAGTTTTGAGATCTTTTTATGTTTATTTTTCTCTCTGTCACCCAGGCTGGAGTGCAGTGGTGCGATCTCAGCTCACTGCACCCTCAACCTCTCAGATTCAAGCCATCTCCCACCTCAGCCCCCCAAGTAGCTAGGACTACAGGTGCGTGCCACCATATCTGGCTAATTTTTGTATTTTTGTAGAGGCAGAGTTTTGTCATGTTGTCCAGGTTGGTCTCGAAGTCCTAAGCTCAAGCGATCCACCCGCCTCAGACACCATTTTTGAAACTTTTTGACCATAGATCAATTTTGCTTGTTCTTGAACTTCACATACATAGGATGTGAAGCTTGTATTTTGTTGTGGGCTAGGATGGGGGCAAGTAGTTTGGCTTCTTTCACTCAATGCAATGTCTGAGAGATTTATCCTGTTGTTGTATATATCAATATTTAGGACCATATTTCTGATGGGATATTTCTACTTGTATATCCTGCTGGAAAATTCAATGCTATATACCACAGCCAAACACACTATTTCTATATTTTAAAATATGAACAGAGGTAACCTTTGGATCAGAATAATTAAAGCTGACCCTATAGAGTTTCTGGAATATTTTAATGAGATAATGTATATAAAATGCCTAGCGTACTACTCGAATAGTTGAAGTCAAAACAGTTATTCAGAATTAGGGAAGGGTGACATCCTTATTGCTCCTTTTTAATCTTAGTTGTCTACTTGCTATTTAAGGGAGATAGGTCTTGAGCCATCTAGTGGTCATGGTATTAATAGATATTTCAGCCTTTAATAGTACTAAATAAAATGATTCTGTGCTCTGGGGGGATTTAGCGATGCATTGGGGTCTGCTTATTTGTACATTTGCATGTGAGTTAATTTCTTGGGAATTACATATTAGGCTTTGGTAGTACCTTAATTAAGCCTTCTGTGTGAGAAAAATGGTGTAGATATTCTGTCACCTTTAAGCATAGAGTGATGTCTTTAATAACATAGAGAATCTTAATAAAAATAAATAAAAATAAATAAAATAAGCATAACCCTAGCCTTCATTCCATGTAAGTGTCAGACTTCATTGCTGAAGTAGTAAATTTTTCATTTTGCATAACCTTAAAGCTTAAGCATAATGTGAATCTATGGTCGTCATAGAAGCTCTACCAAACATTATAAATATCTAGACAAAAGGAAAAAGGAAACAAAATTCTGGGAATTTGGAGCATAGAGTCAGGAGTCTCCCACTCTGGGAACTAATCCTGGAATCTGGGAAAGTGGCTGAACTGTAAATGTCTGGAGTCAGGAAAGAGTTATGCGTTGCTAGGAGCTCTATAAAGGAAAGAGTAACTACAGGAATTAAATTTCCACAAATCTCCAGTGCTATAGTTTTAGGCACTGCAGCTCAACTGCTGTAATACACACTTAACATGCTATAGAAGTGGCAAAATGCCAACTCCTTTCATACCCAAATTGTCATTTTAGCCTAGTTTGAGCTTTTATAGTGATAACACATTTAAAAATGGAAACAATAAGGAAACAAGATTTATTTTACACAGATTTGCTTCCCAGCTCATTCTGTGGCCATAGTCCATAACAATAAAAATGACAATAGTGAAAGAAAAGCACTTACCTTTTTTTCCCCCCAAAGTTCCTCCATTTCTCAGCCTCTTCTTTTTATGTAAATGCAGTAAAAAGGACATAAGAGTGACACCATGATCTGCTGGCTGCTGAAAATTTGGGGCAGCTACGGAGCCACTGAGTGGGCAGCAGTGATCAGAGGGGCAGGGCTCTTTCTGAACAGAGGCTATGAGGATCCTCAGGGTAAAGACACAGACCCACCTGTCTCTCTACAAGGCAGTGACAAAACACGGGGTAAGCAATGGCCCTGACCTCGCTGTGCTTCTATCTTCATCTCCAAGTTGTGATATTAATGGTATCCACCTCACTAGCTATGTTATTATTCATTCACTGAATATTTATTATCCTTGGTATGGGATATTCTGCTAATTGCAAAGATGTGAGTAAGACATGGCAACTCCTATGTTATTGCTGCTCCTTCTTATTTTAATTTAATTTTTGTTGTTGTTGTGTTTTGTTTTTTGAGATAGTCTTGCTCTCTTACCCAGGCTAGAGTGCAGAGGCGCTATCTCAGCTCACTGCAGTGTCTGCCTCCCGGGTTCAAGTGATTCTTGTGCCTCAGCTTCCTGAGTAGCTGAGATTGCAGGCACATGCCACCATGCCCAGCTAATTTTTTTTTTTGTATTTTTAGTAGAGCAGGGTTTTACCATGTTGGCCTGGCTGGTCTTGAACTCCTGACCTCAGGTGATCCACCTGCCTCGGTCTCCCAAAGTGCTGGGATTACAGGCATGAGCCACCATGCCTGGCCTGCTCCTCCTTTATTGCGAAAATGACCTTTTTCATGTGAAGACTGGACGGCTTGCAGATGGGAGTATCAAAAATAAGAACTCTGGGTCATGGCTTTGTGTGCAAAGGTCAAGGAGAATGTGTGATGGAAGAAACACAGCATGGTGTGACCGTAGCAATGTGACAAGTATTTCAGGACTTGAACCTCAGTTGTATGCATGTGACCTTGGACAAGGTACTTGCATTCTCTGAACTTTCTTCATGGAACAGAGATGATCATGCACACCTACTTCCTAGGATTGAGGTGAAGATCAATGAGGTAATGCATGAGGAAGACAGAGGAAAGGATAGAAAGTGATAATAATTATTCCCCATCCATATATTTACCACCTACTCTTCCAGTGATTTTTCTTTTTCACTTACTCTGTGCTGGGGTCCAGTGATAAGGCAGAGAGCAAGGCAGTCCTCCACAGCGTGGAGAAGGCCAAGTCTGCTGCAGCACACATGGGGACAAGCACAGCTCTCCTGCGGGCTTGGGTTGCAGCTACTTTGTATCTTGATGGCCTGAGACCAGATCTATGTTAGATGGCAGGTTTAGGAATATGGGCCATAAAAGAATCCTCCTCACTCAATTCATATGAGTTGGCTTCTGCATTTCATCGAGACTTCACCATCAAGACTCTTCTTGGGATGAGTGATGTAAAACAGGGAAGGAGGGAATAACTAATATATCAGGTTGTAGATGTCTGTTCACTTAGCCCTGATATTCCTACAAGACTTCTGTTAGCTTGCAGGGAAACCTTTATCTCTGGATTAAACTTCCAGTGTGCAGAGGGGCCTTATTTTGTACAATAGTTGTTTTTCTAAGGGGAAATGCAAAACAAAACAACAAAGATACAAACAAACCTGCCCAAAAATCTCATTTTAAACCTACGAGGACAGTTGTGGCTTATATTATAGGCTCAGGCAGCCCTAAGCACATGAACAGTCCTCCCTTAATTTATATAAAACTGGTAAAGTTAGTCTTGGATTTTCTCACAGTGAGAGATAGCCTTGTATTTAGTAACAAAAACTAACAGCTACCACCTGGGCTTGCTGGGGGCAGTTAGGAGCAGGTTATTCAGCTCTTACTTTAGATAAGCACTGGGTAAGAATGTCAGGTCTCCCCCTCCCCCCTTTTCCTGCTCCCCACATGCCACCCACCCCGGCTCTCCCAGATGTTTCAGATTCCAAGAATGTTTGCATTGATTAAACATTCTATTTTTTGCTTGTTTCCCCATCCTAGACCTTGAAAATGTTATCTCTACTTTTATTGCTTGAGATCAGGGTTACTTCTGGAAGGTGTGGCGTTCTGGGAAAAAAAAATCATATTCTGTGTTCTTCTCTCTCCTGGTTCTTTTCTTTCATATAAGTGGAAGCTAAAGTGACTTTAATGGCAGTTGTGATAGAAGGAGAGACTATCCAAAGTCTATCCTTGAAGGATTCTGCTAGAATGTTCCTTGAGTGATGGGTAAAGGAGTGTTTATGGGGCTTGTCTGCCATCTTTTTTTTTTTTTTTTTTTTTTAGAACCGGGCAGCCTTTGTTTAGTCATTAGGAGCATGGAGTTAATCCACGTGTGGGGAGGGGTGATATATGTGAGGAGGAAGAGAGGTGCGGATGGTTATATCGTCACATTCTGGGGAAGGAAATGAAAGGCAACAGTGCCAATGAACTGAATTTCGGAAAACAAGCCACAGACTAGAAATTAGTCCATCAGTTATTCAGTAGCCTAATTTTGATTCGAATGCACTTCACTGGTTTAGTACCCAGGTCATTGCCTTCAAGCTATGCTTGGGCTAGTGATCAGAGGCAACTAATATGGAATACATTGTGGACTTCAAGTTAGTAGACTTGGGATAAAACTAGATCTTGCCACTTCCCAACTCTACAGCCTTGGGCAAGTCAGTGAACCCTTCCGAACCTCAATTTCTTTATCTACTAAGACTTGGACTATAACATCTGCTTCATAGGACTGGCCTTTCCGTGTTCTTGTGAGCATTAAATGGAATAACATATGCAAAAATTTAAATCCATTGTTTGGCATCCAGTGGATGAATTGTACTGTCAGGAATTTTGAAGTTCATAGAGTGCCCTTTCCTGAGGAAGAGATGCTTTCATGGGGGCTTCTGTGCTCAAAATTGCTTTAAAATGACCCATACCATTCTAAAAGTGGATCTGATTTAGAGAATTCTGGGTCAAGGCTCTATTAAAATGCAAATTTTCATCAGTGGTTGTTCTTGACAAACTTTACTCTTTCACTATTTTGTGAAATAGGTGGGGTTTACAAAAATTGAAGGGTATGGTTTTAGCAATGATTTGGGGTGCTAATTCCCCCAATTTAAAGCATCAGATGGGGTCCATGACACTACTTAGGGACCTGTGAAAAGTGCAGAAACTCAGGCTCACCACAGACCTGTGGCATCAGAATATCTGAGGGTGGTGCTAGAAATCTACATTAAAAACCAAGCACCCTGGATGATTCTGTGCACAGCAAAGGCTGAGAGCCATTGCTTTAACTGTTATGGGTCATTTATTACTTAGGCTGACCATGGGATTTGAGCACAGATTTTGATGGTGTGGAAGGAAGTTGAGGAAGAAGAGGTAGCCAAGGGTTGGATGAGCGGTGAAGACAGAGATAGGAATAACTACAGACCAATTTTGCTGACTTCCTTGATGTGAGAACCATCCCTTGCCTCATTAGGAAGGATCACCTTCTAGAGAGTGAGACTAGGGCTGATTTCGAAGCACTTGAGCCTGGAGCGAACCAATAACTTGCTTTTTTTCCCCTTCATTTTTTGATTTTGCACAAGGTTCTGCAAAGTCTCAATGTTGTGCTTAGAGATCCATGGTGTGAGGACTGGAGAACGTACTCCAGCCATGAATTGTGCCAGCGGGAACTTATTGTTTTTTTTCCTCTCTGATTAGAGTAAGCGTAAATCACATGCTTGCTAGTAGCACAAAAAATAGGTGTGAATTAAGTTATTGTATTTCCTGAATTTAACTTTGCCTGCGTAATAATACTCAGCCCACATGAATAAAAGATGTGTTTTTCTCCCAGTGACACATCTGTGATTCCTCCCTCTACCTTCCCCACCCCAAACATCCTACAAGAAAAGGAAGAGAGCTTTAGCACCAAACACAAGGAGGTTTCACACAATTTAGCAGGCCATGGTGGAGTTCCTGGAATGGAGTGGAAAGCCCAAAATAGACATCCAGGAAGAAAAAAGGAAGCGGCTACAAAGACCTTACTTTAAGATTGCAGGACCCTGCTTTTATTGCCACAATTGAGTCACGTGAATTTTTGGTCTCTGCCACCAAGAGGGGTGTTTCCCATGGATTGATTCATGTTGCCTGTTTCCTCCCTGAAGGAAAAAAAGGAAACTACTCTGATGATCTAAGTAGTCCCTGCCATCAAAGTAGTAAGAACTCACTGATTTTAGGTTCACACAGAAGTATCTGTGAAATAATGCCAGGCTGAGAGATTCTGTTCCTGTAAAAAGGCATTCATTCGGCAAACACTTACTGAGTGCCCACTACATGCCAGGCAGTGTGCTAAGCAATGAGAGACAGAATCTAATAAGAAATTGCCCTTGTCATTAAGGAGGCTTTTGTCCACTGCAGAAGACGTAAAGTGAATGAGGAATGCCAGCAAAATATGAACCGAATGCTGTGGGAGCCCAAAAGACTGCTCTGATTTTCTCTGTGACCCTTCACATGGCTACAGCCCAGTGAAATTCAACAAAGACAACAGTTTCAAAGTTTAGTTGCTGTAGTGGGCTACATAGTGTTCTCCCCAAATTCGTGTCCACCTGGAGCCTCAGAATGTGACCTTCTTTGGAAATAGGATCTTTGCAGATGTAGCTGAGTTGAAATGAGGTCATGTTGAATCAGGGTGAGCTCCAATAAGAAGAGGAGAGGGTACACAGAGTCACATGGGGGGAGAAGACCGTGTGAAGTTGGAAGCAGAGATTGGAGTGGCCAGCAACCACCAGAATTCAGAAGAGAGGCAGGGAACAGATTCTCCCTCCTAGCCCCCAGAAGGAACCAACCCTGCTGATGCCTTGATTTCAGTCTTCTGGCCTCCAGAACTGAGAGGGAATGCATTTCTGCTCTCTTAAGCCACCCAGTGTCTGGTAGTTTGTGATGGCAGCTCTGGGAAATGAATAGAACTGCTTGCTACAGACTGCATGTTGTTGTCTGTCTCCTTGCTTTGCTCCTGAATCTGCTAAACACACACAGTGTTTCTCTTGGCATTTGAAAAACCTCCGAATACTGATAAAAGGGAGAAACAAACAGGAGACAGTTCAGTAATGCAAAAGTTTCCATGGTTACTTTCTTATTTGCCTTCTACCTTGGTGTTTTCTAATCAGGTTATTCTGGCTGGTTCTTAGCACTCCAAAACTGGTAATTCCTATGGCTGGAGTTATCTCTATCTCTGTTCTTACCTGCTGTCTTTCTTCACTTGAGCTATCTCCAACATCCTTTCAAAAAAAGCTTTGTCCCTTACAAAGCTCTCTAGCAACTAACCACATGGACTTGCTAACTCATGGTGCAATTGTAACTGTTGGCCTCACCTCCCTGAAAGAGAGATTAGCAGGAGGATAATGGCTATATGAATATGAGAATTTTAGCCTAATAGGCTCCCAGTTGTTCTTATGAATATAGGAATTTTCATGTTGGGAGAGGAGAATCTAATGAAATTTTCTGTTGTATTGCTATAGAAGTTGAGGCAAGTGTTGGTGGTTTTTGAAACATCTTGGTAACCAGAGCCAGAGTTGAGATTGAATAAAAGGTCTTCTGTCCACCTTTCTACGTGTTGGGCAGAGATGGAGTGGCCATCAATTCCAGTGGTTTAGGTACCAGAGGTTAAGAAGTTTTCTCTCAGGTTGGATTATCTGGGAAAAATTTTAAAAATTCGACTTCTCTTCCCTTCCCCCAGCCTCATTATTAAGTAGATGCCAGATGGTGACTTGTAGATTGTATTTCAGTTTCCCCATTCACTCAGAAATTTTATGACTTTGGTTTCATATCCACAGGGCAAAATGTTTCCAAAGAAGCTTGAAAATTGTTGAGGGGATTGAATGTCCCTCCAACAGCCCCTTGGGAGGCACTTAGGGGTAAACGTATCTTTTTAATCTATTTATTGTGCTGTGTCTATGGGGGCTACTGGATATATCATTTTGATAGAAAAAATAAGTTAAATTAGTCAAAGCAGTGGCCTGACTGAGCCAGACTCCCTCCATCCACCCCAAACATGACTGGTTGTGAAATTTGTGCTAGAAAGAAAACCCAGGATTATTAATGGGCTGGCCATCTAGAATATCTGTCATACTTTTGCTTTACAAACCGCTGCCCGCATCACTCTGTGAGCCAAGGAATAAGTCAACCAGACTTAAAATTATCACAGAAGCCACAGCTCTCATTCCCATTTCCAAGAATATGCCTGAGTGGAAGGACAGACAATCTCCTGAGTGGCTCTACCACTTATCAGAGATGTTGCTTTGTTACTTAGCCAGTCTGGCCTCAGTTTCCTCATCTGTAAAATGGTGGTCACTCAGTCCGCTTCTCAGGATTACCATGAGGACGAGAGATGAAGTTCATGAAGGAGTTTTTGGCGAAGAGTAAGAGCTCCACAATTGGGAACTATGTTTATTATTTTATTGATTGATTGATTGATTGATTGATTGAGGTGGAGTCTCACTCTGTCACCCAGGCTGGAGTGCAATGGCATGGTCTCAGCTCACTGCAACCTCTGCCTCCCAGGTTCAAGTGATTGTCCTGCCTCAGCCTCCAGAGTAGCAGGGATTACAGGCGCATGCCAGCATACCTGGCTAATTTTTGTGTTTTTAGTAGAGACAGGGTTTTACTATGTTGGACAGGCTGGTCTTGAACTCCTGACATTGTGGTCCACCTTCCTTGGCCTCCCAAAGTGCTGGGATTACAGGTGTCAGCCACCGTACCCGGCCTATGCTTATTATTTAAAAAAATCATTATGATTATTTGTGAGTCTTTGTGCATAGTCTTAACCATTATGAGCTTTTAAAATGGGAAGAAAGCCCTCCTAGGTTTATTAATTAACTGACTTAAGAGACAAAATGTCTTTGCGTTACCATCAGTCACATTTTGGCTGTGGTTCATCTGCTTATTAATGTGTCCTTTCTCACGGCCCCTAGGAAACAGGTCAGCTGAATGTCTTGTGGCCTCTGCCTGGTCTTAGGTATCCTGGTGCAGGGACTGGGTGGCGGAAGTAGGAAGAGGCAGTGAATGGCACCCCTCTTTGGGCAAAAGTGTTGTCACCGACTTAGCTGAGTAGTTCGGGTCCCAAAGTACTCTTGCCTTAAAAGGCCCACAGGAGACATCCGAAGGCACAGAAGAGCAGATCATATTAAAATTATGGGGACATCTGATTGTTCTGTCTAACTCCTCTGGGAGAGGCAGATTCTCCATCCTACAGCAATCACACTGATTTTTTTTTTTTTAAATTTAGAGATGTGGTCTTGCCCTGTTGCCCAGGCTGGAGTTCAGTGGCAGGATCATAGTTCACTGCATCCTGGAACTCCTGGCCTCAAGTGATCCTCCTACCTCAGCCTCCTGAGTAGCTAGGATCACAGGGGTGTGCCAACCTGCCTGACTAATTTTTTTATTTTTTTGTAGAGAAGAGGTCTTGCTATGTTTCCCAGGCTGGTCTTGAACCCCTGGCTTCAAGCAATCCTCCTGCCTCAGCCTCCCATAGCACTGGGAGTAGAGATGTGAGACACTGCGCCCAGCTGCTTCTCTTTTGGTAGCTGTTTTGATGCTGCTTGGTCTCCTGTCTTCCACTTTTGCATATCTCTGTCAAGACAAGGCACTATTTCCATTCCTACCTAAGAGGAATTATAGTTTTCCTCTCTGTGCTTGAAAGAAAGAATATGCTGGTGTGTTATTAGGCTTGCTAACGGGTCTGAAGATATCTAAGATTAAAGGCACACCATACTTAATATCTTTCTTAAGGAACTAATTTGGACAAAACACCAGGTATGTAATTATCAAAAAATTGGAGCCAGTGGAGAAGATGGAAGGAGTTATTATGTTTAAACAAATGAAGACATAGAAATGAAACTGTCACATCATCTACAGGCATGTAAGTTTCCATCTGACCTGCTGGGTAGCTGTTTATAATAGAAAGGACACAGCATTTGGAATCAGAACATTTGAATTGTGTTTCAACTCTGCTTGATACTAGTGTGATCGCATTGGGTAAGACTTGAGTCTCAGTGTCCGCATCTATAAATGGGGATAATAATGCCTGCCCTACCTGTCAGGCTTGTTGTAATGATCAAATGAGTTTAATGATGATCAAATGAGTTTAATGTGAAAACGCCTTGTACCAAATGCCATATAAGCATTATTATCAGGTTATAGCTCAATAAAAAGGAGCTTCACGTCCATTTATATCCACTCAGTGCATAGCTGATCCTGATCTCCAAGGAAATTAGAATCAGCTACTGACTTCATATAGAAAACTGAAGGAAAGCGTCTGCAAAACTCAAATCACTGGTTTATGGAAGCTTTTTGTCATTTCCAAATGAATCCGGGAAGAATTTAGCAGCTGAAGCAGTTTCGCTGCTTCATTTGCTTTCAAAACCTCAAGTTGTCTGGAAAATTACAGGGTTGGAGTGGCTAAGAAAGTGAAGCCACTGAGGAAGGCATTGTTGGAGAGGTCCTTGTATGGCCGGCACTGCTGAGTTCTGCTGCAGACACCACGAAGTCAGCTGTTTTCAACCAGAGAGCCGGGCTGGAGGAACTAAACTAACCAGGAGAGCCTTTCTGTGTTCAATTCCCAAAAGCCTGAGGAGGAAGTTAATTTGCTCAAGCTTGCTCAGGGACTTTCTGGTGCAGAGAGGAAAAAGGAAAAAAAAATCCTTCTTGAGTAGGAGGAGGTGGAAAGTCAGAATTTTCGAGGCTTTTACTGTACTGCTGGAACAAGAAAGAGCCAGTACGGGACAAGGAGAAACAAACATGTCCGTCCCTTGACTCAGTTTCTTGATCTCCTTCTTGGCAGGATACACGGCTTGTCTTGCGAACAGAGCCCTTGAAAGATCTAGCCAGCATGTGGGCTCATGTAGAAAGTACATACCAAGTGGTTTTCCTTCATTACATGATAGCGGTGGATTTAGGTCAGGACCGTGAGCTATGCCTTTCATAGTGTGCCCAGTGAAGTACTAATGCTGACATGATTTTTTAAGTTCACAATTGTTCCTGTGTCTGGGCAATGGTGTTAGAAAGTCAAAATGCTCTCAGTCATTAAAGAACAAGATTAGGCTCACCTGTGCAGGCAGAGAATTGGGGCTAGCTCATAGTGAGTAGATGACAAGTCCAAAATAATAATAATAGCTGCCTTTATCTGCTGTGTTCTATGCTTTATTCATTGTGTTTTGTGTGCATTTTTTTCTCATTTCATAATCACAACTAACTTATGAGAGAGGTAGTATCACCCCATTTCTCAGAGTAAAAAATAGTACTGGCAGGCCAGGCGCGGTGGCTCACGCCTGTAATCCCAGCACTTTGGGAGGCTGAGGCAGGTGGATCATGAGTCAGGAGATTGAGACCATCCTGGCTAACACGGTGAAACCCCGTCTTTACTAAAAATACAAAAAATTAGCCGGGTGTGGTGGTGGGCACCTGTAGTCCCAGCTACTCGGGAGGCTGAGGCAGGAGAATGGCGTGAACCTGAGAGGCGGAGCTGGCAGTGAGCCGAGATCGCGCCACTGCACTCCAGCCTGGGCGACAGAGCGAGACTCTGTCTCAAAAAAAAAAAAAAAAAAAAAAAAAACATGAAAATAGTACTGGCAGAGGTTCCATAACTAGCTCAAAGACGTACATTACTAGATGTCAGAGCTGAGAAAATAACTTTTATCTGAGGAATATCAGTCCTTTTAAATTATCAGGCCCAGAGGGACATTAAAATGAGACAACAATCACATCCTACTTCCCGCTTGAGCATCTCTCAAAATTGCTTGCTGTTGCCACAAGTAGCTATAAATTAACCCACTAAGGCCACACCAGACACTATAACCCACACCCTATAGCTTAACGATATATAGCCAACCCGCTAATGAATGTTATTTCTGTAGAACAATAAGAATTTCTGACAAATAGCTTTGTATCTACCCACTGTCTGTTCCCCTCTTTTGCTTTTAAAAATTCACTTGTAACTGCTGCTAATCAATGTATATTCTGAGCAACTTGAATCAGTGTTCCCAGATTACAGTCTTCAAGCTTGGCCCAAATAAGCTCTCCATTTATATTAATTTTTTTCTCAGCTTCTTCCTTTTAGGTCAATGTATCCAAGATTTAGACTCAAGTATGTCTACAGGTGACCTTGTACTGCCTTGACTAAACAAAAACTTGTTGAATTCCTCAATCCGTAGGGCACCATGAAAGGTGCTGTGCTGTCTTACTCCCAGGCTTCAGTGGGTTTTTCCCTCTCATAGGATAAACAAAAGGACACAAATAGCCGTGACATAAGACCTAGCATAGTAAGTGTCTGAAGGAGGAGCCATATTCAACAGATGCAGCAATAGGCAATTGATCAGTCAAAGCAGGTGCTGGCATGAAACCACCAGTCCCGATGTACCAGCAGGGACAAGTTAATCAGCAGTCCCAGCATAGGGGAAACATTTTGAAAGCCACGTTCATTACCATCCATCAAAGAGGATGAGGGTGAATTGTGGTTTTGAGGCCTCATCTAGAACATAAGTTAAACCTTTTGTAACTCAAATTATAACTCAACAAACATCAATGGCATTGATGTGGGACATTAGCTCCCCATCTTACCCTAAGCATCTCCCAGACACTTTAGTGTAATGCTTGTGTGTAATGCTTTGTGTGCAATGCTTTAGTGAAATGCTTGTGTAATGTTCTGTGGAATCTTCATCTCTGGACACCAAGTTGGCCAGGCACAGCTGTGTTTTGGTGACTGCAACCACTCCTCCAACCATGGACTCCCCACAGGGGCGGCTTCTCTCTCTTCACCTGTAAGAATTCCAACATCTTAAGAATAGGTCTGCTCACAAACTTTTTAGCTGTTTAGACTCTGTTATATCCTATTCTCAGAAATCTTTATTCTTTGTTGGCTCTCTGGGAGAATGCTAGCAACATGGTGTACAGTGTAACTCACCATCTTCTTTAACCAATTTTATATCTAGACCGATGGAAAAATGATCCCTCTGCCCCCAGACCACAAAGCATATGTTGAGTTCTTGCTGTTAAATCTGCTAGGTACCATGTCAGAGACCAAAGGAGAAGGCATGTTTCCTTGCTTGAAGAGTTTTTACCCTCCCTAGAGAGACAAGACTGATGTCCCCGTGGAGATCAGGGCATCAGAGAAGGAGTGCGACAGGCAGCCCTTTCCTTTCCTCATGCTGTGACCTTGCTCAAGCCACTCAACCTCATGCTGTGCCTTCATGTCCCCATCTGAAAAGAAAATAACTGACCTAGACGGTATTTTACTGCTATTCTAGTTCCACTTTTTTCAGATTTCATTAACTCATAAGAAAACAGTGGTAAACAATTCATGACCTACTGGGAGAATCAGACGTAGGTTCTGTGTAGACCTGGAAGGAAAATGTGCATAGTGAGTTGGAGGTGTTCATAGAAGAAGACTTGAAGGATAAGAAGGGACTCATTTGCATATTAAGGAACAATTAGGCTTGGATTTGCAATGTGTGGGAAGAATTTGGTCCATTTCTATCCAGGGTATAAAAGGATTAGTTTTGGGAAGTTACTATCTAAAGGAAATTGTAGTTAGTGTATGTAGTGGGGGAGTGGGTGGATTCAGGGTGCATTTTAGACAAATTTGCTATATTTCTGTCCTTAATTTGTTTTCCTAAAATCCAATTCCATTTCTTGAGCTTCTTTCTTGCCCTCTAAGTTAAAACAAGAAGTGGCAGCACATTTGTGTGTGTGTGTGTGTGTGTGTGTGTGTGTGTGCATTTCACCACTTCTTGTTCCTGAATTCTGAATTCTAAGGGAAAGAACAGCTTATATGTCTATTAATAGCTGTCTGCACACTTTCTTTCTGGAACCCCCCACTCCCAATATTCTTTCATTATCTAAAGGGCTCCCAGGTGTAAATAGTACCATGGTAGCTTGTCTTCAAAGATGACCCCCCTGCATAGAATCATGTGTCGTCACACAAATGCACCCTTGCATAACCCTTTCTTTTTGAATCCGACTGACCCTGAAACTCATTCCGTGGAGAGGTGGCAGAAGTGAAGCTGCCTGACTTCTAAGACTAAATCATAGAAATCCCTGATGTTTGGGCCTGAGTGTTGGTATGTTAACTCTTGGTAAACTCTCAGTTAGAAATTAGCCACGATATAAACAGGATAACAACTATCTTATCCTGAGATGTCATGCTGGGAGAAGCTGAGATGCTATGTGAAAAGATCCAGGGGCCCCAAAGGGGCCTGTAAGTGAAGGAACCACCTAAGAAGTGGATCCTCTAGTTCAGCTGATGTCATGTATATCAGAGACAAACCAACACAACCTGTCCCAAATTCCCGACTCACAAAAATTATGATCAAGCAAAAGTGGTTGCTTAAATCCCTAAGTTTTTGGGTGTAGTTTTAAAGCTGCAATAGACAGCTGGAAGAAGTACCACAAAGCTGTAATACTATTCCTAGAAGTGTTTGCAGCAACAATGTACAATTTTTTTTTAAGTAGTGGAAAGTAAGGTCGGAAAAAAAATTAAGGCCAGACCGTATCATTCTAAGACATTTTTATTTTATTCAATGAATAATGGAAAACTATTAAAGTTTTTGATTAGGATAATGACCTGTTGCAATAAAAATTTACCTAGAAGTCTGGCTGATGCCTTTGAGAGAGAGAAAAAATAAACAGAGCCAGGAAAATCAGTTAGGGAGTCCAGGAAAAGAGTAAGGAAGGTCTAAAATAGAAAAATAGGGATAGAAATGGAGAGGAGGGAGTGGGCAAAGTATGTTGCAGCATTATCATAGACAGGATTTGATAACTAACTAGATATGGGGTGCAAGGAAGCAGGGGAGAGTCAAAAAGGACCTCACGTTTGTAAAGCCTTGGTGACTTGAAATGACTGAGCCATTAATAGAACCTGGTGACTTCAGAGGAGGATTATGTTTGAAGGTGGGGGAGGGGAGGGAGGAGGGTGATAATAAATTCAGTTTTGTGATATTTTACTAGCAATCTATTGCTGACTAACAAATTTTCCCAAGACTAAGTGGCTAAAAGCAGCAAACATTTATTATATCGCATAGTCTGTCAGGGTCGGGCATCAGGAAGTGGCTTGGTTAGGTGGCTCTGGGTGTCTCAGGAGGTTTCAGTCAAGCTGTCGGCCCAGACTGCTGTTATCTAAAGATTTGACTGTGTCTGCGGGAGCTTCTTCTAAGCACACTCACATGGTTGTTGGCAAGAGGTTGCAGTTTCTGGCCACGTGGACGTCTCCATAGAACTGCTCACAATATGGCTTTTCTCAGGGCAAGGGATGCAAGAGAGGCAAAAAGAGAGAGGATGGGGCAGGAGGAGGAAGGAGAGGAAAAGGAGGAGAAAGAGGGAGGGAGGGAAGGAAGGAGGGAGGCAGAGCCGGAGCCCAGAAGAGAGCCATAGTTTTTTTAATAATCCAATTCTGAAGTGATATGCCAACACTCCTGCGGCATTCTATCTGTTAGAAGCAAGTCACTAAATCCAGCCCACACTTGACGGGAGGAAAATTAAGCTCCACCTCTCCTGAAGGGAGAATTGGACAGATTTTTAAAACCACCACAGATGTAAGGTTTAGCTGCTGAGAATCTCTCTGGGCAAGGACAGCCATGGACTTTAGGAAATGTGCAGATGGAACTCAGGATTTTGATGAGAGTGCATACCGGGGATTGAGAAATTATTCTTTGATTCATTTGACTTACAAATACTTATTGCACATCTCCAAAGTGCCAGGCACTCTGTTGAGAGAAGGGATCGGATGGTGAATAAGACAATTAAGGTGCCTGTCTTTATCGTGCTGACAGCCTAGGGGAAAATTCAGATAAGCAAACAGGAAGTTATACATAGAAAATTATAATACCTTGGCAATAGGAAATGGGGAGTTAGAGGGTGAGATTTAAAATGAGATCTGAAGGATGTGTAAGAATTAAGCAGATGAAAACAGGGTTAGAAGAGAGACATAGAGGACAGCGTGGGGATCGTGTGGAAGTCAGGAAAAAAGGATGCTGTCTAGGAGACAGGAGCTGTTTCCAACGTGGCTGCTCATGAACAGAATCTGGCCCAAAAGCTTATTTGATTTGGCCTGCATTCTGCTTTCTTTCTTTCAAAAAATGAAATCATTGCCAATATTTAAAAATCCTGGATTTCTGGTTTCTCTAGAAATTTGCATTCTCTTGTGGCATTTCCTGCTGGTGTTGAGATGGGGCTGTTCCCTTTCCAGGTCCGCCTGCCTCCCCACCCCTCTCAGTTGACGCCAATGCTGTTGCCCTTTACTATCTCATTTACATTGTTAGATGGGCCTATTTCCTTCATTCTGACTCTCTGCATTGCCCTCGTTCACATTTAAATGTGCAATTCTTGATTGCCTGTTTGGATATACCACCATTTGGTACACGTTTACATCATCCAAGATGATGGTAGATGTAGCATTAGGGGAAAAATTACCCTATCAAAGAGGGATTCTAGAAGGCACAGCTGAAAGGTCTGGAAGGGAAGGGAGGCTTGGCAGAGTGGTCAGATGGGTGGAAGCACTTGGCCATAAGAGGATGAAATGCTGGAGAGGACAGTGTTTGTGGGGCTGCCATTGAGGATGGCAGACAACAGGATGGGGAGACACTGTGGGCTACAATCTCTCCAAAAGAGTAAGTTCTAGCAATCCCCTGAAGGAGGATGTTAATAAGAATAGCCAATCATCATGGAGCACTTACTATACATCAGCTCCTGTTCTAAGCACTCTGGAATCATTATTTCCATTATTATCATAACAATGCTAGGAGAAAGTACTAGTACTATATCATTTTTTTGGCAGATGGGGAAACTGAGACAGAGAGAAATTGAGCCACTAAAATTAGATAATGGCAAAATCAGGATTTTATTCCAGGCCTTGTGACTCCAGAGCCTGAACTCTCACCCCAAAACTATGAGGGAGGAAATTTGAAAGCGGCATCACGACAGCATGAGCCAGCTGGGCGGGCTGGATGAACTGCGCTTGAAAATGGTTCCTTGTCTCCAGGATTTGCAGAGACACCAGCCTCTCTGGAAGGAGCTAACTTCATTCTGGATGACTTGTGTCTTCTTGATTTTAATTAGTTTGTTTTTTTAATTTTTGGGCAGGCTCCAGAGAGAGGCTCCCAGCCTGAGGCTGCTGGCAAGTAGATGCCTAAGGCCTGATTATTAGAGGACTGATGTCATGAGCTAGGGCAGTCAGGCAGTGTCGTGATAGTCCGATGCCTGGGGTCTCTAGGTCAGATGCCTGGTTTCTTGAGGCTGACCTAAGTACACAATGCAGTTCAGGATTTTTATAAATCTATATTTATTATTAGTCACAAGCACTCTCAGTGTCGGGCCCTGCCTTGAGCTTTGTCTGTTGGGGTCTTGTGTAGTCAAGCGTGGCGCAAAGGTACACAGCCAGCCCCGGCGTGTTTTGTGAGCTGTGACTAAGCTTCAGAATGTATCCTCGCTTGGGTCTTGCTAACATGACTGAAAATGTTCAATATTTACAGCCTACAGTTCTCTGCTTCCACCTCCATGTTTGTGATAACCTCGCTTTAGAATGAAAATCCTGAAATTCTTATAGCTAAAGCTCCCTCTTTCTTAGACGACGTCTATCTGAGAAGGGATAATTGAATTCACAGAAGTAGATAACTTGAGCTGTAAACATGGTTTATCAATTCAAATCTTTTCAATATGGTTTGGTTTATCTCTTGGCCTGTCTTGAGTCCCGGGGACCCCCTGAGGAAAAAACATAAACCCTTCCGGCTCCTGGTTTTGATAATTACCCTTAGCATCGGCTGCCAGGATTTCTTCCTAGCAGTATAGTGCCAGTTTTCCCTCTGGTTTTTCCTTCTTTTGCTGAATCAGAATAAGGCTCAGCATAGAAGCCCTCTGTCTTGCAACATTTGCCTAACATGTGCATTTCAGACTAACCGACAGCAATGTTGCTGTGGCAGTTTGGACTTCCTAGAAATAGCATTTTCATAGTTGGAGGCATGTTAAAATAATAAAAGTAGGCTGTCATCCCTGGGTTATGGGTGAAAGAGCTATTTATAGATGAGCAAAAAATCCCCAATGTGATAACTTACATTATTGTACAAGGACAATGGAAAATTCTTCAGAAGACAGATAGTATAAAAGGGATTTAAAATTAACCTCGTCATGTTTTATTCATCAAGACCTTAAGTCGACTTATTTTTTTATGAAGGCCATATAATTTTGATTCCTTTTACCTCTCTTTTTAAAAATAAAACAGCAAGCCATTGAAATAATTATACAAGGTCACAAACTGTGGTCCTACTGGCGTGTCTTGCCTGAAGACCGATTTGTTTTGCTCAATAAATATTTTATAAAATTTTAGTTTTTAAGTCCTTTAGCCTGGGCTCGTTCTTTCTAGTTTATATAGTCTGCAGTGTGCTCTATGGCAGCACTGTGGGCCGCTTTGGATGCCCGATGAGTATTACCTTGTGCAGATCATGTTTCTTCTATGCCCTCGTCTTTGTGCATATTGTGTCCTCAACTACTGTATCTTTCTTAACCCATTCTTTGAATGCAAATCTTACATATCTCATACACTACTTCCAAGAAGACTTCTTAGGTTATTTTTGTCCATGGCTATCTTTTGCCTTTTTTTTTTTTTTTTTTTTTTTTAAGATGGGGTCTCCCTCTGTTGCCCAGGCTGGAGTGCAGTGGCGCAATTCCAGCTCACTGCAACCTCTGCTTCCTTGGCTCAAATGATCCTTCTGCCTCAGCCTCCTGAGCAGCTGGGACTACAATCTCACACCACCACACCCAGCTAATCTTTGTATTTAGGGGCTTTGCTTTGTGGCTAGGGCTGGTCTCAAACTCCTGGACTCAAGTGATCCTCCCCACTGGGACTCCTGAAGTGCTGCGATTACAGGTGTGAGCCACTGCGCCTGGCCACTCTCTTGCCTTCTTAATTCTCAACACATGTAATTCTCAAATGTTAGGGATCAGGTAGAGGAAATGTGATTATTGAAATGTGTTATAATAATGTTATAATGATACTTAAGATCCTTGAGGACAGGTACCATGACATCTAATTGAAAATGCACACCTCAGTGTTGGCCACAGCTTACACATTGTAGTTCTTTTGGATTGCATAGCATTTCAGATTTACTTGGTTCATTTGGCACTTCAAATAATGAATAATTAGATGTTGGAAAGTAAAAAAAGAAAAAAAGGAAGGAAGAAGAAAAAGAAAGAAGGAGAAAGGGGGAGAAGAGAGGAAAGAATTTGGAGCAATATAATTCATAGAGAATCACCAAGATTAAAATCTGATCAGATCTTAAAGAACACTTAGGGACCCTCCCTCAGATTATGAGAAAATAGAGACATAGAGAGTGAGGTGACTAGTTGAAAGTCACACTGCTAGTTAATAGAAGCATGAAACTAGTAATGTAGTCTGCCAGTTTCCACTCCAGTGTCATTTCTCTCTTCCTCCTTCCCTCTGTGTATAAGTGTGTGTGCATATGTCTGTGTGTGTATGCACCCCCACACACATTGTTATATATAGAGTATGTTTTGGAAGTCTCTCTAACAAAAACAAAAGCCCACTGACCCAGCATCAGTCTTTTTGTGTTGATGGAACAGGATTAATTGAAGCTGTAACATTAGGAATATATAGTTAATTTGATTGAGAAGGTTAGGGAATCCAGCGATACGTTTTAGAAAAGTTTTCATCTGTAATGGTTAAACAATTGTTGGTGCTTTAATGTGTCAGAAACCTTCAGTTAGCTAGAAAGCTTGACTGTCCAAACCATCTCCTTCCACCAGGTTTACAGATAGTTAAGCTTGGATTGCATTTCAATTAGTTTGCTAATGTGAAGCCTCAGCCTCTCTGAGTCTTTGGAGCAAGAGAGAGAGGCTCCAGGTGGAAGGAGTGTCCTTGCAGACGGTTTCTCTTGCTTTCCTGCCCTTCGTGTGGTGGGGGATTGATATGCAGCTGTTCTCCAGATGCCAGCTCTTCCCCAGAAGCAGCTGCGTCTCAGCAGGGGCCCCTTTTATCAATGTGACAACCTGCTGAGGGCTTTGGAACTTTTCCAGATGTAAGGCATGTTGAGGCTATAAAACATAATCATTAGCATTATTTCCATTTTCGTTTTAGAGTCTCAGCTGTTAAAAGTTTCTTGTACAGATTTAGGGCTTAATTGTTCTCATTTTTCTTCATAGGTAGCTTCTTTTAGACAGCATGGGATCTTCCCTTGGAGCTGATTTTCCTAAAAAGAAAGAAAGAATAGCTATGAGTAATGTTCCTTGCTTCTGGCTGGCTGGGAAGGCTGAGATTAGAGAGCAGTCTTTTCCCAGCTGCAGTTATATGAGTGTCTGTGAGCTAAACATAATCGTCCATGGCTTTCTTTTGCTGAATCACAGGCTTTCTTTTGCTGAATTCACTTGGAATCAATTTCTTCTTTCTTTTTTTTTTTCTTTTCTACCCTCCCTTTCCTTTGTGAACACAGCTCTTATCTTTCATATAGCCTGGAGAGGATCTCTTCTTACTTCATCCTTCTTGGAATCTATGCGCTATTCAAGAGGGGCAATATAATTTTTTTTTTTTTGGCGGGGGAGGGTGTTACTTGAAGATTAACAAGCTAACATTACTTTGCGTGAAAAAAATGATTTTATACTGAGGGTGGAGAAAATTGGAAATAGAGAACTTGAAGGTTTCTGAAAATATTAATCAAAGAAACAGATAAAATAATGACCTTGAATAAATTTGCCCACAGAAATTCATCTTATTGGTTTATATTGTAGTCACTTTGTCTTGAAAACCCAATTCCTCAGTGCACAGTCTCGGAATCACACTGAGTTTCGATGACAGGATTAGAAATACTCACACAACTCCATGCTGGTCGTCGTAGGCAGGCGATTTATGGCATCAGCGGTAAGCATCTCATGCCAGGAGCTGCTGAGAAGGATTTGTTCACACAGGGAACCCAATAATTGGCCAGAGGAGAGAGGCTCATGCATACTGATATCTAAATACCCTGCAATGTTTTACAAGTCTTGAATTAGACATTCAGAAGGTCCTTGTCAGCTTCCTAGCCTTCAGAAAGCTGGACAGGCAGGCCCCCAAGGGACTTGGGCTGCAGCCCTCTCTGGAGGCTGGGTGTGGGGCTAGGTGGATTCCTGAGATCCACAAGCCTGTCTTCTCCAGTGAGCTCCAGTGTCTGCGAAGAAAGATGCACAGGTTAGACGGAGGGTGCAGGACCTTCAATCAGAAATCCCTTCTTTTGCTTAATAGCATAAAACAGTATGTGTAGTAAGATTCTGTTTTAAGAATACACACACACACATACACACACCGCTATCTATCATCTCTTTATCTAAAAATGTGTACCTAAAAGAAGGTAGAAAGACATAAAGCTGATATTGCATTGATTTTGAATAATCTATGTTTTCTTTTTTAGATTTTAAAAGCATTTTCTGATGTTTCTTGTATTTTCTATTTTTTTCAATAACACGAGTTACCTTTATAATCAGAAAATATCTAAAGATGTGTGCAAATCTACTAAATATTTGAGCCTGCAAATTAACATCAGAGTTGGACAGGATCAGTGTTGAGATTCTTTTCTCTACAAATCTACTGGAATCCCAAGTACTCTGGAAAGCCACCCTATAAGTCATAAAAGCTAGCTCAGGCAGAGCAGTAGAAAAACACAGATCTGCAATATTGCTATCGTTATTGCTGGTGGATTTCTCTAATATCCATACTTTTATTATCCCATTTTGGCTAGTTATGTGACATATACAATTGTGAAAATGCCCGAATCTCTTAAAGATCTGTGCATCTTATTGTATATTAATTATATATACGTAAAATAGAAATAAAAATAAAAAATCAACATAAGGTGAAATGTGCAATTTTAGACCTTTTAAAATTTCTATGGGACTATTTTTGCACAAATTGGTGATCTGGTCAGAAAAACGCTCAGTGGGAATAAAAAATGTGATATTAATAATATTAGCAAAAGCTATCACTTCCCCCAAGAAATAGCAGCCTCCAAAATGCTGCCTCTTATAGAAGACATCAGTGTCAGGGAAGGAAGGCACTGAGAAAAATCTCTTAGCTTTTATAATTGGGAGAGTAACAATAGCGTGCGAGAAGCTCTGTGATGTAAAAATGTTTGAAAGATACAAAACATCATCTGGCATTAAATCACTGAAGAAGGCAAGAAGAAGATAACATACCTGGGATGTCTTTCATTTTATAAGTAATAAAATCACATTCAAATGGTGATGTTTTCCCCATCAGTGTTTGAGGCTGCGCCCCTCCCAATGTGTGGGACATTTTAATAATAAGCAAATGGACTTAAACCCTTGATAAAGCCAAAAGCTTATTTCCTAGGCCTTCTTTTTAATTTCAGTGGTGCAAGGCGAATTGGAAAACCAGTTAGCTCTGTTTTGTTCCAAATATTTAGCTAATGAAGTAAATTTAGAAAAAAATTATTCTAATTATTGTCTCAATCTTTAATCTTCAGATAGAGAATCATAAGAATTGTGTTTCTTATAACTGTTATAAAAATAGTATTTTAAGTTTTTGGTGCATGATAGTTTTTAAAGCATTTTCACATACTTGATCTCAGTGAATTACCCTAACACCCCTCAAAGAAGTCAGGCTAAGAATTACTACTTTTTATTGTAAGGAAAATGAAGTTCAGCGAGGTTATGTGACTTTCCCAGTCCACTGCTAGAAATTGGAGCTGTTCCTCTCAGTCTGGATTCTGATATGCCTGAATCAGAATCGACATTTGTTACTTATTCCTATTTTAGAAAAATTTGTTTAACCAGAATCCACCAGATCAGTGAGTTGGGTTGCTCTGGATGAGTGAACACCTGAGGCCTTCCACCTATGGGGTTTATATTAGGGTCCAGGCTCCTCCTGCTTCACTGGTCTATGGCTAAAAATGAGGTCACTGTAAAAGTAATAATTTAAATATCTCCAGATCAAGTTAAGTGCCTGAAAAAGGTAGAAGTGTAAACCCCCATACAATTCCCCACTACTTTCAATGGGGATTCAAAAGGGAGTTGGCCCAAGTCCGTAAAATGCCAACATACACTGCTAGTAAACATTTTTACCCATCTGTCATTGGAGGGAGTCCAGAATTCTCCTTTTTAATGGGGTCCAAATCTGCCCTTGGAGGCTCTAGCACTCCCTGAGCCACTGCGAGGTTGATTCTCTCTGAGAAGTGGGCAGCTGTGCCTGGCTTACCTGCTGTCTGTTTCTCTTTATCATATGGGCATCAAAGCAGGATAGCTTAGCACCCTGGTCTCAAGGCTTGCTCAAAAAAAAATGATAATAATAGTAATAATAAAAATCTGTCAGTTCTGCTAACAGTTTGTGTTAGTCTGTTCTCACGTTGCTGATAAAGACATACCTGAGACTGGGTAATTTATAAAGAAAAAGAGGTTTAATGGACTCATAGTTCCATGTGGCTGGAGAGGACTCACAATCGTGGCGGAAGGAGAAAGGCACGTCTTACATGGCAGCAGGCAAAGAGGGAATGAGAGCCAAGCAAAAGGTTCTCTTATGAAGAAAAATGGTTTATCTTATAAAATCATCAGGTTTCCTGAGACTTATTCACTATTGCAAGAATAGTGTGAGGGAAACCTCCCCCATGATTCAATTATCTGCCACCAGGTCCCTCCCACAACACATGGGAATTATGGGAACTACAATTCAAGATGAGATTTGGGTGCAGACACAGCCAAACCATATCACAGTTCTCTTCCCCATACCTGAATCTGAAGACTTAGTAGAGGTCTAATATCTAAAGTCAGACACAAGGCTTTCCCGCGTTCCTTGTATTCCCCTCCTCCACTTGGCAATATATACACACGCACCCGTCCAAAATCTTCAGCAAAAACCTCATATGCAAATAACATTTGGTGGCCCCACCATTTGGTCATCACAGAGGCCAGGCTGCTCAGACATGTTTGAATCCCACCTGTGGCTCAAACCAAAGCCTCTGCCCCATTATTCAGCTGGAGCAATAAGATTAACACCTGTGAAAAGATAAGTGCACAATCCAACATGGAACATAATCAAAGGCTACACAGACGACATGTACTGCCAGTGCTATGGGATTCTGGGCCAGGAAAGGTCCCCACAGGCACATGTTAGGAAAGACTGCACATGAGGATAGAGGTGTGCTGAATCCGGAAGAAAGGGCAGGATTTTGATAGGAGGGATCCTGCTTTCATTAATCGTACTTGAGGCATACTTAGCACATACATCCTTATAGAGTTCATTTAATGAGTTTTCTAATTTCCTGCCTTAAGGGAAACTGAATTACTGCCCCCCACTTCCCCTTTTTTTTCTGGCACTAGAAAGAGAAGTGTTTTAGTTCCAATTCCATGCCTTCATGTATTGAAATTATTCAGCCCAGAGATGAGGGGTTTTATTTGTTTGTTTGTTTTGTTTTTTTGAGACAGGGTCTCGCTCCATCGCCCAGGCTGGAGTGCAGTGGCGCAATCTCGGCCCACTGCAAGCTCCCGCCTCCCGAGTTCACGCCGTTCTCCTGCCTCAGCCTCCCGAGTAGCCGGGACGAGATGAGGATTTTTTTAGACCAAAAGAGAAGCAGTGGAGACAGTAAGAAGTTACTGGATTTTACTGTTTGCTGATGAATGGGAAGTGGAGAAAGAAAGGAGGTGAGAATGATTGTCAGATTTTTGTCCCAATCAACTGGAAGGATGATGTTCCCATGGACTGAGATAAGGAAGGCTGCAGGCTCAAGATGTTATTGAAGAGAGAGGATTGGAAGCTCAGTGTTACACATTTTAAGTTTGATATGCAAACCAAGATACCTAGTAGCCAGTGAGATGTATGAGTCTAAAGTGCAGAAGAAAGTTCTGAGGGAGAGATACAAATTGAAGTCGTTGGCACAGACATGACCTTTAAAACCATGGCACTTAAGGAGAGCACCTTGAAAATAGGAGGAGATGGAGAGAAGGCAAGGCCCCAGGCCTGAACTCCGAGCCTAGGGGTGCCCCAGCATCCCCAGTCATCATTTATGTCTTTCAGATCCATGGGCTTCTGTTCCCTGCACCCCACCTCCAGGCCCTGGAGACCAGGGCGCCAGGGTCATAGGCTCTGCTACCTCAGCCGGGCACTGCTGCCATCTGCTGGGCACTGGTTGGGGCTTCTCCTGTGTGCGGCTACTCGGGGTGCCACAGTGCTGCGTTCTGCAGAGGGGGAGTAATCCTAGACACTTGAGATCCCAGAGATGGGTAGAATGGGGGTGACGTGTATGTGGGCACACAGGGATTTACCAAAGCAGTGCAGCTTATGCCCCCAAATTTAACAACTGAAAACTCCAAATTCTCCCTCCTGGAGCTATCTACCATCCAACCAACTTCTGCAGTACTCAAATTCCATTCAAACACCACGCCCACCTTAGAATTGTCCCTTCCCTGACTCCATCGGCCATGCTTATCTGTTTGAACTTCTATTCCCTTGGAATGTATTCTCCCCTGGGAGGTTTCTTCATCCTTCTTTCAAATAGACATTTGGCAAGTCTAGCACATCGGTTTGCCAGACATACCTAGATATATATCAGCTCTAGCAGTGGGACTTTTAAGCGTTTACAGGGCCCTAAATTCAGACATTTTCTATTTGCTATAAGAACATCTCACGTGTTAGTTACTCTGAAGTTCACTGGGGCAGAATGCCATACATCTGATTTATAATAACGTTTAAAAAGATGATATCTTCTGGTGTGGGGGGTATCTTTTCTGAAACCTTTTTAATCATTAGCTTCAAGGGAACAAAACTTCATTTGGCACCAGCAAAGGCAAGGCACTTGCATATGAGTTGGTAGACGTTTGATATTTAGTTGGTATATAGGTGAAAGTATACAGAAGTCTATGATACTTAAAAGTTCTTGGAAATGTGACTATTAAGATCACACATTCGTTTTATTAATTTTTTATTATGGTCATGCTTTCTTTAAATTTGGGGTTTCAAAGTCTTTTTAAAAATTGATATTTTATTATTATTGTCTTAGAGACAAGGTATTGCTCTGTTGCTCAGGCTGCAGTGTAGTGTCATGATTATAGCTCACTGCAGCCTTGAATTCCCGGCCTTAGTGATCCTCCTGCCTTGGTCCCCCAAAGTGCTGGGATGGGTTTCAAAGTCCTTAAAAATTATATTGGCATTAGGAATCTATGCATGCCATAACAAGTATTTATTTTTGAGCTTGGGCAGGACTCACAATGGTTTTGCCCATGTACCTATTTTGGTATTTTGCTGGTTATACCACTTCTCCTACTATATTGTATGAAGATCTGCAGAGACAGGTTGAGAGTCTGTGGGTAAGCCCCAGTACTGCTGGTTGGTGTTTATTCCAACTGATTGGATGTCCTCTTTGAGGACATTCTCAAAGAGGACGTTTAAGTAAATAAATTTTGAGTACTACTCCTGATTTTAGATAGAGTTGTTAACCCACTAATGTGATAGTTTACATTTTATAGAATGATTTTATATACTTATCACATTGGAAAATTGTAACAACTCTCTGAGGTAGATGAGGGAAATATAATATTCATTACTTTTTTTTTTTTTTTTTTTTTTTTTGAGATGGAGTCTCGTTCTGTTGCCCAGGCTGGAGTGCAGTGGTGTGATCTCGGCTCACTGCAACCTTTGCCTTCTGGGTTCAAGCGATTCTCCTGCCTCAGCCTCCTGTGTAGCTGGGATTACAGGCACCCACCACCATCCCTGGCTAATTTTTGTACTTTTAGTAGAGACGGGGTTTCACCATGTTGACCAGGCTGGTCTTGAACTCCTGACTTCAAGTGATCTGCCTGCCTCGGCCTCCCAAAGTGCTGGGATTACAGGCGTGAGCCACCACGCCCAGCCAACATTCTTTGAGAGATAAGAAAACTCAAAGTTGCAATGATCACACTCCAGTTTATACAATGAGAAGCATCAACATCATCTTCAGGACTCAGGGCCTCTGAGTCCTGGGAAAGTGCTCTCTCTAGTAGGCAAGCTTCCCTTTTCTTTTTTTTTTTTTTTGTTCGAGATGGAGTTTTGCTCTTGTTGCCCAGGCTGGAGTGCAATGGCATGATCTCGGCTCACCGCAACCTCTGCCTCCCAGGTTCAAGCAATTCTCCTGCCTCAGCCTCCCGAGTAGCTCGGATTACAGGCACACACCACCACGCATGGCTAATTTTTGTATTTTTGGTAGAGACGGGGTTTCTCCATGTTGGTCAGGCTGGTCTTGAACTCCCGACCTCAGGTGATCCACCTGCCTCGGCCTTCTGCCTTTCGGATCATTATCTAAATGGACTTTAGTTTCTCTTTAGAGCTGCTGTGGAGAAGGAATATTTGCTAGTGCATATTTTTCACTACTTTTTTAAGCGACATTTTCTTCTTATTTTGGTTTGTGTGTTTGGGAGAAAATGTCTCATCTAACTGGAAAAATGAGGATGTAAATTTATAGGCTGATGCACAGGAGAGAGGAGGGGGTGTCTTGTGGGTGATGACAGGTGTGTGAGGGATGTGAGGTTGTGAGCAGGTGTGTGAGAGAGTGTGATGGAGCACAGTCATGTCAGGCTGAGTAACATTTCCTCTCCACAGGGTAATTTACTAGGGGACCCTTGACACAGCAGGAAATGTGGAATAGATAGTGTAAGAACAGCTGGAACACCTGGAAAAACTGTATACTTGGAGGGAATTGTGGATTCAACATCTTCATCATCATTTAGTTTGCTACCTGGTATTGTTAGTTATGTTTCTTTGGATATGTTATTTTTTTTTCTAATTGCGTGCCAAGCTTTCAGATGGAAGGAACGGTATTTTGCCTCAATACATCCCTGCAGTATTTGGCACAGTAGAAGGAACGGTGCATGTGTTTAGGACTCATTGTTAGTTATTTATTCCTGCTATTCTCAGTGGTCAGGGAGACATATAGCTTATTGCCCCACAAGCTGTAGTTAAAAACAAACAAACAAACAAAATCCATGAGCCCCAGTAAAGGAAATCTGTTAATAGTCATGCTTCCTTCAACTCTTAAGGGGTCCAAACAGAGTAATGCCATCATTTGGGTTTGCAGATAGATTTCCTTAGGTAAAAACTTAACAAAAAAACAAACATTCTGGAAAGTCCAGTCAGAATAGCCTATCTCAAGAAAGTTTTGTTTGCTTAAACTTAATAGCTCTGTCAACCTAATCACTTCCCTTCCAATAATTTCCCTGTGGTCCATTTCACCCCAGATTTTCATAATGATCATTTGCTGGCAGTAGAAACTCAGCAACAGAAAGCATACAATGTAAGCTACATGCAGGTCAAGACTTGGAGCACACAATGCTTGTGATAATTGCAAAAATGACCTCAAATTATTCTCCTCCGTTGTCCATACCCCCTTGCAATTTACTTCATAGCTCCTTTCATCACATTTGGAGTATCTTTCTCCACTCCTTAAGTCCGGGGTGTACTTGATTTTGCCATTGGGACATTAATTAATGTGACTCTAGTCAGGACTTGAAAAGTGCTTTTTTATTGAGACTTTGCTGTCTTGCTGCTTTCCAAGGCTGCTATGTGAATAAACCCAGGCTAGCTGACCACATGAGAGCCAGGTGGTGCAGTTGCCTCTGTTGCCCCAGCCAATAGCTAGTCAAGATCCAGAAGCAAAGCTACCTTAGCTGACTGACAGCTGACTTCAGCCATATAAGTGAGTCCAACTGAGACTAGCAGAAGAATCACCCAGCTGAGCCTGGCCCAACTTGCTACTCTGTCAAATTTTGAGCTAAATAAATGGTTCATGTTTTCATTTATTTATTGATTTATTTACATACTTATTTATTTATTTATTTATTTAGAGACAGTCTCGCTCTGTCGCCCAGGCTGGAGTGCAGTGGCGTGATCTCGGCTCACTGCAACCTCCGCCTCCCAGGTTCAAGCAATTCTCCTGCCTCAGCCTCCTGAGTAGCTGGGATTACAGGCATCTGCCACCGCGCCCAGCTAATTTTTTTTTTTTTTTGTATTTTTTAGTAGAGACAGGGTTTCACCATGTTGGTCAGGCTAGTCTTGAATCCCTGACTTCGTGATCCACCTGCCTCGGCCTCCCAAAGTGCTGGGATTACAGGCATGAGCCGCCATGCCTGGCATAAATGGTTCTTGTTTTAAGCTACTAAGTTTTGTGGGGGCTACACAGTAAACATCAACTAATACAGTCCTCAGTCCTCAATAAAAATTATTGAATAGAAAATTTAAATGAATGAATAAATGATTAAATAAATGAAATAGGTGGTGATTTTATTCAATTTTCCCATTCCACAAATAAGGAAATTGAAGTCAAAGTAGTTAAATAACTTGGCTCATATGAGGCAGCAAGTTTGCGGAGAGACAAGTATAAACTATTATAATTTCCTTTTAAAATAACATTATGGCTCCCTAATGATATTATAAGCTCCTTGAGAGCAGGAAACATGTTTCTATTTCTTTACATCATCAGGGTCTACAAAAAGTATTTCATGCATTTCTGATTTACAAATTACTGTTTTAATATATAGTATATGGCCACAGCACACGAGTCAAAAGGCAGAACAGCTTTAGTGAAAAGCAAATCTCTTTCCTCTTTCACCCAGCTACCCAATTCTCTTCTTCAGAGGCATTCCCTGTCAAAACTTTTTGTTTGCTTGTTTGTTTTGTTTTATGTTCTTTCAGAAGTCTATCATTTGTTTGTTATAGATGATGGTGAGTAGAACTCAGGGCTTGTTTGTTTCCGAAAATCTGGGAAAGGAGAATATGGGACAATAAACAAAGCCCAGTCCCATGCCTCCCTCTTAGCCATCTGCTATACCATCTACGAAACCACACCATTTTTTGGAGACAAAGTTGAACTAAAAAATAATCAGGGCTGATCAAAATAATCAGAGTAAGTGATATCTTCTGGGTTATTGTGGTCTATATCCTAGCAAAATGAAAAAACAAAAACAGAAACAAAAGCAAAGTGAAGATATAAGGGATTCTCTAGATGTTGGCCAAGAGTCATACCCTTAAATGTTTTGTCTGGATCAGAAACAATGGAAATATGTCTCCAAAGGCTCAAAGGGACTGCTTTGCTATCCTGTAGGGGTAATTGTGCATAGACAACATTGACATTCTGGGGCTGGATTGGGGGAAGACACAACAAAGGAGAAGGGAAAGAATGTGAGATGAAGTTGGGGTGCAGTTAAGAAGGATCAGGGTTTCCAGTAGTTTAAAATATGGTAGATAAATTAAGAGGATGAAGTTTCAGAAATGGGTGTGGCTGTCACAGAAAGCAGGGTATGTTATACCATGGAAATACAATACATTTCTGTAAAGTAGGGAGCTAAGAGCTAGATTGCTGGAATTAAGAAGTAGGGGACAGAAAGAGGGAGGACTTGTGTAGAACGTAAAGGTACTAAATGAACACCATGTGTGCAAAGTTTTTTGGCTACTGTGGGAGAGTGAAAGATGAGATAGAATAGAGGAAGAGAGAAGAAAGCATTAAAATATGCCTTTTAAAGAGTGTTTTTAAGATGGGGAAGTTCAGAACATGTTTTAAAATGGAAAGAACTTCTCCCCCACCACCCAAAGAAAGGGCCAAAGAAAGAAAAATTATGGGAAAGAAGTCTTGGATAAAGGGGACAAACTCATTTCTCTTAATAATATCCTACATATAACCTAATTTTTTTCAAAGTGCTTCAAGTACTGTATCTCCTAGGTTTTTCTTCTTATAAATAGACTTACCAGCTATAGAAATTTAGAGTTATTTTTCTCTGTCAAGAAAACCAAATATTTTTACAATACATTTTAGTTTTTTATAAAAATTAAAAATCCGAAGTTTTATTTTCTCTTATTTCCTCCCTTTCTCCCTTTTCCTTAATGCCTTATCTTTTTATAGTCACCTCTTCTCCATGTTTCTGTGCCTCAGCATTTTGCCAGAGATGATGAAATATCACCACCCCCCTCACTTTGTCATTTTCTTTCAACTTGTTCTATACTAAAATGTTGTTCTGCTTCCCCAAAGTTTTTACTGTCAAAACTTTATAGCTCAGCTCTTTTCTATGAGTTTACTTGAGGTAGTTGCTTGTCTCTTGCATCAGGGTGATGTAAATTTTTACCAGCCCTCTGAGGGATGTGATACATACAACATTCCCACACCAATCTTTCATTATGATATTCACCACGTAGCACAGGTTGACTTGTTTCTTAGCAGAGTGCTTTTTCTACCACTGCAGTGTCTTAATTTTGTGTGATGAGGGTTTTTGTATCCTAGTGTGTGCTAGGGGTTTCAGATAAACTGAATTTCCTTCTGCAGAAAGAATTTCTCTTCTGGTTCAGAAAGCTAAATTTCTTTCTGTGGATGTCTACTGAAGACAAGTTTTTTTCTCAACATCTAGTCTCATTCTAGTCTGTTTCTGTTGTCTTGCATTAAGGTATGTCTTCTCATTGGAGCCTAACCAAAGGCATGGCTCCCCAAATTCTCCCAAACAGAATTATATTCTAGGACAGAATCATAATATCCATCAGATGCTACATTCTGGAAATTTCATGTGCCTGAGAAGTCAGGGATATGGGTGGTTTGTTTTTAGTACTCCCAATATCTTTTTCAATATTATCTTGTGTCTCATTTCTCTTCACCAAGTACTTTTGCTGGTTAAAGTTTTGCTGTGATAGTTATGGGAAGGTATTAGTAACTTTAGGAAGAAGGCAGTACTTGATCTGATTCTTAGATGATGACCTCTTAGATCCCAGGGGACCCAAAGGGGAGATACATTTGGGCAGGGGAAAGATCATCCTGACATTCTTCAGCCTAACCAGTAAGTTGCTGCTGACTCTGCATGCTCGTGAGACAGCCCAACCTCCATAGTAATTATCAGTGCTTATACCAAGGTTCAAGGCTGCCTTTTTGCCAGTGCCTCTGCTTAATGATCACTTCTCTCTATGTTCTTCACGACCTCACAGCTCCATCGCACTCTGCTGCACTGGCCACCTGCATATCAAGGTTGCACTTCATCTGTACGTCCTGTCTCTGGCAACTGTGATGTTCAACTTCCCTGAACTAGAAGAAGAGGGAAGAAGAAAAACCTCTTCTTTGTTGAGAATTCATTCCAGCACAATTACCCGGCAGGGAGCCTGCCTTCTAGGTTCCCTCCCACGCACTGCTGGAAGCTTCCAGCATCCTATCTCTGCAGCTCTAACCCTGTGTCTGCTTTGATAAGAGCTATGGTGTAATCAGCGCAGCCGCAGTTCTCTAGCTCTGATTCCCCCTTGTGGCTTCTGCATTCCTGTTGATAATTAAAGAAAGCTTTCTTGCCATGATGCAGGCTATATAAAATAAGTTAATAAGTAATAAAGCAGCTGGCCTTAAGCCAGGAACTTGCTGCTGCTGGTATCGGTCCCATCCTGTGGTATAGTTACTGAGGGGGAAGGAAGCTTGGCTCTCAGACACAGGCTTTTGGAATGGATAGCTGAGAGAGTCAGCTTGGCTTGATGTGCCACTAAAAATGTAAGAGCCATAAAGAACATTCTGTGAGAGAGTTTATGGGTCCTTGGCCTTTGAATGAGATGGATCGCTGACCCTCCTTCCTATGTTCCCACCTCATCTTCTCTCAAGTCCCAGATTATTTAACTCTTTTTGCCAACCGTATCACTGCATAGCTCACTCCTATTTTATTAGGTTTAAAATAAATGCAGCAGGGACCTGATCTCCAAGTTTTGTGTTACTCAACCCTTGATTTCATATCTTCCTTTTGAAGATTGCACCCTGATACATTAAAGATGAGTGCCTTGAGAGCCATTTATTTTGAGATTACTGTGTGCTCACTTATTGTATTAGAGTTCTCCTGTGAGATAGAACTAATAGGATAGCTAGATGGGTGGATGGATAGACAGACAGGTGGATGGATGGATAGATAGATAGATAGGTAGATGGATGGATGGATGGATGGATGGATGGATGGATGGATGGATGGATATGAGGGGATCTATTAGGGAAATTGGCTCACATGATTATGGAGCCTGAGAAGTCCCATCACAGGTCATCTGTGACCTGGAGAATCAGGGAAGCCAGGAGCACGGCTCAGGCCAAGTCCAAAGGCCTGATAATCAGGGAAGCCAGTGGTGCAGCTCTCAGGCCGAGGCCAAAGGCTTGAGAACATGGGGCCACTGGTGTAAGCCTTGGAGTCTGAAGGCTGGAGAACTTGTTGTTCTGAGGTCTAAGGGCAGAAGAAGAAGGGTGTCCCAACTCTAGAAAAGATAGAGTAAATTAGTTTTTCCCCTGCTCTTTGTTCTATCAGGGCCCTCAGCCAATTGGATGGCACTGTCCCATACTGGGTGAGGGTGGATATTCCTTACTCAGTCCACTGGTTCAAGTGCCAATCTCTTCTGGAAGCATCCTCACAGACATAGCTAGAAATAATGCTTTAGCGGTGATCTGGGCATCCCTTAATGCAATCAAGTTGACACCTAAAATTTACCCTCACACCCATGCTCTCTCGAAGTGGCCGTGGGTTGTTTCTCTGTTCCTGGAGGCCCTGGAGAAGCTTCCCCGTAATGAGGTTTCGGCTCCATCACAGCCCAGGAAACTTTCTGGGAAGTGTTTGGGCCTGGAGGAGAGTGGGGTGGTGGTGAGCCTGTTTTGATTAGTAACAGATGTCTTGCTTGCATTTAGTCTGCCTTCGGTACAAAAAGAAGAGCTGAGACCATTGTTCAGGTGATTTGGGTTTAAAAAATCCCTGTACTCAATTTCCTTCAAAGAAGAAAGTGATATTTGATTGTGAATGAGCCAAGATGTCTGTTTCCATGAATGAGGGTAACTGGTGCTCAGGACACACATTTGCTTTTATCGGCTGCCCATATTGTCCTCGGACGTGGAAAAGGTACAACTCTATAGAGGGCTGAAAGGGTAGTTTCAGGAGCTCCCGCAGCAACAACCCCTCTAAACCCTGCAGCCTTCCAAACCCACTGGCAGTTAAGTAAAGCATTAGCAAAATAAGCTCTTCCACACCTAACTGCTACTTCTGACTCTGATGTTTATTCTGGAATTATCTACAGCTCATCCCTGGTTTCTGTTGTTGACCGTAAGCTTTGGGTTTCATACGTTACTCTCTAAACATCCTTTGGTACTGACTTCATGGTGACATTCAAAACATTCACTAACGCTCTTTCCCTCCTGAATACTGATATGTCATCTTCTACTTGCTTCACATATACTGTCCCAGAGTTGTTCTTGGTTGATTCACACTTCCTCCTAGGTTTCCTACCCTAGGTTGGCTCCTGACTCTAGCTCCTCTTAAAGCTATTTACTGTGAAACTTGACTGCCCGGCAGGTGATGAAACAATTGCCACCATTTATTTGTTGACTCATCCTGAGATCCAAAGATATAATTATGACAACTACTGTTCAAATTAATCAACCACATTTCTACAACTAGGGCTGCCACAATGCACAACTACAGGGGCCAGCACTCACATACAATGCAAGGTGAATGGTACCTCTTAGCGTTGTGCTATGTGAAGGTCCTGGTGAAAGCTTTGTCCATGTACAACAGCAGTTCCTTTAACCCCAACATGCAAAACTAGACTGTAGATGAATCTGGAAACTCTGACATATTTAGCGATCACAGGAATGTTAAGATCCGACTTGCTAGAGTGAACTGATTTATTACTGTCTTCTGTGTCTACACTCTAGGTGTACGTGAAAAAGCCACATTGTGGCTGGTCATGCACAATAATAGAAAAATAGAAAGTGGGTTATATGCACTTATGTTACATTCTGCCACATCACTCAGTGCTCTTACGCATCTTCATCCCTAGCTTTTTCCACCATTCTTCTCAATCTGGAACATTCCCTACTATTCAGAGTCTTTGTTTTATTTGGAGTTAGTCAATCCCCTTCCTAACACACACTGAATCCTTTGCCCCTCCTCTTTTTGCCCCAAACACATTTCTAGGAAGGCTTATCTTGGATTTATTTGCTGATGGGATTTGGCAATTTTGATAGTGGTTATAATTTTTCATGTAACCTCTATAATTCTTTAATTGTTGGAAGGCTAGGAGAGATGGTTTTTTTTTTTTTTTAACATCAGGAGGATCAGGAGTTGGATTAAGCTATAAACTATCCTTCCTGTGTAAATATATAGCGATCTGACTTCAGTGACTACTTAATCTCCCTTTATTTATATACTATTATAAGAGGATTGAATTATATAATTCCAGCTATATGACTGATTAAATAGCATGTTCCATATGGTATATTAGTACTTTTTGAGCACCTACTGTATGCAAAGTTTATTGTAGCAAACAAGTGAAATTGAATTTGATGTTATATCAAGGGAGATAAATATTTCACAATTGATTATGCAATATTTGATTATGGTTCCTTTAAAGTACCTTGAAAGAGAGGTATAATAGGCAGTGAGAGCTGATAAAAGGAAAGCTAGCTGTCCTTGAAGGCCAGGGAAGACTTCCTTGAGCTAGAGTTGAGATTTGAATATAGAATAAGAATTATTCAAAAAGGTGAAGTAATGATAATGAAGGAATTGGGGAGTGGAAGTCATCTGGCAGTAAGTGTCCCAGGTAGAGCCTAAGGCATGTGAAGATTCTGAAGCAGGAAGAAAAAGGGCATATTTAAAGAGCTAAAAGATGGCCGAAATGACAGGAACAGAGAGAGCTTGGGGAAGTGTAATATAGATGTTGGCAGAGGTCGGATCACACGTGGCTGTCTGGATCATGTAAAGGATATTGTCACAAGCCAGGTTTCCCAAAAAGCAGACTCAAGATGTACATAAGCAGCATGCAGGGAGTTTATTGATGAGTACTTTAGGGATCAATACCTGTAAAAGAGTGAAGCAAGTGGGACTAGAAAGAGGATAAGTTGAATTAGGGTATAGTCTCAAGAAATATGTCAGTTCATTCTATAGAGAGCTAGGAGGGCTTCTCAGAATTACCAAAGCTTAGGTGAGGGGGCTGGGTCTTTATGCTTTCTCAATGACAAGTTGACCAGTAGCCAATTGAGAAGTGCAGTGGGGAAGGGTGTGCTTTCTTAATTGAGTGGCTCTCTTCATCTGAGGACAAGTCCAGGAGAGGGATTCAGCTGACAATTGTCAGCTTTTATACTCTCAGCAGCTGGGGGAATGCATGTCCTGGTCTGAAGGGAAGGATCTTGATGTATACCATGGTATCCATTATTGATATTATTCTAAGTCTGATGAGAAACTAGTGGAAGGTTTTCAGCTTGGGAGTAATATAATATTTGTGTTTGAAAAGATGATATTGACTTTTGCATGGAGAATGGATTGGAAGGCTGATCAGATTGGCTCTGGAGAGACCAGTTAGGAGAGTATGGGAGTAACTCAAGCATCAGATAACAATAGGTTGCACTGGATGGTGGCAGAAGAGATGGTTTGTTATTTGAGTAACAACAGACCAGGTATGAAAAAGAGAGCCTGACAATAGACTGGCTGGAGAGATTGAACGATAAAGAAAGTCAGGTATAACCATAGAGTTACTGGCTTTCAGCACGGAGTGGATGGTGAGACCATTTGCAGAGCTACACAGCTGAGAAAGAGAGTAGATCTTGAGTTCAATTTAGGCAAGTTGAATTTGAGTTGCTTGTGAGACATTAAAACAGGGAAGGCAGCTGGATGTATAATTATAGAGCTTAGGAAGATGTCTGGACTGTAGATGTAAATTTTAGAGCTGTCATGGTATTTGAGGCCATGGGCATAGATAATAAGATGGCTTAGAAGAGAGCATGGAATAAGATGAGAACCCCAGAATGAGCTTACAGGAGCTCCTGCATTTCAAATGGAAGATAAGCCCCTAACTAAAATAGACAAGGCATAACCAGAGGGGAAGGAAGAATGCCAGGAGAGTGTAACATCAGGAAAAATAAGAAAGGTGTAATGAGGAAGAGTTTCCAATGCTGCTCCTGTAGCAGGTAGGACTATAGCCATGTTTTAGGCACTTTTTACGTTCTAATAAAATGCTATAGTTTAAATATAATGAAAATGTGTATTAAAAATGTGGTTACAGTGTTTTTTACATTCCTTTTGAGGCAAAAACTACTTTATCCAAGTTTCTGAATCTGTGGTCATGCGGCAGGATCCTAATTAAAGAAGCATTTTGCCTTGGTGTGAGGGAAGAATTTTTTTTTTTCTGTCATATTGCACAGAAAAATAATTGTTGAGTGCCTACTGAGTGCCTACTGTGTCCTAACATGCTGCTAAATGCTGCTGAATGCATGGATTCCAAGACAACATCTTTGCTCTCAAAAGGCTCAAAACCTAATTGATGAAACAAGACCTGCTACTTCATTAGATCTCTCTTAGTACCTAGAGAAAAGGTGCTACTGGCCAGCAAATGACAGCAAAAACTATGGGTTGGGGAGATCAGACAAGGCTTAGGTGAAGACACTGAAGTCTGAGCTTCACTCTAAATGTTAGGTAGGATCTGGATGGTAGGGAAGATACTTTAGGTGAAGGTCAGGGCTCAAGGATAGGTGGAGATGGTGGAATATATAGGATACATTTAAGGGATGTTAGTAAGTGAGCAATATACAAATTGAGTGGCACTTGGATGCCACTTGAACTAACTGTCATATTCTAAATTCTCACCTACTTTTGAGGCCTTCAAATATCCTATGTGGTTTGTAATATCTCTTGTGATTCTGAAGTTTTCTGATGAAATATTTTTTTATTTGCTTTTCTTTTGAATTTTAATTGGTGTGTGCTTTGCTATGTGTTATTAAATCTCAGACTGGTTAACTTTGATAATCAAGCCCGGAGGAGGTTTCCTCTGAAATGCAATCCAGTTCACTCCTACATTGTCCTTCATTCTTTCCTCCTTACCCCACCCAGATAGGTCATAGCATGTGCTTTTACTAATGGATTACAGATAACACGTTTGATTGGTTTAGAATCTGCAAAGAGTGGTTTTTTGAAGCATCTAAAGCTTTCACTTATACTCTATTCATATTCATTTAGAATCGATAGACTAAAAAAGGAAAAATATAATCAGCCTATATATGTTGAAATAGTTAGCAGACACAGCACCACAGCATTTTTGTATGATAATTGAACATATTTAGTAAGTGTCAGATTGCTATCTGGCTTTTTTCCAAACATAAGATACTGAATATCATTTTACCTAAACTGCTAGAAGCTTATTTTTTTTTTTTAATGGCGACTACAGTTGTAACCCTTTCAAAACCGAACGACTCCAGAGAGCACCACTGATACTACGCTCGATGTAAATGCCCTTTTATTCCTCTCCTATTGCACCGCACCCAGCCTGTACCACATATCCTAACTCTGCTTGCACACAATGTAGCAGGGAGAGGTACCACCTGGGCCATGGCCTTCTGGTAGAACAGCTAGTTTCTCCATAGCCACAGGATGAGGTGATAGTCCTAATAGTTAACCCTATATAGCATGGACACAAACCCATCTTTACCTACTCCAGCACTTGCTTGATAGTTTGATTGAATAAAGAATTCTAGGTTGAAACTGATTTTCCCTAAAAATTTTGAAGGCTGTGTTCCATTTTATTCTAGTATGCAGTATTGCTATTTAAAAGGCTGATATATTTTAACTATTGATTTTTTTGGTATATAATCAATTTTAATCCGTTGAATAGTTTTGGCATCTTCTCTTTGTCCCTGATGCTATCAAACTTTCTGCATCTAACTTGAATATCTTGGGAGGAAAATTTTCTGACACATTAGGTGTCTGCAAATGTCTTTATTTTAGTTTCTTATTTCATATTTTGTCTGGATATATAATTCTAGTTAAAAAGTAATTTTCTATTAGATTTTTGAAGGAATTGGTTTATTGACTCAGAACTTCCAGAGTTGCCATTAAAAAGATCATTGCCGTTCTGATTTCTATCTCTTGATGTGAATTGTATTTTCTTTTGGAAAGCGTTTTTGTTCTTTTTATCCTGGGAGTTCTGAAATTTCATAATAGTATGCCAAGGTGTGAATTAAAAAATATTTATTATGTTGAACCCACGGTTAGACCATTTCAATCTGCAAACTCCTAATCTGTAGTTTTGGGAAATCTTTTGTATTACTAATACATTAATTCTTCTTTCTGGGTATCAAATTCTTTGGATATTGAATATACTAGTTTGATTCTCCAAATTTTACAGTATTTTAATTTCTGCTTTTTTTTTTTTCCATCTCTGGCTTTTGTTTTACTCTTTAGAATATTTTATCATCTCTTCCAACTTCCTTACATTGAATGTTTTATTTGTGTTATGTTTTTAATTCCCAAGATTTTTTTTTTTGTTCTTAGAATGTTCTTTTTAAAAATAGCATCATGTTCTGTTTTCTTATCTCCATAAGCACATCAATGATAACTGGTTTTTTTTTTTTTTCTGCTTCTTCTCGAATGGTCTGTTTGCTTCAGGACCTTTTATTCTGTTTGTTTTCGTTTCTGTTTTTCATTTTTCAGGCTTTCCTCAAATATCTGATGATCTATGGCAGTATTTAATATTTGAGAGTGAAATTCCGAAATGTCCTTTTGCATAGGGACTGTTGACTGGCGGGTTCACTGCGGATGGCAGGTGAGGCTGTTTCACTGGGCTGGTTGGTTTATCCAGAAAGGAGTCTTGCAATCTTCTTCTGAGGACTTATAGGCCTGGCTGTTTTTATTTCAGGAGTTAGACAGAGGACGGGTCTGTGAGGTGCCCTGCTCAGTATGTATAAACTTTCCCATACCCCCTGTGCAGAACTCCGATCCTCATGGTGCCCGGCATTCCCGTAAGCCATGCCAGCTGGACTCCTTAGGAAACGCCCAGTCTTCTCTTTGGTGGCAGGGAAGGAGAAGTATATTTTCCTATTTTCTTTGTCTTTGTCTATGTAGACCTTTAAAAGAAATCTCTTTATCTTGTTTTTAATAGTGGTTTGAGACACATGGAAAGTTGACTTTTGTTTTTAATCTCCCCTATTTACCCTATGGTCAGTGGCGTTCTCTTCAGAGGCAGTGACCTTGGCCTCATCATGCACTCATGAGGCCATGGTGCGAAGTCTCAGACCTTCCTATGACTGTGGCCACAGTGAATGCGACTGGAAGATGAGGGTCCCTGACACTATCTCTACTATCTGTGCATAGTCTGCCTTCAGGTGTGGTCATTTCTTACCCTTTAATCATTCTCAAGGGCCCTTCTCATGGCCACCAAAGTGGCACCTCACTAGGATTCTGTTTGGATCGCAGAGCAAACAAAACCTACAGTCTACTGGGCAGGTCACAGTGTGTGAGTTAACCATGTCGGTGGTCTCCTGTATGACTCTGCCCACCACCAACGAAACCTTGAGTCCAGCCAGCCCCGATCTTGTGCCCTACCCCTGTTATCCATATCACCTGCAAGGCAGCCCCTCCAGTTTCCTATCTCCCCATCTCCTACTCTTCTTTTCCCCAGGCTTTCTTCTATATAACTCTTCCTACTGCTGCTTCTTACCAGCATCCTTCATATAAATACATTTTTCTATTTTTCTTTATCTTTAGTCTCTTTACAGAATTCTTTCTAATACTTTTCTTTAACTTTACTTAACTTAGACTACATTTTTTAAACTCATGAGCTCCCTTTGCAATATTACATAATTCTTTGGACTCTTTTTTGAATTTGAAATTCATTTAATTATTTTTGTATGGTATGTGATGAAGAAGTGCTTTGAAGTAAAATGCTTTGCTCATGTCAGCATACTATTAAAGTTCATATTATAAATGTCATTATGAAACAAGCTTTACATTTGATTCTCAAACCCAGAAAGGGAAAAGTTGACATTTGTATATAAAATATTACTCATTAATATACATACATATTTTAATATTTATCATATGTGTATTTTTATTTTTCCCATTCACAAAATGAGACATACTCTTTAATTTATAGTAAATTAATCCATAATGATAAGCCAAATTTTTTAACAAACTGCTACAGAAATGGCAAATTTTAAGACGCATATTTTTGAGAACATATTGAAATGTAATTCAACATTACCCCATCAAGGAAGCACTTGTGGCTTGATGATTGGGATTACTTCACTTTTCACTTAAATTGAAACCTAGCTCTCCTCCTAAGGATGCTATCTCCTTATAGCTCTCTTGAGTAGAGACAGTTGTTCCCTTATCTCACAGGGCATGAATATGCCATCAACAATCTCTCCTTTGCCTTTCCTGACCTAACCATAGTAATTGACCAGGCCATTGTTATATCAGGCATTCTTCTTCATTAGTTGAGGGCATGGCCACTTGGATCATGGATTATTTCCATATTCAACAGAGTCTGGCCATGATGGATAAGTTGTCTTCCTGGCTGTGGAAGGGATTGTGGTATCCTGTATGTTGGACAATACTAACGTGAGCCAGCTCTGCATCCCCTCTGAAATAATAAACTCCAAGAATCATTTTCGACCTACGACAACTTTCCATGTCTGTAGACCTTCCTCTTGTCCCAAATACCCTGGGCTTAGATCTCACTCTGATTTCTCATTTCCTTTCTTTCTCCAGTCCACAAGTCTCCTCTACAGCTTGACTTCTTCTCCATCTAGTCGAGAACTCCATTGCATTATTTAGCTATCATTTTTCCCCACCACTGTCAACATTTTATTAGTAATAACAAAAATCACATTTAGTAAGTGTGTTCTAGATATTAGGTATGCTACTAACCACTTTATGTGAATAATCATATTTGATTCTAAAAACTCTATGGTTAGATGCTATTATTATCTCCAGTTGACAAATGAAGAAACTATAACTGAGGATGATTAGATACTTTCCCTCAAGTGATGTAGTTGGAAAGAGGTACACTGAGGTTCTGTGTAGCTCTAGAACACATAATCCTTTAAATCATTCTGTTAGCACTTCAATAGCCTCATCTTACCTGCCCTGCAATTGCTGCTTTGAAAGACTTTTGTCATCCACTTTCCTACTCTTTTTATTTTATTTATTTCTTCATTTTTCTGAGGCGGAGTTTCGCTCTTGTTATCCAGGCTGGAGTGCAATGGCGCGATCTTGGCTCACTGCAACCTTCACCTCCAGGTTCAAGCGTTTCTCCTGCCTCAGCCTCCGGAGTAGCTTGGATTATAGGCATGTGCTACCACGCCTGGCTAATTTTGTATTTTTTTAGTAGAGACGGGGTTTCTCCATGTTGGTCAGGCTGGTCTTGAACTCCTGACCTCAGGTGATCTGCCCACCTTGGCCTCTCAAAGTGTTGGGATTACAGGCATGAGACACCGTTCCTGGCCTCACTTTCCTACTCTTACATCAATGATTTATTTTATTTTATTTTATTCTTTTTTGAGACAGAGTTTCGCTCTTGTTGCCCAGGCTGGAGTGCAATGGCACAGTCTTGGCTCACTGCAACCTCTGCCTCCTGGGTTCAAGTGATTTTCCTGCCTCAGCCTCCCGAGTAGTGGGGATTACAGGTGCCCACCACCACACCTGACTAATTTTTGTATTTTTAGTAGAGACGGGGTTTTGCCATGTTGGCCAGGCTGGTTTCGAACTCCTGACCTCAGGTGATCCACCCACCTTGGCCTCCCAAAGTTCTGGGATTACAGGTATGAGCCACCATGCCCAGCCTTACAGCAAGGATTCTAAGAGCTGCTAAAGGGAAATTGTCAGTGCCAGGTGGATTGGTGCCATTACAGAATCATCATCTCCAGAATCACCTGAGCTTTTCCCTGAATCCAGTTTATGTAATTCTTTCCCTTTCTTCAGTGGCTATTCAAAACTTTCAACACAACAATCCTTGGGTCCTCTACCTCACTCCTGTCTCATTCAGTCTTAGCAAATGACTTTGACTCCTACCTCACTGGGAAAATTATGATAATCAGGTATAAATTGCTCTACGTTTTTGCCTGCACACTGACAAATGGACTTATCTGTAAAAATCACATTAGTCTTTTTCCCTGCAGTCCAAGAAGATGACTTCTCTGTTCAAGACTAATTCTTATGTCTGGACTCTGTACATCCCTCTCTCTCATCTAGCCAAATACAAGGATTGCATTACATATTTCTTTCTCTTTCTTCTGTACTTTCTGTCTCTTCCTCTCCACTGGCTCCTTCCCCTCACTCTGGTCCATATTCTCCTTTAGCAGACTTGAGATATGCATTAGCTGGAGTCCTACCAGGAATCAGGTGGTACTATCACAATATTTTGAGGAAATTTTAATAAAGAGAGTATTTGCAATGTTATAAATAGGCTGTAGGTAAACTACAAGCACAGTAGACATGCAGGGCTGAGGGGTAGGTCAAGGAAGTGGTTACTGGAAGCAAGGAAAGAGTTATATGTGTGGGATCAACTTAAGAGGAGTTGGCCAAGGCACAGAGCTAGCCTGAGCTGACTCTGCAAGAAGGTTGCTGAGAAATAAATACCTGAACCTCATTCCTCTCCTTCCAGTTTCCTGCCAGAGCTCTCCCATTGGCTTGAAGAAGTTAAGCCAAACATAACCAGAAGCCAGAGGACAAAATATTTTTTGATATGATTATAGCCCGTAAATATCAGCCTCTTAGGGCACAAAGCAGGTTGAAGGATAGATAGGAGATCTAGAGGGACAAATTATTGTACAGAATCACTTTATTTTTTCTGGAAAATCTTCACTTGAATTTTCACTGGAATGCTAATTTTAAAGACAAATGTCATTTTTAAATTCTCAATTGTCACCATTTTGCTTCTAGATGGTGGAATAAATTTCAAACAAAATACATCACTGAGAATAGGTCCTGCCTTCTATGATTCTTTGTTCCATCATTGTAAGTGGCCACTTACTATGTCTTGAATATAGTTGGTGCCAAACAAGTGATTGATTGAATTTGCTTTAGCTTCACTACATACCATTCTCTAATTGCTCGTATTTCTGTTGCCTGGTAACCTTCAAAGGCTTCATTCTATAAAAAACAAAGGTGAGAGAAAAAGCAAAACCAAAAATACTCAGGATTTTTTTCTCTCTAGTATCACAAAGTAAAATACACAACAAAACATTGAGTGCTGTTACACATTGGGGAGAAAGATTAATTTGAAAAGTAAGGAAGCAGATTTCCCCACCACGCCTGGCTTTGGCTATGCCATCGTCCATTATGGCCAAAGGGAAGCTACAGGGCCAGGACAGGCCTAAGGGAAACTCTCCGTTCAGACCTGGCAGGCCCCAGACCTGTACACACACACTGCAAGGAAGAGCAGTGGGTTCTGTTATTGGTGGCCAGCAGCAATTGCTCTTTCATCAGAGCTTTTTCTAGGTGTTTTTCATTTATCTAGCATGTATCTTGGCTAGGATATTCCAGAAATGGATATACCTTTGGCTTTCCTAGGAGAGTGATGTGGAAGAGGGTGGGTGTTGGCTACCTAGATTTGGTCAAAGACTGCCCTGGCTTTCTTGGAAGCCTTGAAACCTGGTGTCTCCCTTGGATCTGTCTGAAAGTTTGCATAAGCTGTCTTATATTCAGGGTAGGGTACATCACCATCAATTATTTTATCATCATTATGTCCTGAAATGGTGAAATGTTGCCTCATGGGCATAAAAATCATGTATGGGGTTAAACTGATGGTTATGGCCTGGGGAGAGGATGACATGCATATCTGTTTTATCTTGGAGTCAGACAGAATCTTAAGAAAACTTCTTTGTCTCCTAAGAAAAATTTAAATCATTGTGTTTGCTTCTCAACCTCCATTTTTTCTTTCCAATTTTCTCTTTCCCTTTATAACTGCACTTGAAAATGTCTCTTAACATCAAGCAGAAAATAGGACAGGTACATATCTGATCACCATTCTTTGATACCTAGACATCTATCCCGATCTATAGGCCAGGCAACTGGGCAATGATTCCATAGCTAAGTGGGTTGCAAATGCAAGGGAATTCCTACAGAAGTTTTTCACTGCTATAAGAAATTATTCCTACCCTTTGGTTATATGCTGCCAAATGAAGAGTGGAGCTGGAGCCAGATTAAATATACACTGATTGGAAACTGGGAAAAGGCTAGTGTACTTCTCAATAGGCCCGCTCATTTCCATTTAACTAAAAACTTGCTATTACATATGCATTTGAATTAAAATAAGATCATTTCAAATGAGGCTTTTATTCCCTCTCATTACTTTATAGTCATCTTCTCTACATTCATTCTCTCCACAAATATTTACTGAAAGCCTTGTAAGTGCCAGGTATTGTTTTAGATTCTGAGATTACAACAAGAAGCAACAGGCAAAGCACCTGACTCACCAAGCTTACATGTGAGTGGGGCAGACATGCATGCAAGGGAGTACATGGGCAACAGCAGTTCTGTGAAGAAAGCTGAAGTGGTGTGAGGGGAAGCAGGTTGCATTTTAGCCAGGGTAGTCAGGGAAGGACTCTCCGATGAGAATCCTTTTAGTGGAGATCTGAAAGCTGTGAGGAAGTGTACCAAGAGACTGCATGACAATCTATGCATGCAGCGTGTATCTGGCTACCCAGTTACAGTAAGTGATAGACAGATGCATGTCCAGGTGACACACTTTCTCTCTCTTTCTCTCTCAAGCACATTGCTATATTTTGCTGAGTTTGTGCTTTTCTGTATGTCTGATTACCCGGATGGCCATTCAGATGGCCAGATGATGGTGCAAATATATTTATAGGATTTATTGGATCATACTCCAGAGGGTCAGGAATGATCTGAAGCAGGGACCAGGGACTGAGAAACTTCTGCCACCAAGGAATAGGAGAACATCCCTTCCTGGGCCTGAGCAGGAGTGGCCTGAAGGGCTGCAGAGGTCAAGTTTCATGGGTCGGCTGTGCTTATGGTTTTCTTGGAAGCAGGAAGTGCTTTACACAGGAGTGTTGGAATTGCTACCCAGACCTGTGAGCTCTTCAATGAGTCCTATACATGCCTGGTTGGTAATCTACGTTGGCTCTGAGAGACACACTCAACAATAGAGGTGGGGAGGTACAACCTGATCTGGAGGCATCAGTAGACAATGTTGACTAGCACAGAGGTTTTTGAAGAGGAGAGTGAGAAGAAGTATTAGGAATGCAGGTTGACTTGCGAAGGCCCTTTAAAAAAGTCCTGTAAGCAAGTCTTTGTAGATGCATAGGCTTTAGTTACCTCATCTCTAAAATGTGGATAATAAAGCATCTCATGGGGTGAGAATTAGATGACATAATGCATATAAAATGTTTACAGTTACGTTGGACACATATTAAGTGCTTAATAAAGAATAACGGCTGCTTTGATAATGAACATGGTGTTTAAGGATAACTGATGTGGTGATAGTGTGTAGGATTAGTTGGAGGAGGGATGTAGTGGAACAGGGAGCCCAGTTACACGATGGCTTTAACAATTAAGGCACAAGAGTAGTGGTAATGAGGCTGGGAGAGAAGGGACCCATGAGGAATTGCAGGAAGGAAGAGTTAGGAGGATGTGGAGACTGCCTGGGAATCTACCATAAAGGAGATGGAGAGCCAAAGATAACTGGGATTTGGGCTGGGCAGTGGAGAGAGTGATGGGCTATTTAAAGTGTGAAAGTGGCATTGGCTAGGATTGTTAAATAACAATACACAGAGGAGGGTGGGCTGGGAGACAGCCCCTGGCTGGAACAGGAGTCACACTGGAGGAAGGAATGAGGAGAATGAAGTAAAAGTTGCAGGATGGAAACAGACCAGAACAGAGGAGAATTGCACAGTGGCAAGACCTGTTGATCAGAAAGGGAACAGTACCAAAAATGAGCTGCCTGGTCAGCTCTGTAGAGTCCAAGAATTAAACTAGGCTGGTTTCTCCTTCCCTCCCTCCCTCCTTTCCTTCCCTTACTTTCCTCCCTTTCTTCTTTCCATTGTTTCTTCCTTCCCTTTTATCCCTCCTTCCCCTTTCTCCCTTCCTTCCTGCCCTCCCTCCCTTCCTGTTTCCCACTCTCCCTTTCTTCTTTAAAGAGTGGGCTAGATCCTATGCCCAATACTAGATGTATAAGGAAAGTAAATGACACCTTTGCTCTGAAGAAGTTCACTATTGAACGTGAGTTACAGAAAAGGCTGGGTACAAATGTGAGGGGTAGGTTCAGTGAATGAGGCCCAGTTATTTTTGGATTAAGAGAAATAATTAGAGATTTTTTTTTTTTTCTTCTTGAAGATCTTTACACAGGTGTTATGGTTTGGCTGTATCCCCACCCAAATCTCACCTTGAATTGTAATAATCCCCACCTGTCAAGGGCAGGACCAGGTGGAGACAATTGAATCATGGGCGTGATTTTCCTCATACTGTTCTCATGGTAGTGAATAACTCTCACGAGATCTGATGGTTTTATAAATGGGAGTTCCCGTGCACAAACTCTCTTGCCTGCTGCCACGTAAGGGGTGTCTTTGCTTCTCCTCTTCCTTTGTCTTCTGCCATGATTGTGAGGCCTCCCCAACCATGTGAAATTGTGAGTCAATTAAATCTCTTTATAAATTACTCAGTCTTTGGTATGTCTGTATTAGCAACGTGAGAACAGACTAATACAACAGATAAGGAGATGTAGGTGCACTGATTTATTTTTTATTCTACAGATGATATGAGTATATTTTGCTCCAGGCCTGCTTGTTAAGGTAAGAAGTATGTAGCCTCTGATTGATTTTGATTTTCATTTCAGGAATGCTGAGTTAACTATGTCTGAAATGATCGTGATACAGTATAGAATTAGGTACACTTCTTGCTTGTTGAATTAAGTCACCCCAGCTTACTTAGTGTGGTTGCTAGGCCTGCAGAAGCAGGACCACCTGGGAATTGGTGAGGAATGCTAATTCTCAGCCCCCCTCCCCAGACCTGATAAGTCAGAAGTTCTGGGCTGGAGCCCAGGGGTATTTATTTTTACACATAGTCCTCGTGATTGTGAGGCAGGCTAAAGCTTACAAATTACTGCTTTATGTTCCTAGCATGGAGTCTTGCATTTAGTGGATAACCAATATACATCTGTTGAATCCAATTAGTAATACTGAAGGCTCTTTCCCGTCTACCCGAGAGATGGTAATAGACTCCCAAGGTGAAATACGCTGTAAAGTTCTCTTCGAAAGCTGGAGAAGCACTGACTTCTTGTCCTTTTTTTTACCTGGCCTGATTTTCATCTTTTTCTTCATCTCAACAGTTGTCATATGGAACTTGCCATTTTGTGTGAGGCTCAGGTTAGAGTCTGGGATGACAGCGTCCTGTGCTTATGATGCGATAGTGAATGGCCATGATGAAAGGGAGTCATGAAGAGCAATCTTTTAGTGACTGCTTCAGTTTCTAGGTTTTATATAGAGTCAGAGAAAGAGCAGCCTTTCTTAGTTTATCCTCACTTCTCGGGCACATAACAGCCTTCAATCGTGTTGATTAATGCCGCCTTCTTGGAACTACTCTCTTCGCTTCCACCCTGACCTCTGCTATCTGTCCTTTGCAAGCTGCTTCTCCTGTTCCTGACTCCTCCATGTAGGTCACACTCACTCTCTCTCTGTTCTCTCTGCTTTGGAGATTTCAACCACTTTTCTGGTTTCAACTTGTATTTCTGGGGGGAATTGATCCCAAACATGAAGGTCGCACTGATCTTCACTGCCTGTGAGTACCACATTTCCTTCCTTCCTTTCCGCCCTCTCTCCCTTTCCCTTTCCACTCTTCCTTTCTTCCTTAAAGAGTGGGCTGGATCCTATGCCTGATACCAGATATATAAAGTGAAATAAGTGACACCTTTGCTCTTAAGTTCGCTATTGAAAGTGAATTAGAGCCTGTAATCCCAGCACTTCGGGAGGCCAAGGTGGGCAGATCACCTGAGGTCAGGTGTCGGAAATCAGCCTGGTCAACATGGCAAAACTCCGTCTCTACTAAAAATACAAAAATCAGCCAGGTGTGGTGGTGGGCACCTGTAATTCTAGCTACTCGGGGAGGCTGAGGCAGGAGAATTCACTTGAACCCAGGAGGCAGAGGTTGCAGTGAGCTGAGATCATACCACTGCACTTTAGCCTGGGCAACAGAGTGAGACTGTCTCGAAGAAAAAAAAAAAGGAAAGCGAATTCGAGAAAAGGCTAACTGTCCTCTGGACCTTCTGCCTGGACATGCCGCTGGTACCTTCAACTTACCCTGCCCTAATCAAACTCCTTAATTTCTTCCCATCATCCTACTTCCTTCCAACCTCCCTATTTCTGCTCAGGGTGCCATTATCTTCCTAGTCACACCTGAAATTTTAGAAGTTTTTTTTTTTTTTAATGGGCAGGGTCAAAGTGAGGGCAGGATTAAGGAAGTGTAAGCCACTGAGGATTCTTCCCAGGTGGTTCTCTCTCAGGTACGGCCCTATTTGCCCGCCCCTCTCCCCCTTCCTAGTTTAGCCTCTCACCTAGGCTGTTGCAAGAGGTTCTTAACTATTTTTCTCTCTGTGTGAGAGACGGGAGATTGCGAGAGATTGTCCTTAGCTTTTCCTTTCTCATTTGAACATCCCCCACTCATTATTAAATACGTGGAGAAAATAATTTTGCTCTGTAGTTGTGTAATAAAGCTCTTTGTGGCAGCTTGTTCAGCGTGGGCTGGAGAGCATAAACAAATGGAGGTCACTTTGCCTTCTGGGGGATTATTTTTAATATCCAAGATTTTTCAGTGCCTGCTCATTTCCCCTGCTTCTTACTTCAGAAGCTTCTCACAACTAAATCCATTGATGGCTTCCACAAAACCTAAATCCCACAAGAGAATGCGTAATTAAGAGACCTTCAGATCGTCAATCAAAACACAGGTACTCATGTTTTAGATACATTATTACCTGGCTTTGCACACCACGTAGAAACAGCAAATTAGGTTTCTAAAAGGAGGGAGGAGTGCTAATAATGCTAGCATTTACTGACATTACAGGGTGACCTTTTAGAACGAGCAGAGGAAAGGAAGGAGAGTAATCAATTATCTTTTAAGTATTTTATATTCATTGTTCTATAAATCCCAACAACAACTCTCATATACCAGATGAGGAAACTGGAACTTAAGAGATGTTTAATGACTCACTCAAGGTCATATTTCTGAAAGAACTAGAGATTCTAACTTGAGCCTCTTTAATTTCCAAAGCTAATTTTCTCTTTATTATGGCAGCATTTCCCAAAATGACTGCATGGAACAAGACTTCTTTGGAATGATGATAGGGATTCTGTGTAAAAGGTCAATGAAGTTACAGAATGCTTCTAACACAGCTCTTCTGTTGTTGACTCTTATCCCCACCTTCAGCCTGTGGCAAACATTGATTTCTTTTGTTCTATAGTTTTGCCTTTCCAGATGCCATATGAATGGAATCATGCAGTTTGCAGCCTTTTTGGTTTATCTCTCCTTTTCATTTAGCAAAGGCACTTGAGATTCCCTGTGTTGTGTGTATCAATAGTTGGTTCCTATCATTGCTAATGAGTATTCCACTGCATGGATGTACTGCAGTTTGTTTATCCATTCACTGATTGAAGGACATTTCAGTTTATAGTTTTGGGCCATTGTGAATAAAGCTGCTATAGACAATCACATACAGGTGTTAGATTGCTGGTTAATTGGTTACCTTGAAACCTCAGCTCTCTAATGGGTTCATGAAAAATTGTGAATTTGCAATTGGTTTGACTTTTGATATTGTTATAAAGGAGAAAGCAATGCCCTTCTAAACTTCACCTGTCTCAAGCTGAAACTAATCCTAAACTGGATTCTATTTGTTCATTAAAAGAAATGTAAGCAATGGTTTTGAATAGACCCATATGATTCCACAAACTGATGCAGTTTATTTCCAATATTGTAGATATTGTTTATCTGCACATGAGAAATTTGATTGTCATTTTTTTCATCCGTGAACATGGAGGGTTAATCTCTATGGACTCCAAATTCCAATACCGTCTGCACGTATGTTCTTTAAAGGGAAGCTTGGCCAGGCATGGTGGCTCATGCCTGTAATCCCAGCACTTTGGGAGGCTGAGGCTGGCGGATCACCTGAGGTCGAGAGTTCGAGACCAGCCTGACCAACATGGAGAAACCCCATCCCTACTAAAAATACAAAATTAGCCAGGAATGGTGGCGCATACCTATAGTCCCAGCTACTCGGGAGGCTGAGGCAGGAAAATCGCTTGAACCCAGGAGGCGGAGGTTGTGGTGAGCCGAGATCGTGCCATTGCACTCCAGCCTGGGCAAGAAGAGTGAAACTCAGTCTCAAAAAAATAATAAATAAGGGAAGCTTGACATCTTCTAGCTACAGTGTTCTTTTGTTGATTCCATCCCTAAGTAAGTAAGATTCCTTAGATCTAACTAACGTCAGTCTTAGATGAACTACTGTTCGTCTCACAGGTGCCTGTGCAGCGTGTGTGTGTGTGTGTGTGTGTGTGTGTGTGTGTGTGAGAGACAGAGAGAGAATGATGGAAACACAGGAGCTAGCATATTCCTGTCTAAGCTCAGGAAAAGTGTATATTTTTGGATGCCTATATCATTCAGCTGTACCTTCCTCCCTCCCTCATCTTTGCTGTTATCTTCTGATTTCCTGATCACTACAGCCTGTCCACTGGAGCCTTGGGGAGATAGTCCTGTTATAAATCCCAAATTTTGTCATCTGAACTCTAGCCTCTGAGAATTGCCGTAGATAAAGCCCCAAAATGGTGCCTATACAGATACATGTTTTCAAACCTGACCTCAGCTCTCAGCCCTCACTTCAAAATTCTTGTGTGCATCCCTAGCCTGCTCATTTTCCCGTTAAATTCAGAGAGTATTTCAAAATATTAATCCCCTTTTCAAGATGTTCAGACTACTGTCCTGTTACTCAATTCAGCCGATGACCTCACTGCCTAATGGACAGAGATACACAGTCATCACATGGGTCTTCTCCCTGTCTTCCATGTAGTTTCTCACATCTTTTTTAACCTCTTCTTTTTGTTTTAGTCAAAGATATATTTATCTTCCAATCTAAGCTTAATCCTTCCCTCAAAACCCAGAAATGTCTAATATATAGAATCAACTACTAGTTGTTGACAAAAACAGCTGAGATTTTGACTGGGAATTATTGAATTTATGGAGAGATTCACACTAATTATTAAATTAATATTTGCTGACATCCTTGGTAATATTTCTTGTTTGATGGTTAATTTTCTTGATAGGACTATAGTGACTTTAGCTTTTTTAAAATTTGTATTTGCATCCTTTTTCTCTTCATTTTACTATAATCTGTCTTGAGTTTTTGTATTTAAAATGAGCTTCCTGTAGACAGTATACAATTGGATCTTTTTTTATCTCGTTTGAAATTTAAATTGGGTATTTTATTATATTGACTAATATATGCTGAATATTTAAATTGGATAGTTTAGGACATTTATACTAATGTAATTTCTCATAGTTTGGTTTATATTTTATATCTTACTATTTTTTATTCACTCTCTGTTCCATTTTCTTGCTTTCTTTTGGATTCAGTATTGTACATTATTTCATTTCACCTTGTTTACTCAATTTTTAGTGTTTTGCCATGTTTTCTTTTTTAAATAATTGATCTAGGGTTTAAAATATGAATCTTTAACTTATCGCAATCTACCATTTCATGTGTAATTTAAGACCTTAAGACATATATTTCCATTTCTTTCGCTCTGTCCTGTGACTTGTACAAAGTTTAAATTAAGATTTATGACATAGTTCAGGATAATTTCCACTGTGTCATTTTGGAATGGCTCACTGTTGTGGACCCCAGGGATGCCAAGACATAGAACTGTCTGCAAGGTGATTACTTGAGAATATGAAACATATTTATTTAAAAAAGTACACATATATATAATTTCAATAACTTTTGGGGCACAAGTGGTTGTTTTTGGTTACATGGATGAATTGTAGAATTGTGAAGTCTGAGATTGCAGGGCACCCATCACCTGAGAAGTGTACATTATGCCCAATAAGCAACTGTTTATCCCTTAACCCCATTCCACACTCCCCCCTTCTGAGTCTATAATGTCCATTACACCACTCTGTATGCCTTTGCAAACCTATATCTTAGCTCCCACTTATAAGTAAGACTGTATGGTATTTGGTTTTCTATTTTTGAGTTATTTCACTTTAAAATAGTGGCTTCCATCTCCATGCTGCTGCAAAATATTTCATTCTTTTTTATGGCTGAGTAGTATTCCATGGTGTATACATACACCACATTTTTTTAATCCACTCTTCGGTTGATGGGCACTTAGGTTGGTTCCATATCTTTGCAACTGTGAATTGTACTGTAATGAACATATGCATGCAGGTGTCTTTTTGATATACTGACTTCTTTTCCTTTGAGTAAATACTCAGTAGTGGGATCACTGCGTATCAAAGGGTAGATCTGCTTTTAGTTCTTTAAGAAATCTCCATATTGCTTTACATAGAGGTTGTACTAATTTACATTCCCACCAGCAGTGTATAAATGTTCTTTTTTCACCAACATCTGTTAATATTTTTTGACTTTTTAATGCCATTCTGGCTGGTGTAAGGTTGAATCTCATAGTGGTTTGCACTTCCCTGATGATGAGTAATGTTGAGCATTCTTTCACGTTTTTTGGCCATTTGTATAACATCTATTAATAAACGTCTATGTCATTTGCCCACTTTTTGGTGATACTATGTTTTTCTTTTGCTGATTTGTTTGAATTCCTTATAGATTCTAGATATTAGCTCTTTGTCAGATGCATAGTTTGCAAATATTTTCTCAAAAATATGGAACAAATTTAAATGGAAAGTAATTATAACAGGACAAGAAAATATATGTAGTAAACACCTAATGACAAGAACAGATACTAAGGACAAAATGAGCTCACGGCAGAACAGCATTGCTTTAAGTGCTCAGGAGAAGGTTCATCAAAGGACTAGAATTCAAAAGAAGAATGTATCCAAAGAATGATTTTATTAGTTGAGCAGATGTGAATATGATGGTGACACTGAGATACGGTAGGACTGATCGGATGCAAATGAGCTTGAACAGGATGACAATTTCAGGCTGCAGACGGTAGAATATAAATTTGGAGCAATTGGCATAATTCTGCAAAATTGAGCACAGTATTTCTTGCAATATGCTATGTCATTATTCTACAAATTTTGTTTCTATGGCTTTGTCCCTTTGCATGGTAATGCTATTCCGTCTCACTCTTTTAGATAACAGCAATTTGTTACACAGCTTTCCAAAAGCAGCACTGCTTTCATAAACTTTGTGTCTAATAACGTTTGTTAATGAATTATTGAAGTGGGAAAGGCAGAGCTGGGAGGCAGAGAATTTAATAAGTGATGGAGAAAGCAATCATGAATCTGGTAGCAAATATCACTTTTGGCCTTGAGAGAACTTTACTTGAAAAAGAACAACAAATATTTTATAGTTTCATTCTCTCTTCTCTCAGTCCCTCTTCTCCACTACCTATTAGTTAGATTTGTCCCTCCTTTAAACACATTTTTGTTTGTTTGAAACAGGGTCTCACTCCATCGCCCAGGCTGGAGTGCAGTGGCGTGATGACAATCACAGCTCACTGTAGCTTCAACCTCCCCAACTCAAGTGAATCTTCCACCTCAGCCGCTGGAATAGGTGAGACTACAGGTGCAAGCCAGCACACTGGCTTTATTTATTTATTTTTGTTGCAGACAGGGGGTTTTATCATGTTGCCCATGGTTTTGAACTCCTGGGCGCAAGTGATCCACCCACCTCAGCCTCCCGAAGTGTTGGGATTACAGGCATGAGCCATTGTGCCTGGCCTTAATACATTGCTAATTTAACTCTCGTGTTCCAGCTTGTATTGCTCTTAATTAACGTGTGAGTGATCCACTTAGTGACCTCACGCCATAGTTGTTGCCTGCCACTGCATATGGGGGTGGCTTATCTCCTCTCTGATGGAATCATCCTAGAGGCTGTGCAGGCATTTCACTTTTCCTTCACTATTTCATGGCACTTCCCAAAAGATAATTCTCATTGATACATGGAGATCATTCCTCAGTCAACAGTGTCTCCATATAGTCAGCAATATATAAAGAAACTTTCTGTATGATTACTAATCTGGCATTAAGACTCCTCCTGCCCCTTTCCAACTGTAGCAGTGCACAGCTATTGCCATGACCAATGCTACTTCCATATCCCTTACCACTACCATCGTTGGCTGTTATGCTCAGCATGGTGCTAGACACACTCTCTGTACTGTTTCCAATCCTCCCATAACCCTGCATCACTGACATCATTCTTCATGAGCTCCCCAATTAACTAATGGATTATGCAACTTGCCCAAAGTGAGTGATTAGTAAAGCCAGGAATTAAGCCTAGATCTATCTAATTCTTAAGCTAAAGTTCTCTCAACCATCACAAACGGCCTATCAAGTGCCCTGTGTTTAACAAGAATTCATTTTCCAAAGCTTACATTGGATCCCTACAGGGCTGTGTCTGAAAACCCACTGTTATGTTCAGTGTGTACCTACAGATGTCTTTCTGAACCTCTTAATGTTTTTACTGTTTTTATTATTTTTATTTTTCTCCCCGCCCCTACCCCTCAGCTAAATGTCCTACCCATGGTTTGGAGTGCCTGTGGCAGTTGGTGAACACTCCAGTGACCATTGATCTTATTCAATAAATGCTTTTTAAGGGCTGTGTAACACATTCTCAATGTGAGGTCATTTCATAATAGGGAAAATTGGGCAATTCAGTAGTTTAGAAGTGGTGGCATATGGTAAGTCTAGTTTGAGTCTTGGGGGAAGGGGGTTGATAATACATGATGGTACAGGGTGTAACTTATTTTAAACATAGTCATACTGAAACATTTACACACCAAAATAATTGCCAGTAGTATCTGCTCTCAGGTTATGCCATATTTGTGTTTCTTATAAAACATAGAAAAAATCCCTGCTGTATCTGGTGGTTTTAATTATTTCATGCTTTGCCACTCTAGTTCCTATTTCATACTTCAAGTCAAATTCATTTTCTATAGTTCCAAATCTCTTGTATTTAAATCTTGCTATGTTTAGAATTTTTATCCCAGTTACATCAAATGAGCAGACACTGTTGGTTGTCCCCCTTATTCCCGGAGGCAAGGTTGTAAGCTTGGCTTTATTCCAGCAACAAGGGGATGCATCTTGATGAGTTCTAGCCAATTATAGATCATTTCATCACCCTTTAAAGTGAATAGTTTAAGTCTTGACATTTAATGCAATTTTGGCTGAAGAGACATGAGGGGAAGTCTGTTGAATGATTCTTGTAAAGCTTATTTTCATTGGTAAATATTTATGCTGGAGGAAATATTTTTCTTTTCTTGAATCCCTCACTATTTCTGTGACTATTGTGATGTATGCAACTTCTGTAGTCATATTGCAATGATGAGAAACAAACCTAAGGAGGAAAGAAAACAGATTAAGGATGCAATGCTGCAAGATGGAAAAATCCTGCATCCCTAGTCATGTTTTTGAGCTACTGAGTTAATAAATTCCAAAGCTGAACTGTAATGCTTATATGAGGTGATAATACTACTAGGTGTGCAATTTGTTATTTATGAGCTATCAAACTTTGAGAAGTGGTCAGTTTTTTTTTCTCCCACAGAAGCACTTGTCAGAGATTGCAAGGCCAATAGATAAATGAAGAAAAAGCTCAACGAGCTGAAGGAGGTTGAAAAAGTACTGTATAATTATTAGGATATGAATATCAGCAACCTTTTTTTGTTTTCACTATGCTGAATTTCTAATGCATGCATTACTATTAGATGTGGTCTAATTATTTGGCCTTTACAATTCTCATGAGTACAGAAATCTCTAGTAGACAAACATGGTGATAAAGTTTTCTGCTGACCTCAAAGTCTTCCATGCAGTGCTTTAGGCTGCTAACTACATCAACTCAGCTAATATCTGCTTTTGCAGAGGAGATTTTTGCAAGAAGCAAAGCTGAAGAGTTGGTTTATATAAACCTTTGTGGCAGAATCCCACACTCAGACTTAAGTTATCTTGAAGAGAATAAACAAGAATGATACATATAAGGCTCACTGACTCAAAAAAATTGATATACTCATTTTCTAAATCTTGCAATCGTGTCGGTAAATGACAAACGTGAAATTAATAGCAATAGCTAAATAAACAATTGAAACCATTACAAGATGTGCTTTGTCCTTCGGCATGGAACATTCCAGCCAATCTTCTTGTTCTCCTCCAGTATCGCCTTCAGGATCTAACTTCTCCTGACAAAAATTAGAGAACCCAAGGTCTGTATCTCCCTCTTCTCTTAGAAACCACATCTATTTTGTTGTTCATTCTGTCAAATGCTGGAATTTGCTGACACATTGGAAAATATGATAAAAATACAAAAGCATTTCAGTAGGATTCAGAAGACTTGGGTTCTGGCCTCCGTGTCATCATTGACTAGCTTTGTAATCATACAGACTTTAGGTAGATTTGCTTTATCCATTTTGGAAATGATTTAATCAAAGCCAATTGAAGTGATTTTTGGATAAGCCACAACATCCATACTCTCTGGTAGTAATGAATCACTAAGAGTTGACTATAAACTCAATTTTGTCTTATCACATTATGCATACCTACATTACTTGCTCACCATGGATTGTGAAGGTCTTTGCCCTTCAACTAATAATACACATGCATAGCCAGTCAAGATATGGTCTGAATCCCTGGGGTCATGTGATGCTCTTTGCCCCACATGGACACATAGCATTGCACTTGTTATCCCTAAACTTCTACCAGCTGTGCTTATTGACCTTGTTGCATATCAACTTGTTATGGACACCCATGCCAGAAACTGTGGAGATGGGTGCAAGATACTGAACAAATAAGCAAATGGTACTAATGGATCTGCTAATGATGCAGAACCGTAGAGCTGATTACCTGCAAGCATATTATCTCTTGGTTAAATACTGACTTTGAAGGTGGCACCCGTTCCAAGCTGCTCCTCTGCTTCCTCATACGTGATTTACAATCAGTTGTCAAGTGATAATTTGATGAGATTAAATTATGTTTTTAGAGAAATAAGTCTGCTTTGCCACACTTGAGAAATTTTATGTCACACCAATGTTACGGATATCTCACATCATAGTCAAACCTTTATGTACTGGATTTTTATTATTTATTGACAAAGCCTCTGTGGGTCCTTTTCTGACAGCTCATATACAAGGGTCTTAATGTCAAGGTCAGACCAGTACAGTAGGATTTGTGTTTTTAAGGATAATACCAACCTATTAAGAAAGGAAAGACTTGGAAGACCAAGGAGGATGGAGCAGAATAAAAGATGGAAAGGGAGAGCAAATATATTACATTTTTTTTTCCTGCAGAAAGAGATAGGGAGGAATTTTCTTTTTAAGAGTTAGCAGATAATTGTGTCTCCCTCTTTTTTTCTTATTGACCATGGTCCTGCTGTAAGGTTTGCGAGGTCAGGTAAGTTAATGTGCTGAATCCAAGTATCTCTAGGTCAAGGAAACATGAAAATGTTCAAATTTTTGTGTCAGAATTCAGGGCTTTTTGTTGATGTTGTTCTATATCTGTATCTGAGGCTCTATTCTTGGACATTCGGTATTTGGTTAAAAATACTGTAAAGATGTAGTGAGATAATGGATATGGAGAGAAGAGATTGTTTTCATTAGTATTGTTTAAGCCCATTAGTGTGTGACAGTTTGGCTGGACAGAGCTTCAGAGCTTCATAGAAAGGGTGTTATCAGAGGTTTGTTTGTTTGTTTGTTTGTTTGTTTTTTGAGATGGAATCTTGCTCATTCATCCAGGCTGGAGTGCAGTGGGTGTGATATTGGCTCACTGCAGCCTTTGCCTCCCCAGTTACAGTGATTCTCCTGCCTCAGCCTCCCAGGTAGCTGGGATTACAGGCATGTGCCACCACGCCTGGCTAATTTTTGTATTTTTAGTAGAGATGGGGTTTCATCATGTTGGCCAGGCTGTCTTGAACTCTTGACCTCCGGTGATCCACCTGCCTCAGCCTCCCAAAGTGCTGGGATTACAGGCGTGAGCCACCGAGCCTGGCCCAGAGGTGTCTTGATTGAGCCATGGAATGACAAAATAAGAATGGATGCTTTTACAATTCTGATCTTTCCCGCTCCATTTATAGACAGGAACATTGAGGATGAAGAAGATGAGATAATTTAAGACTACCTGAAAAATTAATGTCAGAGTCACTAGGACATTAAAGAGATAAAACACCAAAGGGTGCAAGTGTTTTGGGGTCTAGAGCTGGGCTCTGAGCCAAAACATGCTTCTGCCACCCCTAACTAAGTGCCTTTGAACAAGTTGCCTAGTTTCTCTGGGACTAATCTTCCTCATATTTAAAATAAAGGTGTTATATACCCATGGTTTTGTTTTATCTACCCCATAAGGTGATTATGTATGAAAATATATGTAAGGATTATAAGTATATATAAAGTAAAAGTATACTTAGGCAATACCTAGTAAATGCTCCATAAATGTTAGCTACTATTAACTATAATTACAGCAACTAGCATTTCATTTCATTGCTCAAATGTTGACGACAGTAAAGATGATGCAAGGTTATAAAGACTATGCAGCGTCATCTCTGACTGTGGGAAGAATATGATCTGATTCAGGAGTCAAGAAATGTTGCTCAAGCAGTTAAAGAGCAATGAAAGGAAGAAACACAAGCTGGTTATTTATAATAGGTATTCATCAAGGTTAGACAAATCTGGGAATTTGAAATAGTGCACCTAGTAGAAATGCAACTGGCCTCTTCTCAGCCTTGAAAGAAACAAGTTTCCCTGAAAGAAAGGAGTTTCTTTTAAGGCTGGGGGCTTTAGTAAAAAGTCTGAGGGACCACGGGTGATTCAGTATAAACTTTGGAGTGAGGATATCGCGAAATGCAAACAAACATGGAAGTATCACAGGAAAAAGATGCAGATTTAACAACCTGCTGGACAGAAGGAAGCTTATAATGGTGCAAGTCACCTAATGACATTTTTGTTTACATTACTACTTTACTCTTCCTTTCCTCTAATCTCAGAGGAAGGGATAAGAATTAGCAGCTGGTATATGGGGATAAAAATGAAGGAGAAAGAAAAAAGTTACCTGCAATTCCTTTCTTAAAGGCAGATGCCTTGTCTTCAATAAGGCATAGCTTGGAAAGAGTATGATGATGTCTTGCTTTTGATTAAAGTAGGTAATTAGGCTGGAGAATTTTATGTACTGAACTGAGTGTTTGTGACTCAAACTCATGATAGATCTTTCTATTGTAAAGTGTCTAGTGGAGTTATGGGAGGGAAGAGCTAACTAAATTTTTATTCAATGGTAAAGGAAAAACTAGTATCACTGAATACCTTCAAAGGCACAGTGGGAGATATAGTAACTTTATGATTCTCTTCATGAGTCTACTCTCCTCAAAGAATCATTTAATGTGTTTGTCCAAATTTGCTATCAGCCACCAAATTATTCCAGCCAATTTTGTCACCCGAAGTCCTCAAGGTAAAACAGCCTATCATTCTCTTAAATTATTTTCAGAATGACAGAAGGAAAGCATATCTACATATTTATTTATATCTACATATGTAGGTATACATTTACATACAAATTATAATTCTCTAGACCTTTCTACACTCACTTATGCAGCAGTCTTTTATAATATGTGACATATTATTCTTATACTTTGGGTAAAAGAAACAGCTCAGAGAGAGTATTTCAGTCGGTCAACCAATATAGTAACAAGACAAATTTCTAACAGTTGAAAGAAAAATGAACCAGAGAGTGAACTTCTAGAGTTATAGACTAAAGACCTTAGTGAACTTGCTTCTCTTCTAAAACAACAAAAATATGGTCCAAACAATTAAAAACAAACATTACAGAAATCTGGCAATAACCAACACCACAGAACAGACTGGAAATCATGTATCCAAGGGAAACTACTAAAGATCAGTAAAATAGGGTCTGTAAAATTCTAACAATGAGTTCATTTCTTTCCTCCTTCATACTCTGTTCAGCAGTGTGGTCACCAAACATTGACAGCCATGCAGAAAATGGAAAGATTTATTGTTTTTGGATCTTGGTTAAAAGCGTTGTTCTCAGAGTATGGTAGCTATTTGACCCAGAACTTAGCTCTGTGTGTGTGTGTGTGTGTGTGTGTGTGTGTGTGTGTGTGTGTGTGTGTGTGTATGTATAGCAGAAAGCCTGCTCTAGGACATTATTTAAAACAATAGCAAACTGCTGGTGACATTTCAGTTGCCCAAGGCTATGATTTCAGTTGGCCAAACAAGAGCCTGTTTGGGTAATTTTAAAGACAATCCTGGAGAACTAGACAACTATAGGAAACTTTAGAAAGCTCATACATGTTCCTTGAGATCTAAAAGACTGCACATGAGCAAACCTGAGCAAATGCCTAGGAAAGAACCGGGAAAGGAAAAGGCACTCACAACTTCCTGTCCTTTTGCAAGTAAGAAATATGAGCTAAGGATACCTTATAAACTGAAGTTTGAAGGGTTACCTTCTCACACAGGTCCCCTTGGCAACAGTGAAAGATTGAAAAGCAAGGCATTTAAGCATCTCTTCTGACCAATCAGTTGGTGACCACTAAATTATACTAAACCAGATGTGACCCTTAGGAGGCCAGGCTTAAAAATAAAAGCAAGGACTTTACAAAAAAACTAGCAGAGGCCACATACTTCAGGGAATAAAGAGTCTAGAAAAGTTGCTAAACAAGTGGCAACCAGAAAAACAACAGCAAAAGCCACAAAACTTTGGGATGGGTGGAGGAATCTGATGCCACAGATGTTACAATGTGTATTTAAAAATCTAATTTTCAATCACAAGTCCTTGTCTAGTAACTTCCTGAGGAAGCTCAGACATTGGATTTACTAGACATAGACTTTAAATCAGCTATGTTAAATATGCTCAAAGAACTCCAGGAAACTATGTCTAAATAATTTTTTAAAAGTATGGCAATACTTCTTACCAAATAGAAAATATTATTAAAGAGCTAGATATTACAGAAAAGAGCCTAAATAGAAATTCTGGAGTTGAAAATACAATAACAGAAAAGAAAAAATATATAACAGCAATAGTAGATTTGAGCTGGCAGAAGAAAGAAGTAATAGACTTAAAGATGAAAAGTCATTCGAGATTATCCAGTCTGAGGAACAAAAAGAATGAAGGAAAAGACTCTGCTCATTTTCCTTTATTTTTTTTGTTCCTCAGACTGGATAATCTTGAATGACCTTTCATCTTAGAGTCTGAGAGACCTGTGGGACACCATAAATATACACATAATGGAAATTTCAGGAGGATAAGAAAAAGAAAAGGCAGGAAAAAGTGAAGTAATGCCTCCCAATTTTTAAAATTTGATGAAAAATGTTAATCTAAATATTTGAAAATTTCAATAAACTCCACTTAGAATAAACTGAAAGGTATCCACACATAGACATATAATAGTTAAATGATGAGGTCAAAAACAGAAATAAAATATTGAAAGCAGCAAGAGGAAAATGACATATCATGTGCTAGGCATCCTTTGTGAGATTAATAACTGACTTTTCATAAGACAAAATAGAGGCTAAGGAAAATCTGATAAATTATTAGTGTTAAAAAGATTGTCAACCGAGACTCCTGTATCCAGATAAGCTATTCTTTAAAAATGAAGAAAAATTAATTAATTTTCTGGAAAATAAATACAGAGAATTTACTGCTAGTAGGCCTTCCCTATAAGAGTTTCTAAAGTACGTCCTTTGTGATACAGTGGACAATAACTGAAACCCCCAAAAAGAAATAAACAGCACTATTTCAGGATAAGTGCAAGTCATTATGAAAGACAGTGTAAATATATATTTGTAACTATCCTGTTTCAAAAGGCAACAGTATAAAGCGATAATTATAAAATTATTTGTTAAACACTCAACAATATATAAGGACATAATTTGTATGACAATACTAGCACAAAGGAGGGAGAAGAGAATTGAGCTATAGAGGAGCAAAGTTTTAAAACACTGTTCCATTTAAGTTGGAATTATTTCACCAGTTTGTTAAAAATTAAGATGTTAATAGTAATCCCCAGAACAACAACTGAGAAAATAAATTTTAAAAGCATATAGTAAAAGAATTGACAGGAGAATTGAAATGGGGACACATTAGAAAATATCCATTAAACACACAAAAAAGACAAATTAAGGAATAGTGAAACAAAAAAGACATAGAAAAACAAAACAGCAAACGTAAGTCTTTATCAGTAATTATGTAAATCGATTAAACACATCAGTCAAAAATAGATTCTCAGAATGAATTTAATAACATCATGATCCAACTATATACTGTCTACAAGCAATACACTTAAGAGTCAAAGATACAGCTTAGAAAAAGACATAAAGATTAAAGACTTAAAAAGCATGGAAAAAGGCATATTATATAGACAGTACCCAAAACAGAATTTCAGTGGCTATACTAATAACAGTAATCACAGAGCTTAAAAGTATTATTAGAGACAAAAAGGACATTTTATTAAAAGAATATTACTCCTTCAGAAAGATGTTATGATTATAAGCAAAGACACCTTTAAAAATTTCCCAAAATACAGGAAGCAAAAATTGACAGAATTGAAGGGAGACATGGAGAATTTAGCAATAATATTTGGAGAATTTAATACACCATATTCAGTAATGAGTAGATTAGACAGAAGGTCAACATTGAAATAAAAGATTTGAACAAATAGACTTAATAGACATCTGTAGAACAGTTGTCTCTAAATCATACAAAGTGTTTTCCAACCAAAATAGAATTAAATAGACATCAATAAAAAATTTGAAAAATTCACAAATATGCGGAAATTAAGTTACACTCTTTTAAATAGCCAATGGGTCAAAGAAGAAAATGCAATGGAAGAGAGAATACACTTTAAGACATGAAAACAAAAATATGGCATACCAACATACATGGAGCACAGGTAAGGCAGTGTTTAGAAGGAAGTATATAACTGTAAACAAATGAAGGGGTAAAATAAGTGATTTTGGCATCAATTTAAGTTCAAGTCAAATAAGTGATTTTGGCATCAATTTAAGTTAAAGTCACTTGAAAAACAGCAGTTACATAAAGATCATTCTGACCTTTGTGCTGTTTCTTGAAAGCAGAAGACAAAATTCCTATGTGAAATACTCTCTGAAGATTAGAAGGAAAAGCAACATCTTCATCCTCAAGATAGGAAGTCAATATTGAGATAATTCTATATAGACCTTGTTAAAATAACTTTTATCTTTTCAGCCTTACTTGCTGATTCACAATTAACTATTGTTAGTTCAATCTAGTACATAAGTAGCTGACTATAACGACTCCTTTGGGTATTCATTATGAGAGTTCTCATATCATGTAAAACTTGTATTATGCTTTTCTCCTGTTAATCTATCTTACTTAATTCTGGGATCCAGCCAGGACCCTAAGAGGTTAGAAATGGAGCTTTTTAACCACTATATATTAAATATATTTAAAAAATATTAAATATATTAACTAATATATTAAATATATAATATATTAAATATATTAACTAATATATTAAATATATAATATATTAAATATATTAACTAATATATTAAATATATATATTAAATATATTAACTAATATATTAAATATATATATTAAATATATTAACTAATATATTAAATATATAATAAATATATTAAGAAAGATCTCTAGATAATTCATCTTAAGATATTCGAGAAACTAGAACAACAAAAACTAACCCAAAGCAAGCAGAAAGAATAAATAACAGAGAAGAAATAAATGAAATAGAGAATAGAAAAGCAATACAGAAAAATCAACAAAATTAAAAGTTGGTTCTTTGTAAAGATTAACAAAATTGACAAACCTTTAGACTGAAGAAAAAATTTTTATTAAATCAGAAATTGAAAGAGAAGACATCATTGATCTTGCAAAAATGAAAAGAATTATAAAGGAATACTGTGAACTGTATGCCAATAAATTTAGATGAAAAGAATAAATTCCTAGAAAGACACAAGCTACTGAAACTGACTCAAGAATAAATAAAAGAACTAAGTAGACCTATAAAAAGCAAAAGTTTGAGTTAATAATTAAAAACACTTCTAGCAAAGAGAAGCTCAGAGCCAGATGTCTTCACTTGTGAATTCTAACAAATGTTTAAAGAACTAATACCAATTCTTTACAAACCCTTCCAAAAAATAAGAGGAGATAACATTTCCCAACTCATGCCATGAATCCAGCATTACCTTTTTACCAAAACCAGACAAAGGAATTATATGAAAACTATTTACCAATATCCTTTATGAAAGTAGATGCAAATATCCTCGAAATAAATGAGTAAACAAAATCTAGTAAGATTTATAAATGATCATACACCACAACTGATGTGAGATTTATCTCAAGAATGCAAGGTAGTTTAACATCTAAAAATCAATAAATATAATATACCAAATTAATAAAGGACAAAAAAACCCCACATTTATTTCAATGGATGAAGAAAAAGCATTTGACAAAATCCAGTACTCCTTCATGATAAAAACATTCAATACTAGGAATAGAAGGAAACTTCAACTCAATGATGGACATCTTAGCAAAAGAAAGAATGACTTTCTCCTAAGATCAGAAACAATACAAGAATGCTGCTCTTGCTATTTCTATTAAACATCGTACTGGAGTTTCTAGCCAGGGCAATTTGGCAAGAAAAGGATATAAAAGACATTCAAATTGGAAAGGAAAAAGTACAACTCTGTTTGCAGATGATTTTGTATATAGTTTTATATATAAATATAGGAAAACTACACAATTTAAACTGATAAGTTCAGCAATGTAGCAAGATACAAGCTCAATATATAAAAATCAATGTACTTTTATTAACTGGCAAGAAACAATTTTAAAATAAAATTGAAAAAGCAATTCCATTTATAAAGAATCAAAGAAAGTACTTAGGAATAAATTTGTGTAAACAAAAAATGAATTTCCCTAAACAAAAACGACATTTGTACACTGAACACTACAAACATTGTTGAAAGTAAGATCTAAGTAAATAGAAGGATATCTGTGTTCATGGATTTGAAGACTTAATGTTAAGATGGCAATACTTAATACACAGATTCAGCATAATGCTATCAAAATCTCACTTTTCCCCAGACATTGATAAGCTGATCCAAAAATTTATGTGGTAATACAATGCGCCTAGAATAGTCAAAACAATTTTGAAAAAGAAAAGTTGGAGAACTCACACTCTGATGTTTTAAAACATACTGCAGTTGGCCTTCTTCTACCATTGGATTCTGCATATGCAGATTCAGTCAACCACAAATCAAAAATAATTGAAAAAAAAAAACAGAAAACACAATATAGCAACTAGTTACACAGTATTTACGTTGTGTTAGGTACAATGGGGGAGCAGGAATAAGGTATGACTGCTATGAGGCTTTTTGGATTGTTGAATATGTCCTAAAATTAGAATGTGGTCATGGTTGCGTAACTCTGTAAATAGAATAAAAATTTTTGAACTGTACAGTTTAAGTGGATTTTATGGTATGTGAACTATATCTCAATAAAGCTGTAAAAAATGATCAAGAATCCTGATTCCTACTGAAAACTCTTTTCAAACCTATGCTGAATTTTTGAGAATTTAAAGACTTATCTAGTGTGACATAGATGGGGTGTGGCAGATTAAGGATGGAAACTAAATCTAACCCTGGAATTTGGGTTTTTAACCTTTGCTAGATCTTCACCAGACAATAGATCTTACTTGACTGAGATATCCATCTCATTCAGAGGTGTGAAGCCCTGGGTGGTTTAGAAGTAGCCATTACTATCACATAGTAAGCTAAGATTGAAAGATAGAATTGATGTAATTATAATCAGGTCTGCCTAAGAAAAGACTGTAGATATTCATTTCTCCTACTGATAAGATTTAGATTCTGTTTCACATTCATTTTGTACATTGATAATGAGGGTTTGATGGAAAAATTAAGACTCCGTAAAAAAAAAACCTTTCTCTAATTAAAGTTAGGGTGTGTGCATGTGTAGTGTGTGAAGTATAAGTTTTCATGTATTTTTTAAACCCCTTATACATTCAGTAAAGTGTTACATATTTAGAGAAACATCAGTGGATCCTCTTGCTTATACAAGCAAGACCACTTGTACATGCTTAGTATTTGAAGTTCTCTAGTTGAGCATCAGCCACTTCATCCCTATTGCCCATGACTCGTCTTCCTATAGCACATGTTATAGCCAAACTGCCTGCGGATGGCTCCTTTGTCACATCTTCAGCTCTGAAGACCGGAAGGGAACCTTGGGAAACATTTCCTTAAGGATAGGGTCAAAGTGAAGGAGACAGAGGAGTAGCCCTCAGTCACTGTAAGGTCACAAGGAAGTGCTGAGTCAGTACTTATTACTCAGAGAAGTGCTGAGCACAGTAAGTACTTCTAACTTACTATTGTAGTGAGTTAGAAGTGCTTACTTACTGTGTGCCTACCATACCCTCATCTTGGCAGTGTAAAAGAAAAAGAAAAATATCAGCAAGGGTAGGCAAGTAATTTCTTGTGGAAAAATAATGTAATTTGGAGATCAATGGGTGAATTCCATTTCAGTAGAAATAGCCAGATTGTAATGGGTGGTGAGCATTGGAGACAATATATGAATTTGAAGGTGAAAGGAAATAAACTTCAAAACTGTCAGAGGGACAAAATATTCCCTGAAGAACTTAGAAACACAAACTGTGTTTAAGCAAAATAAAAGGAAGAAATGAAAAATAAGAATACAGATACCGGTTACAGCCTGTTTGGAGGCTATGTTAACAAGGCCATGGTCAAGGGTTCAGTTGTCATCCAGGCCAGTTAGTCTTACATAATTAATCCTTTGTTTATTGGTCACAGCTGCACTTCTGACCTTGGGCAGCCATTTAATAATTGCATAGTTTTGACTCATGGGAAGTCAGGCAGGTAAGAGCTGTGAATGTTCAGATGCAGCTTCTTCTCAATATATGAAAAAGAAACTTAGATCCACACTCTGTAGAACTAGTAATAGTGGCATGCCGTAGAAATCCCACTGGACTTGGATTTAGAAAACCTGGATTGCATGTTTTCTCTCTGTCACTGTTCCCCTAATACTATCAGGACAAAATAGTCCATGTTCTGCTTGCTGAATATAGCTGAAAGTAGTATAAAAATCCTCATTAAGACAATCTACCCTGTCAACGAAAAGAAATTTACTGCACCATCATAGCATGGCAGGAAAGAAGCAGTGAGCCTGGTTCAATCATTTGTTTATTCATTTAACAAATGTTTATTGAGTGTCTAATATCTCTCAGGCACTAAACTAGGTAAGGGGGTTGCAATTGTTGAGAAGATAAAGTCCTAGGAAAAAAAACCAAAAAATAAAGAGAAAACAAGTAAATAGGGCTTCTAAGAACTGTGATTAAGTAGATAATGAATTTAAATAGCTGGGTGTGGCCTCTGTAGAGAGAGTGGAAATGAAAGAAGCCTTTCTCTTGGTTTGAGTTCCTCCAGGAAGAGGCTCTGAGCTAAGAATTTAGGCACAAGTGGTTTCTTTGGAAGGTAATCCCACGAATCCCCAGAAGATCAGGGAGTGAGACAAGGAAGGGAAGGAGCCCACCAAAGTGCTTCATTAACCCTCCAATCACTTAGGCAACTGTAGCTGATTGCGCTGGGGAACTCTGGGAGATGGTGTCGAACATGGACCTGTGAATTATTCCACCTGAGGTGGGTGGGAGCTGGAGTATTTATAAAGTGATCATGGTCAGTTATTAAAGTTACCGTGAGAGGAGGGCATTTCTGGACATTTCCTACCTACTGAACATGTGGCCAGAGGAGATCCAGCAGCCAGAGAAAAGCTCCCATCTGGAAAAAAAAAATGTGGGTGCCAGCAATAGGAAGTCAGGTCTTCATGGTAAGAGGGACTGATGGAGTCTGCCCCAGTTTCTGAACGACACTTGAGTAGAGAGGGAAGGAATGAAAATGATGCCACCACATGAAGAGCTAGAAGCAGTGCATTTCTGGAAATAGGAACTTCAAGAAGAAAGGTCAAGAAGTAGGAAAGGATGTATGTGTTTGAAACTGAAAAACGGGCCAGCTAAGTACTGGGGTTAGCAGAAAGTAGTATATGATGAAACAAATAGGAGGGTCTCCATCAGATGTGGCTTTAAAGAGAACAGAGAAATGGGATAGAAGCCATTCCAAGGGCAAAAAACCTAGTTAAAGAATTTAGGAAAGGGGAATGATGTGGCCTGATTTACTGGCTCCTAGGGACTGAAAATTAGAAACGAGCAAGAGTGGATGAAGGTGGTGACAGGCAAAAATAAATGAATGGATTTGACATTTGGAAAAAGAAAATTGGCTGAGCGCAGTGGCTCATGCTTTTAATCCCAGCACTTTGGGAGGCTGAGGCGGGCAGATCACTTGAAGTGTAGAGTTCAAGACCAGCCTGGCCAACATGGTGAAATCCTGTCTCTACCAAAAATACAAAAATTAGCTAAGTGTGGTGGTGCCCACCTGTAGTCCCAGCTACTTGGGAAGCTGAGGTGGGAGTATTGCTTGAATCTGGGAGACAGAGGTTTCAGTGAGCTGAGATTGTGATACTGTACTCTAGCCTGTGTGACAGAGTGAGACCCTGTCTCAAAAGAAAATAGGAAAAAAACCCTGTGGGACATGATTTGATAAGAGGGCAAAAGAAATGAAGGACATAGGGCTGACTTAGATGTTTGGTTTGAGCAACAAGGTAGATGGTGGTGCCCTTTCTTGAGATAGGGAAGACTGGAGTAGGAAGAATTTGGGATAGGCAAAAAATAGATTTGTTTGTGTTGTCTAATAAACATCCAGCTGGAGGTGTTAAGTGGGCAGATGAATCTAGAGTTGAAGGGATAAATGAATTTGACATGTGAATTTGGGAGTCACCAACATATAATTGACCTTTAAAATTATGAGGTTAGATTAGCTCACCTAGGAAGAGAATAAGAGATTTAAAAAAGAGAGATTTGTGCACTAATACTCAAGAACCATCAGCATTTAATGGTCAGCTGGAGAAGGAGAAACTGGCAAAAGAAACAGAAAAGGAAAATCTGTGAAAGAAAAACAGGAATGTGCTGTCATGAACACTTCGTCAATGCATTTTGGAGGCAAGTGTTGACTCAGAAGAAAAAACATCATAGCTGACTTACGCCAAAAAAAAAAAATTATTGAACAGTTCAACTGAAAAATTCAAGACTATCCAGCTTCAGGCATGGCTAGATCTAAGTGCTCAAATGACATCATTTATAATTTGGGGGCTCCACTTTTTCCCACTTTCCCCTTTATACTTATGCAGACTCTTTCCACATGGTCACAATGGATTCTTCTAATTTACAAATTCCAGTGTCAAGATAATTTCCGTTAACACACACCCCGTAAATCAATGACTGTGGTCAGGAAATGTGAGAGAAACAGAATAGCACCATGATTAAGGGCATGGGATTCAACTCAGCTCTATTGTTCATTAGCTGAGTGAGCCTGGACTAGTCAAGGATTCTGTGGTTCTGTTTCATTATTGCTAAAGTATGGCTAATAATAGTACCTACCTCATAAAATTATTATGATTATTAAATGAATTATTCCCAGAACGTTTAGAACAGTGCCTTGGACATAGTCAGCACTCTGTGCTATTACTATTTGATTGAACAGGTCTGGAGTAGAAGGTCACTCGCATCTGAAATGATATGACCAAGATGAGGAGGGTACAAAATTAGAGTATTGTCAACAGAAGGGAGAGTGGATCTTGGTGAAAGAACTTCAATAAACATTCACTGCAGAAGCAGGAAACACTAGAATGTTCCATGAGGGAGGACAGAGTGAAGTGAGTTATATTCTGCTGAAGATGCAAGTGAGATGAGAACAGAGAGGAGTCCATTGGACCTGGAAACAGGAGGTCACTGACAAAAGAAGGTGAATGAGAAGTGAGGATGAAGAGGGAGCTAGCAGAGACAACTGTTAAAGTTTTTCTGTGATCATGGACATAAAGATGGAAACAGTGAACACTGGGGACTCCAATAGGGGGATGGAGAGTAGGGGGCAAGAGCTGAAAAACTGCCTGTTGGGTACCAAGTTCACCATGTGGGTGATGGGATCAATAGAAGCTCAAACTTCAGCATCACGCAATATACCCATATAAAAAACCTGCACATGTATGCCCTGAATACATTTTTTAGAAAGTTTTTCTGTGATAAGAGGAATTGAGCAGACACTGATAGGAGATGTGAGAGTTAATGTTTTGTTTTCTTTTGTTTGTTAATAGGAGTATGTATGTAAAGAGAATGGTCCAACAAAGATGGAGAAACTGATGACATAGGGTATGGAGAAGGGAAAAATGAAGAGGCTGGGTCTTGGAGAAAGCAAGAGGGGATGAGACCCAGATGTCAGGCAGAAGAAATTGTGGGCAGTGAGAACAGAATAATGGAGATAATGAAGAATAATGGAGAAGGCAGAGAAGATGAAGATGGATGCAGGTAGTTACATAATTTTGTTGAGAGAAATATGAGGCAGTTTTCCTTCATTGCCTTCTTTTACAGTGCTTTAAAAAGCGACGTCATTATCTGAGAATGTATATCTGTGTGTATAATGTCGGGGGATGCTGGAAGGTTTGAAAAGAGAGAGGTTTTGATAGAGTCTTAGCAGGGCTGTGTGGGATAGTAGGACATCATGGGATAGTCCCTTTCTCTGTTCATGGGTGAGCATTGCTGAGACTGGGGGCACTTTTAAGGTTCGGTCACCCACTACAGTGGAGTCCTGGTATGTGTCAGGCAATCTCATTATGTGAGATGAGTTATAAATTTTTCTGATCTTACACTTCTGATTTCTAAATTTCATTTTAATCACTCAAGTGACGTGTAGATATTTTGAATTATTGGCCTGCCTCTAAGAAGTCTTGCACTGATACTGATAGTTCAGCGCTGTCACCTTTCCACCACCTGCGCCACGTACAGCGACAGAAGCTTTTCCTTAACTCTGCCAGATGCTCAGGCTCAATCTTCCCTGTGGACTTTTGGATGTTTGGGTAATGTGAAAGGTGGTTGTTTTCTTTATTTGATCAGGGCACAAGCAGTGTCTGGACTCACTTGGTCAGTTCTGGATTTTTGTGGAAGGAAAACCCTCATCAGATTCTGATGGGAGGGGTGAGGGTAGCTCCTGGGAAGAGAAGACAGACAGTTTTCATTCTCACAATGGCTGAGATGTTCGAGATGGGTGCCTCAGGTGCCCAGGTTCTGAGACGATGCCCTTAGGTCCCTCGGGGTGTCCATGTGCACAATGGCTCCTTGTTTCTGTATATGAAACATGATCAGATTTGACCTTCATTACCCTTAAATTTTTCTCTCATATTTTTTCTTTCTGTGTAACTTTGGAAGAATCTTTTTCTATTTTCTGGATAAAAATCCCTCATTCTCCTGCATTTTAGGTTTTATTTCAGAAGTATGCCACTAGATAGTGGTCTCTAAGGGATTCATCATTTAGTAAAAGTGTCTAAGCAGGCACCTGTAGTGTATGCATAATTTTATAATTAAATGCGTATTCATATCTGCATGTATTTGTATATATGCAAATAATATATTTGCATATGTGCCTATTTATGTATTTGTGTATATGCATAATTCATACATAATATACATGTACTACTCTATTGATAGTTTAGGTTCTTCATAAAACATATATAGAAATATAAATTTAAATATAAAATAAAGGAAATGAAAAAAGTAAAATTTATTTAAATACATTTAATTTATTAACAGCAATAGAGACCTTTTTGCTCTAAAATATCAGTAATAATTATTATTAATAATAACATGTTGAGTAAGAGTAAGGTGAAAAAATACTGTTTTTGGAATTGAGGCTTTTGAGCCCTGAAAATAGTTTTCAATAAACCCAATTCCTTTTTTTTTTTTTTTTTTTTATTTAACCTTGAATAGGCCCAGACTAGTACTGGAACATGTTTAACTTGGCCTTGGCCAGACTTCACCTTGAAGCCATAATCAATAATTTCTAAAACTCATGCTGAGGATAGTGGGAAAAAGCAGAATATTCATAAACTGGGGATAAGAAATCTAATTTCAAGTTTGTGATTTTATTTGACTTGCCTGTACCTTTACTATGCCATTTTCTCATTGCCCAAAGTTAATTATTTCATGAGGTAAAGGAGTCTCCTGTGAGACTTTTCAGGTAAAATATGTTCCTTTCCATGTTCCCACCCTTTTATTGAGGTTATAATTACAAAGTTCAGGGAAGGATGAAAAGGATAAAAGAATGTTTATGATCCTTCTCTTCATCCCCTCACCCTTTTTTTTTGGTTTGTTTGTTTTTTAAAAGAAGGCAGTATCAAACCATTGATAGAATGGGATTAAGAAGATTGGTGAGTGCCTTTTTTCTCTTTTAGATCATTAATCATGCTGGAGTAGGGCAATGTGGGAATGTCCCATGCTCTGAAACTGATCTCTACCTATATCCTGTCTCCATCTATACTTAATAGATGAGCCATTGAGGAATGGCTATGAGTAAAGGACTTTTAAATTTAATTTCATTTTTTTTATAACAACAAACAAGCTTAGTGAGTGCAACCCCCTCAAAAGCAATGCATTTGTTTGAACAATACTGTCATTGCTAAAAATAATTTCTGTAAGTTGTAGTTTTCAATTCCTCTTTTTAGAATTCTTCACAAGCTCCCTAGTGAAAATCAATGCTCATGTATTAAAAGTCAACCCTAATTTTTTAAAAAATCAGAATTGCTAAGCTTGATTGCATACATTATTCAGAAAACTCAACTTCGGATGAATTCAGGCTGTTTCTGAAACTCCTGAGGATTTTCACAAGAACATAGGACAAGCTCTGAGCACAATTCCACACGGGACAGCTGAGCATAATGGCTTGGACATGGGATAATGTCCTTTAGAGTTAGGAGAAAGGGATTACAGTTCTTTTTAGGACTAGATACTTGACACATATGCAAGCCCTAAGATTCTGGCAATTAGTAGGTTCCCCTACAAACGCTTATGGAACAAATGGCGACAACGAAAAGGTCACATTTACTCATTTTCCTTCCCCTTCCCTCCCCACCTTAGTGCCACTCCCCAGAGGCTTCTGTGCTTTTTCTTCTGTCAGTTACGCCACAGTCCTGGCTTATGGGTTCTGGTAATACCGTCTCTGCTCTGTGCCCCTGCAGTCCTAGGGGCGCTCATAACTTCTAGGTGTGGCTAAAAGTCTGGGTTGCTTAACTTCCTCTTTTGGCTTTTCAGTTCTTCCATGACTGTGTAACCAGTTCTCTGCATTAAATGCCCACTGTTTGAAATACCTAGAGTGGTTTTCTGCTTGTTTAATATGACCATGGCAAAATTTAAAGCCATGTGTGGTTACCTTGTTTCACTGTTGATTTGGGGACAAAAGCCTTATTAGCCTCAATTCAAGACACAAGAAGAAGAATCTGTCTCTAGTGTGTCTAGTTTTCATGTCTGGTTTTTCAAAATTTCTTAACTGATGTGCTAGAGTTCTTTATATATTGATATCCTGATACTAATTTTTTATCTATTGTATATGTAGTAAGCATTTTTCAGGATGTGTTGACTCCTTTTTATTCATTTTTTGTTGTCTAAAATTTTAAAATACTTAAAGTAAAATCATATCTAGTTTATGTAATTAAATCTAAAAACACAAAGTATATATTCATATTTTTCCAATAATTTGTGTATTTATTTAATGTTGAATTATTTATACATCTAGAATGTACTGTTATACTGAATCAGAGACCTAGCTTATGTTCCCCACAACCCTTGCCAAAGGATTAGTTAGAATTATTGTCACTCTTACTTATTGTTGATAAGTAAGAGTTGATAAGAGTGACAATAACTCTGTCTTCTTCTACTACTGTACATTTAAGTCAAATTTCTTTATCCAAGTTCCTTAAGGTTTGCATTATGTATATTTTTGTGTTCTTGACATTTAACAATAGAAGAACATTTTTTTGAATGGTTTCCATATCTTTTAAAAAACTGGCCAAATATATTGTATAGAAATCATGTTAAGTACTAAGACACACAGGAGATAAGTATTTTCTTGAATTTAATTTAAAATGTTTACTTATCTAATTATATTTACGGCAGATTGACTGGAATGAATTCTCCTCTCAGGATATAAAAACCATGTTGCACAATATACTATTTAGCCAAAAACGTGCACATATTTAGCTCTGTTATTTGGCATCTAAAAAGTCTTTCCCTTTAGGAGCTTAAAAAGCATGTATTCCTTCTGTTTCCTTAAGAAAGACTTGGTTCAGGTTATCCTAGTTGTCATGATTGGTCTTCAGCCTTCCCACCCAAAATGAAATAAATTTGGAGGACACAAGAGTAATTAAGTTCCTTAGGATACCAGTTTCTCCATAAAGCATAGTATGAAAGCTCAGAGGTAGATGTTTTTGTAAATCTAAGTAAGTAGAAGCTTGCCCTTCAGATAAATAATTCAATGTAAAGAAGTATGGGAATAATTCTTGGACTCAGTATCATTCAGGCCCATTTAACAACTTTCTATCTCTAGAATGCGTTAATTCATTCAATCAACAAATTGATAAATTTTATGCTAAAAATATCAAGTGCTAGGGATTCATGAGTGAACAAAATATACGTGGTCCTTGTCTGCAAGAAATTCCAGTCTGCTGAAAGAAATGACCTGTTATTAATGTGATGGGGGTAATTAGAATTTTTTATTTAACACACATGGGGAGCACATTTTATCTAGTTTGGGTAGGTCAGGGAATACATCTCAAAAGGATTCTAACTGGAAATCGAAAAAACACAATAATGGGCTGGGTGCGGTGGCTCACGCCTGTAATCCCAGCACTTTGTGAGGCCGAGGTGGGCGGATCACGAGGTCAGGAGATCGAGACCATCCTGGCTAACACGGTGAAACCCCATCTCAAGTAAAAATACAAAAAAATTAGCCGGGCATGGTGGCGGGTGCCTGTAGTCCCAGCTACTCAGGAGGCTGAGGCAGGAGAATGGCGTGAACCCGGGAGGCGGAGCTTGCAGTGAACCGAGGTCGTGCCACTGCACTCCAGCCTGGGTGACAAAGCGAGACTCCATCTCAAAAACAAAACAAAAACAAAAACACAACAACAAAAAAACACAATAATGATGAGTGGGAAATACATGTTCTAAGGCAAAGAAACAGCATAAAACAAAGGCTGTAGGAAGAAAGCCTGTGGGGGCAGTAAGAGAACTTCAAATAGTGATAATGACTTGAAGACAGAGGATGATGGGGCTGAAAAGATGACCATAAACTCCAGTAAGTCAAATATTTGTCCCTAGGCCAGTAGGGAGGGCCATAACCATAGGGTAGAACACAATCAGATTTGCTTTTTGTAAGACTCAGCTGGCTTCAGCTAATAAATGAATTGAAAAGGGAGGGCAAGAAGGGAGGCAGGAAGACCAGTTAAGAGGCACAACTGGGGTTGTATCATACCCAAATGAAAAGTAGACAGGTTCAAGGGAGTTTAAAGAAATAGAATCTGCAGGACTTGATGACACATTGAAGATGAAGAAGAGGGAAGAGCACAGGCTGACTTTAGGTTTCAGTGCTACAAAAGATCGAATATAGTGTAATTAACTGATATGAGAACCCCAGAAGAAATAAGATTTGGGGGAAGAGGTGCTGAGTTCAGTTTTGGGCAGGTTTAATCCAAGGTACCCATGCGATATCCAAGATACATAGTAAAGATTAGGGTACTGGATTCTAGAACTCAAATTGAGGTGTGGATTTTGGATTTAACAGTTTCTAAATAGAGAATGTTATGGAAATCATAGATTTTTAATTGTACATCTGACTGTCCACTAGGGCAGGAAGGTACAATTACTGAGCAAATAGAACTAAGCCTTGCCATCATTTGACTCATTATGAAGTACAAGTAGGGCAGTAGTGTTTGCACCTGAACAATTTCACCTATGAATTTTTAATTTTATTATTTTAAAAAACGTATATTGGGGCTAGGTGTGGTGGCTCACGCCTGTAATCCCAGAACTTTGGGAGGCCAAGGTGGGTGGATCACCTGAGGTCAGGGGTTCAAGATCAGCCTGGCCAACATGGTGAAAACCCATCTCTACTTAAAAATAAAAAATTAGCCAGGCGTGGTGGCGGGCGCCTGTAATCTCAGCTACTCAGGAGGCTGAGGCAGGAGAATCACTTGAACCCGGGAGACAGAGGTTGCAGTGAGCTGAGATCGCACCAGTGCACTCCAGACTGGGTGACCGAGCAAGACTGTGTCTCAAAAAACAAATTATATTGGATATTGACAGGTTATGATTGTATATATTTATGGGGTAAAAGTGATACTATAATATATGTATACCATGTATTGTCTAATTGAAACACTGCACCCTTTGATTGACATCTCCCCATTTCCCTCACTCCCAGCCTCTGTTAACGACCATTCTGCTTTTGAATGCCTTAGATTCCACATGTAAGTGAGAACATACAATATTTGTCTTTCCATGCCTGGCTTATTTCACTTAGCATAATGTCTTCCAGGTTCACCCATGTTGTTGGAAATGGCATAATTTCTCTCTTGTTAAGGCTGAATAGTAGTCCATGGTATATATACAACATTTTCTTTATCTGATTATGAGACATTTAGGTTGGTTCCTTAACTTGCCTATTGTGAATCATGCTGTAATGAACACAGAAATGCAGACTTCTCTTTGACATAATGATTTCAAATTCTCTGGATATACACTGGGAAGTGGGGGATTGCTGGATCATATGGTAATCCTGTTTTTATTTTTTTGAGGACAATTCGTACTGTTTTGCATAATACTGTACTAATTTACATTTCCACCAACGGTGTACAAGGGTTCCCTTTTCTCCACATCCTCACCAACACTTGTTATGGTTCATCTTTTTAATAATAGCCATTTCAACAGATGTGAGGTGGCATCTCACTGTGATTTTAATTTGCATTTTCCTAATAATAGCAATGTTGAGCATTTTTTCACATATCTGTTGGCCATTTGTATGTCTTGTTTAGAGACTATCTTTTTCATTTCTGGGAGAGTACTCCAAACATCTTTTCTTAAGTCTTTGCTCATTTTTTTTAAGTTGGGTTATTTATCTTCTTGCTATTAAGTTGAGTTTCTTATATATTTTGGATATTAACTCCTTATCAGATGTAAGGCTTACAAATACTTTCTCCCATTCCATAGGTTGCCTCTTCACTCTATTGTTTTCTTTGCTGTGTGTATGTTACTGAGTTTGATATAATTCCATTTGTCTATTTTTGGTTTTCTTGCCCGAGATTTTGGGGTCAAATACAAAAAAGTCATTGTCTAATGTTGTATAGTTTTCTCTCTGTTTTCTTCTATTAGTTTTACAGTTTCAGATGTTATGTTTAAGTCTTTAATCCATTTTGAGTTGATTTTTGTATGGATGCTTCATCATCTATGATGGGGTTATATCTCTAACCCATCATAGATTGAAAATATTGTAAGTAAAAAATGCATTCATTACACCTAATCTAGTAAACATCATAGCTTAGCCTAGCCTTCCTTAAACATGCTCAGGAGGCTGGGTGCAGTGGCTTATGCCTGCAATCCCAGCACTTTGAGAGGCCAACGCAGGCGGATTACCTGAGGTCAGGAGTTCTGAGACCAGCCTGGCCAACATGGTAAAACCCCATCTCTACTAAAAATACAAAAAATATTACCTGGGCATAGTGGCACATACCTGTAATCTCAGCTACTTGGGAGGCTGAGGCAGGAGAATCACCTGAACCCAGGAGGCAGAGGTTGCAGTGAGCCGAGATTGCACCATTGCACTCCAGCCTAGGCGACAGAGCAAGACTCCATCTTAAAAAAACAAAAAGCATGCTCAAGATACTCACATTAGCCTACACTTGAGCAAAATTGTCTAACAAAAAGCCTATTTTGTAATACACTGTTTAATATCTCATGTGATTTATTGGATACTGCACTGGAAATGAAAACAGGAATGGCTTGCTGTTGCCCAGCACTGCAAGAGAGTATCATGCTGCGTATCACTAGCCTGGGAAAAGATCAAAAATCAAAGTATGATTTCTACATGCTTTTGCACTATCATAAAGTCAAAAAATAAAAATCAATGTAAGTCAGGGACCATGTGTACATGGTGTGAGGTAAGGTTCTAATTGCATTCTTCATGTTACTGTTCAGTTTTTCCGACACCATTTATTGAAGATCCTTTCAATAAATGACATTTTCTCACTGTGTATCGTTGGCATCTTTGTGGAAAAGCAATTGACCTTAAATGTGTGGGTTGATTTTTGAACTCTTTATTCTGTTCCACTGGTCAGTGCATCTATGTTTATGCCAGTACCATTCTGTTTTAACTATGATAGCTTTGTAATATAATTTGAAGTTATTGTCTGTGAATTCTTAGAAGTGCCATGTTTTAACCACATCAGCATAAATTTAAATTTGAATATATTCTCAAGGAAAAAATTTTTTTTTAAAAATCTGTTTTGTTCAGTGATGTACCTAAGACATGGAAGACTCTTTGACGCATAGTAAACACTTAACAAATATTTGATGACCCAATGAATAAAATTCTACACAAAAAACAGCACAAAATAGTCTCCAGGTTCTTAATTCAGTCAGTGACTGTTTCTTTTATTACATTTTAAAAATGTCTAAAATTCTTATCTAAAAGGTATGAATTTTAAACAAAGAAGTCTCAGAACCTAAGGCACAGAACCCTAAGTTCTAATTATTGTACCAGGTTTTGCACTGGCCAAGAATACCCTCAGCATCTCTTCTCATGTTGGGATTCCTATGAAAAGGGAGAATAGATTATGTTGTTTTCCAGCTAGCTCATGTGAGGTTTCCACTGTGTTTTTCCATGTAGCCAACCTTCCAGATTTTATCCTTTATAATCTCTGCTTCCACCTCACCTTCCTTGTCTTCAGTGAAAACTGTTCTTTTCCATACAAATTTCAGATTGTGACTTTTATGTAAGATATTCCCATTCAGATGTCTTTTCTCAGCCTGTTGTAGCCTCCTGCCCTTTGTTTGAAAAGAGTGAAACATCATGAACTTTACTTTTTGACCTTTGAGCATTCATGGGGGAGACAGGGGAGAGAGGCGGCACAGAGGCCTGGGAGAATGCCTGCCTGTAAGCGGCTGTCATGGTTTGAGCCTCTAAAAGGGCAAGCCTGTTGCTAAGGAAACTGCTGCTCTAGGAGGGCTAAACATACAGTAAAATAGCAGGAAAGGAAGGCACAAATAAGTCAGATGCTTGGGGGAGGGGTGGCAGGAGGCAACCTAAGAACTTTAAACCTTTATTGCTGGGAACATATTGAAGGCTCTAGTGAGAAGAAAATCAAGCGTCTATATCCCTTCCTAGAAAATAGCTGAAATTTAAAGGAAGCCTAGACTTCATGTGAATGTCATTTTGCTTAGCACACAAGCAGAAAAACAGTGGCTGTCAATATTTCGTTAATATTTAGAAAGTATATAGCAATTTTCCAAATGTAATCATGTTCATTTGTAATATTCAGTATCATAAGAACACATTCATAATAGTCATCTTTTATTTTGTAGTCAATGCTTAAAGTAACTATAGATGTGGTGACTTTGGAAATTATGTAATACATATATTTTTAAATGAATAACTTTTCTTAAAAGAAAAGTAGTTATGCCCATAGTTAATGGTGTTCTCCATTTATTTCCTGTTATTTCTAACACAATAAGCCTTGAGTTACTTGAATGAATACATTTGCAAAATTAGGAAACATTAAAAAGATTATTTTTAACCTTACACTAAATATAAGGAGTATAACTTCAAAGTCATTTTCCTATTAATATAAAATAAGTCATTTTATAGCAGTGAAAGTTAGATTTTTAATATACAATGAGTTGGCACAACTAACATGGACAATCTTTGGAGTTTCCATTACCATTGTTTGTAAAACATCTGCTTGCATCAACAAACATTTCCTTTCCTTCTATCCTCTCATCTCCCAGAATAAGTCATCAGTCCAGATCAGTCCACCTAAAACTTTGGCTTTGAAAATATCCACCTTCTTGTTAGGCTACAAAGATTTTTATTTCAAAGGATGTTTTCCCAAAGTGTGTAAGATAGACCCATAGGAATTTTAAAATAAGGAGAATGCCTTATGAGTAACAAAAAGTTAAATTGAGCTGTGCAGAAATAAGTGAGAATGTGGCAGAAAGGTCAAGAAGCATGTACCACCTATGCCTACCATTGTGTAGATGCCAGGGATGGGGTGTGTGTGTGTATGTATGTGCACGAGTGTGCGCATGTGTATGGGTGCGGCAAGAAGAATGAAAGAGAAATTGAAGATATAAACATAGTTTGGGTGGAACCCAGAATCTAACAAAGTTACTTGGAAGGAACCCAGCTTATCCTTAATCAATGCTTTAGTTCAAGTAGGGGTTGACTTCTAGAGCTATGCAAGTTTTGGATTTTAAGTAAAACCTGCAGTGTATGCCTTGATGAACTCAACATACCAGGTCAGAAACCCTCTCCGATACCTCCTCTGGGACTTGGCAGCAAGTCACCAGACTTCATTGTAGTATAAGGTAGTGTTTGCCTTCGTTACATAGAAAATGTATAATTTTATAGCAAAAGGATGTTTGTTTTCTTTTAAAGTCATGCTAATTTTCTAACCCAATATTCTCTTGCAGATATTTTTAGAGAAGCTCTTGAGTTCTTAGTGATATTTACTAGGCAGTCTTAAGAAAAAATCAAAGTATCCCAAATGATGTAAGCTGATTTAAGTTAATTGTGAAAATGGAAAAAGCAAGAGTGACATAAAAGAAGGAAGATAGGAAGATAGCTGAGAACATGAAGATTAATTAAGTCAAAGGCAGATTAAAGTGGTTCATTTATTTTTAAAATTCTCTTTTTAAAAAATTATATTTTATTGTGTTAAGAGCACTTAGCATGAGATCTACCCTGTTAACAAATTTTAAGTGTACAATATGGTATTGTTGCCTGTAGGTACAATGTTGTACAGCAGATCTCTAGAATTATGAATCTCATTTAACTGAAACTTTATGACCATCGATTAGTAAGTCTCCATTTTCCCCTCACCCTAGACACTGGCAGCCACCATTCCACTCTTTGATTCTATGAATTTTTAAAAAATTTTATTTATTATTTATTTATTTTTGAGATGGAGTCTCGCTCTGTGGCCCAGGCTGGAGTTCAGTGGCGTGATATTGGCTCACTGCAACCTCCACCTCCCAGGTTCAAGTGATTCTCCTGCTTCAGTCTCTGGGTAGATGGAATTATAGGTTTGCACCACCACCACACCCAGCTAATTTTTGTATTTTTAGTAGAGACGGGGTTTCGCCATGTTGACCAGGCTGGTCTCGAACTCCTGCCCTCAGGTGATCCACCTGCCTCAGCCTCTCAAAGTGCTGGGATTACAGGCATGAGCCAACTTGCCTGGACTGATACTATGAATTTGATCATTTTAGGTATTTCATATAAGTAGAATCATGAAGCATTTCTTTTTGTGACTGTCTTATTTCACTTATCAATTATAAGGCCTGACTGAATTCCAGGCACTGTGCTAGGTACAGTGTGGGAATATAAGATTAATAACATGCAGTTCATTTCCTCAAATAGCTCACACTCTAATATGTGGCATAAGGATAGAATTTATGGAAATAATTATATAACTTTCTATGTGACTTATTTTCTACTTGATAGCATTTAAATACAAGAAAGTATTAAAATCATTTGTTATATTTCCTTTCATGAAAGATTAAGATAATATTTCTTGATTAAAATGATAATCTGTTTTATAATACTACTTTTTGGTTAGTGACGGACTTTGGAAAAAATGAACAGTATTATATATATACTAATATATGCACTACTGTGTATATATTATACTAATAAGGTTTGAGAATATGCAAACACTTTCACACTAATCTTGCTTGATTTGCACAAGGTCAGTGTAGGATTTATTACCTTATTGCATGGATACAGAAGTGAATGGCTTTTGCAAAGTAACTTGGTTTCGACAAAGCCATTTGCTTTCTGAAAGGCACTTGGCTAGTAAGAGCTAGTTCTAGTCTAGATCTTAAACAACAAATATTCTTCTTCCTTCTGCCTTCTGGAAATATGTAGGCAATTTTTTTAAAAAAAGAATATTTAGTCTGATTCTAAAAGTATTATACTGTATACATTTTAGAGTGAAAAGTATTTTTCTTTTCACTGGGATCTAAAATATAAACAATGCAGTGTATAAAGCACATATATCTTTGGTGTACAGATTGATGAAATTTATAATATATCAGGTAACTATCAGTGAGATTAAAGTACAGAACATTTCTATAGCCCAGAAATGCTGCCATGAACCTTTTGAGTAAATATCTTTTCTCCTTCCACAATGACTCATGAGGGTAGCCACTATTCTGACTCCTATTACCATAGGTTAGTTTTACATGTTCTTGACCTTTTGTAAATGGAATCTTCCCATATGTTGGCTTTTGTGTCTGGCTTCTTTTGCCTTGAATTTTAACTACGAGAGTCATCCATGTAGTTGCTTGAATTCAGTTTTAAAAAGTTACTGTATAGTATTTCATTATATTCATAGTATGAATATATTATAATTTTTAAATGCTTGCTACCATTGATGGCTATTTCAGTTAAAGATTTTGGCTATTATGAATAAAACTTCTATGAGCACCTTGCACATACTTTCCCCCCTGGTGGACGTGGGCAGAAATTCCTCGTGTATGTATACGCACACACCCACCCACACAGACACACACGCATACACATATCAATGAGTGGAATTGTTGGTTATTCCACTCAATTCCAATGAGTGGAATTGTAGATTATTGAGATAGGCATATATTAAGCTTTAGAAGACACTGCCAAACAATTTTCCAAAGTGTTTAAAACCAGCTTACATTCCCACCAAAAATTTAAGAGAGTTCTAATTTATTCACTTTCTCATTGACTTAATGGTGCTGTCAATCTTTGATTATAGGTATCCTGGGTATGTTCATAAAGATATACCATTATGGATTTAATTTACATTTCCCAAATGAATACTGATTTTGAGCACCTTTTCACATGCTCAGTGGCTAGTTAGAATTTCTCTTTTGCTCCTGTTTAAAGTCTTTTGCATATTTTAAATCCTAAGCCAAAATAACAAAGCCAGAGGTATCACATTACCTGACCTCAAACTATACTGCAAGTTTACAGTAACAAAAACAGCATGGTACTGGTACAAAAACGACACATAGACCAATGGAACACGATTGAGAACCCAGAAATAATCATCTGATATTTGACAAAGTCAACAAAAATAAGCATTGGGGAAAAGACTCCCTATTCAATAAATAGTGCTGGGATAACTTGCTATCCATATGCAGAAGAGTGAAACTTGACCTCTGCCTATCACCATATACAAAAATTATCTCAAAATGGATTAAAGACTTAAATGTAAGAGCTGAAACTGTAAAAAATAATTCTAGAAGAAAATGTAGGAAATATCCTTCTCTAGATTGATCTTGACAAAGAATTTATGGCTAAGTCATCAAAAGCAATTGATGTCAATTAATGATGTCAACCTACAAATCCTTTGCAGTTACAGAAAACACAGTCATTGGCAGGAATCAGTTTGTGATCCACTCTTGTTGGCCTCTGACTTCAGTTTTCTTTTTATTGATACGTTCCTTTGAGTTTGGAATTTGAGATTGCTACTGAACTCAGAATTATTTGAATCCCTTCAATCTTTTCCTGCATTTTAAAAGTGCTTATATATCATAAAGACTTGACTTTCCTTGAGTTTACGCAATACTTGTTAAATTTTATGGGCCTACTGTCTTTTTTGTTAATTGTTTGGCTTTCTAATTTTTTGATGTGTAATTCATATACTATAAAACTGACGTATTTCATATGGTTTGAACCATGTAAACAACACCACTATCGAGATATAGAATAGTATTTCTTTCATGCCAAGTGGGCCCTTGGGCCCATTCCTAGAAAATTCCTTCTGCATCTCGTCCCCAGGTGACCAATGACCCACTTTATACAAATATTGATCAGATTTGTTGTTTCTACAGATTTATATAAGTGTACCCATACAGTGGAGTATTACTCTTTTGTATCGGGTTTGGTTATATTTTAGTGCTTAGCAGTGTTCCATTTTGTTAAATATATCAAAATTTGTCCTAAAAAAATGACCTATTGGGTACTGTGCTTACTCCCTCAGTAACAGGATCATTCATACTCAAAATCTTAGCATCATACAATATATCCATGTGAAAAGACCTGTATATGTACCTCATGAGTCTAGAAAAGTTGAAAATAAAAAAAAAATCCATTCATCTATGGACATTTAGATTGTTCTAGTTTTTCAATAAAACTGCTTATAGATATTGATATTTAAGTATTTGTGTGGACATATGTTTTCATTACTCTTGCATAATTATCTAGAAGTTGACATGTTGGCTCATATGGAAAGTGTGTGTTTATAAGAAATAGCTAAACTGTTTCTCAAAGTTGTTATACTATTTTACAGCCTTACCTGCAATGAATAAGAATTTGAGTTACTTCATGTTCTCCTCAGTGCTGAGTACTGTCATTTGAAATTTTTTAACCATTTTATTGGGGGTGTGATATGGTTAGGCTTTGTGTTCCCACCCACATCTCATCTTGAATTGTAATCCCCATAATCTCCATATGTCAAGGGAGAGAACAGGTGAAGATAATTGAATCATGGGAGCAGTTTTCTCCATGCTGTTCTCATGATAGTGCGTTCTCATGGGATATAGTATGATGGTTTTTATAAAGGGCTCTTCCTCTCACTCCGCACTTGTCCTTCCTCCCACCTTGTGAAGAAGGTGCCTTGTTTCCCCTTCGCCTTCCAGCATGATTGTAAGTTTCCTGAGGCCTCCCCAGCCATGGTGAACTGTGAGTCAATTAAACCTCTCTCCTTTCTAAATTACCCAGTCTCAGGCAGTTCTTTTTTTTTTTTTTTTTTTTTGAGATGGAGTCTCGCTCTGTCGCCCAGGCTGGAGTGCAGTGGCGCGATCTCGGCTCACTGCAAGCTCCGCCTCCCGGGTTCACGCCATTCTCCTGCCTCAGCCTCCCGAGTAGCTGGGACTACAGGCGCCCACCACCACGCCTGGCTAATTTTTTTTTTGTATTTTTAGTAGAGACGGGGTTTCACCATGTTAGCCAGGATGGTCTCGATCTCCTGACCTCGTGATCCGCCCGCCTCGGCCTCCCAAAGTGCTGGGATTACAGGCGTGAGCCACCGCGCCCGGCCTTAGGCAGTTCTTTATAGTGGTATGAAAACGAATTAATACAGAGTGCAGTACTACACTACGGTTTTACTTTGAATTTTCATGATGTCTAATGATTTTCCTGTGGTTATTGGCAATTTATGTATTTTCTTTTGTGAGCTATCTGTTCAAATCTTTGCTCATTTTTAAAACTGGGGTTTTGACTTTGATGGGGCCAAGATGGCCCATTAGAAGCAGTGGCAATTGAAGGCTCCCATCAAAAAGAAACATAACAGAATGCAAATCCTGGACTGGCAACTGAGGTATCCAGGTTCTGTCATCAGAACTGACTAGGCATCTGACATGACCCATGGAGAAGGGAGGAAGAGCAGTGTGGTGCGGTGGCCCAACTGAGAGCCACACAGGGCTCAGGGGATCCCCCGGCCAGGGGAGGTGGTGAGTGAGCATGCTACCCAGCCTGGGAAAACATGCTTTTTCCATGGAACTGTGCAACCCACGGATCAGAAGATCCCACTCGCAAGCCCATGCCACAGGGGCCTAGGATCCCAGCCACGGAGCTGTGCAGATTCTCAACAGCCACCAAGCTAGAATAGGTTTAAACCTGCCCAGCTCCCAGTGGGAGGAGTGAACAGCACCACAGCTGCAGCTGCCTGCTGTCTAAGCTGTTTGAGCTCCTTGGGGGAGGGGTGACAGTTAACACTGGGACTGATAGCTGCCTAACATACTAAGTTCCCAGGGTCGGGGAGGGGCAGCAGCCATCTCTATAGCTTCAGGCTGTGCTTTTTTCCTGCTGGAACTAGAAAGGCTGGACAGCATGGTCACAAGAGCTATCCCCCACGGTCCAACACACCGGCTGTGGGAGACTGTGGACAGAGTGCCTCTTCAGGCCTGACCCTGACCCATCCCTCTTCAGTGGGTGGGACTTCCCTGCAGGAACTCCAGTAATTCCAGCCAGGGGCTCAGGGACAGAACTCTGATCTCTCTGGGCCTGAGCCCCTAGGGGTAAGGGGAGGCGCAGTCTCCAAGGAGCAGCAGACTTAGTCTTTCCTCCTGCTAGTTCTGAGGAATCCAGGCAGCCCTGATGAGTGGGTTTCCACCCAGCAAAGCACACCCCCTTCACCAAGGGACAGTCAAAGTGCTTTGTTAAATGGGTCCTGCTTCCTGTGCCACCCAACTGGATGAGACCCTCCAATGAGTTGTCAGATACCCTATATAGGAGCATTCCTACTGACATAAGGTTGGTGCCCCTCGAGGTCAGAGATCCCAGAGGAAGAAGGAGGCATCCATCTTTGCTGTTCTCCGGCCTCCTTGAGTGACATCTCCAGGTGCAGGAGTGAACCAGATGAATAGGGCGTGAGGTGAACCCCCAGCAAACCACAGCAGTCCTACAGAGAGGGACCTGATCATTGCAAGGAAAACAAAGCAACAACAAACAGCATCAACAAAAAAGTCCCCACAAAGAAAAACCCATTCCAAGTGTCAGCAGCCTCAAAGATTGATACTAGACAAACTCATGAAGATGAGAATCAATGAAAAACTGCTGAAAATCCAAAAGGCCAGAGTGCCTTCTCTTCTCCAGATTATTGCAACACCTCTCCAGCAAGGGCACAGAACCAGAGGGAGAATAAGATGGATGAACTGATAGAAGTAGGCTTCAGAAGGTGTGTAATAACAAACTCTGCTGAGCTAAAGGAGCATGTTCTAACCCATTGCAAAGAAATTAAGAACCTTGATAAAATGTTACAGGAGCTGCTAACTAGAATAACTAATTTAGAGAGGAACATAAATTACCTGATGGAGCTGAAAAACACAGCATGACCAAGCAGAAGAAAGGATATCAGAGTTTGAAGACCAATTTGCTGAAATAAGACATGCAGATAAGATTAAAAAAAAAAAAAAAAGGAACAAACAAAACCTCTGAGAAATACGGGACTATGTAAAAAGACCAAACCTATGATTGATTGGAGCACCTGAAAGAGGAAGAATAGAACTAAGTTGGAAAACATACTTGAGGATATTATCCAGGAGAACTTCCCAACCTAGCAAGACAGGCCAACATTAAAATTCAGGAAATACAGAGAATGCCACTAAGATGCTCCATGAGAAGATCAACCCCAAGACCCATAATCATCAGAGTCTCCAAGGTCAAAACGAAGGAAAAAATGTTAAGGGCAGCCAGAGAGGAAGGCCAGGTCACCTACAAAGGGAAGCCCATCAGACTAACAGCAGACCTCACAGCAGAAACCCTACAAGCCAAAAGAGAGTGGGGGCAAATATTCTACATTCTTAAAATAATTTTCAACCCAGAATTTCATATCCAGCCAAACTAATCTTTGTAAGTGAAGGAGAAATAAAATCCTTTTGAGACAAGCAAATGCTGAGGGATTTCATCACCACCAGGCCTGCCTTGCAAGAGATTCTGAAGGAAGCACAAAATATGGAAAGGAAAAACTGGTACCAGCCACTGCAAAAACACTCCAAAATATAAAGACCAATGACACCATGAAGAAACTGCATCAACCAGTGGGCCAAATAACCCGACAGCATCATGATGACAGGATCAAATTCACATAGAACAATATTGACCTTAAATGTAGATGAGCTAAATGTCCCAAGTAAAAGACAGACTGGCAAATTGGATAAAGAGTCAAGACCCGTCAGTGTGCTGTATTCAGGAGACCCATCTCATGTGCAAAGACACATATAGGCTCAAACAGATGGAGGAAAATTTACCAAGCAAATGGAAATAAAAAAAAATGCAGGAGTTTTGCAATCCTAGTCTCTGACACAAACCAGACATTAAATCAACAACGATCAAAAAAGACAAAGAAGGGCATTACATAATGGTAAAGGGATCAATTCAACAAGAAGAGCTAACTATCCTAAATACATATGTACCCAGTACAGGAGCACCCAGATTCATAAAACAAGTTCTTAGAAAGTTCTTAGAGGACCCACAAAGAGACTTAGAGTCCCACACAATAATAGTGGGAGACTTAAACACTGCACTGCCAATATTAGATCAACGAGGCAGAAAATTAACAAGGATCTTCAGGAGTTGAACTCAGCTCTGGATCAAGTGGAACTAATAGACATTTACAGAGCTCTCCACCCCAAATCAACAGAATATACATTCTTCTCAGTGCCACATGACACTTATTCTAAAATTGACCACATAATTGGAAGGAAAACACTCCTCAGCAAATACGAAAGAACTGAAATCATAAGTCTGTCAGACCACAGTGCAATCAAATTAGAAGTCACGATTAAGAAACTCAAAACCACACAACTACATGGAAATTGAACAACGTGCTCCTGAATGACTCCTGGGTAAATAATGAAATTAAGACATAAGAAGTTCTTTGAAATCAATGAGAACAAAGAGACAATGTACCAGAATCTCTGGGACATAGCTAAAGCAGTGTTAAGAGGGAAATCTATAGCATTAAATGCCCACATCAGAATGCTAGAAAGATCTCAAATTGACACCCTAATTATCACAATTAAAAGAGCTAGAGGAACACAGTAAACGAATCCAAAAGCTAGCAGAAGGCAAGAAATAACTAAGAGCAGAACTGAAGGAGATAGAGATAGGAAAACCCTTCAAAAAATCAATGAATCCAGGAGCTGCTTTTTGGAAAAATTAACAACATAGATTACTAGCTAGACTAATAGAGAAGAATCAAATAGACACAATAAAAAATAATAAAGGGGATATCACAACTGATCCCACAAAATAAAGAGCTCTATGCAAATAAACTAGAAAACCTAGAAGAAAGGGATAAATTCCTGGACATGTACACCCACCTGAGACTAAACCAGGAAGAAGTTGAATCCCTGAATAGACCAATAACAAGTTCCAAAATTGAGGCAGTAATTAATAGCTTGCCAACCAAAAAACACCCAGGAACAGATGGATTCACAGCAGAGTTCTACCAAAGATACAAAGAAGAGCTGGTACCATTCCTTCTGAAACTATACCAAGCAATTAAAAAGGAGGGACTCCTCCCTAACTCATTTTATGAGGCCAAGTATCATCCTAATACCAAAACCTGGCAGAGACATAACAACAAAAAACTTCAGGCCAATATCCCTGATGAATGACAGTGTAAAAATCCTCAATAAAATATTAGCAAACTGAATCCAGCAGCACATCAAAAAGCTTATTCAGTTATCAAGTCAGCTTCAACCCTGGGATGCAAGGCTGGTTCAACATAGGCAAATCAATACACGTAAATCATCATATAAACAGAACCAATGACAAAAACCACATGATCATCTCAATAGATGCAGAAAAGGCCTTTGATAAAATTCAACACCACTTCATGTTAAAAGCTGTCAATAAACTAGGTATTTATGGAACATATCTCAAAATATTAGCCATTTATGACAAACCAATAACCAATATCATACTGAATGGGCAAAAGCTGGAAGCATTCCCTTTGAAAACCAGCACAAGACAAGGATATGTTCTCTCTCACCACTCCTATTCACTATAGTAGTGGAAGTTCTGGCTAGGGCAACAGGCAAGAGAAAGAAAGGATATTCAAATAGGAAGAAAGGAAGTCAAATTCTGTCTCTTTGCAGATGACATGATTCTTTATTTAGAAAACCCCATCATCTCAGCCCAAAAACTCCTTAAGTGGATAAGCAACTTCAGCAAAGTCTCAGTATACAAAATCAATGTGCAAAAAACACAATTTCTATGCACCAACAATAGACAAGCAGACAGCCAAATCATGAGTGAACCCCCATTCACAACTGCTACAAAGAGAATAAAATACATAGGAATAGAACTTGAAAGGGGATGTGAAATATCTCTTCAAGGAGAACTACAAACCACTGCTCAAGGAAATAAGAGAGGACACAAACAAATGGAAAAACATTCCATGCTCACAGGTAGGAAGAATCAATATCGTGAGAATGGCCATACTGCCCAAAGTAATTTATAGATTCAATGCTATTCCCATCAAATTACCATTGACATTCTTCACAGAATTAGAAAAAACCAGTTTAAATTTCATATGGAACCAAGAAAGAGCCCATATAGCCAAGATAATCCTAAGCAAAAAGAACAAAAATGGAGACATCATTCTGCTCGATTTCAAACTACACTGCAAGGCTACAGTTATCAAAACAGCATGGTATTGGTACCAAAACAGACATATAGACCAATGGAACAGAATAGAGACCTCAGAAATAACACCACACATCTACAACCATCTGATCTTTGAGAAACCAGAAAAAGGCAATGAGGAAAGGATTCCCTATTTAATAAATGGTGCTGGGAAAACTGGTTAGCCATATTAAGGAAATTGAAACTGGACCCCTTCCTCACATCTTATACAAAAATTAACTCAAGATGGAGTAAAGACTTAAATGTAAAACCCCAAACCATAAAAACCCTAGAAGAAAACCTAGGCAATACCATTCTGGACATGGGTGTAGGCAAAGACTTCATGACAAAAACACCAAAGGCAATGGCAACAATGGCCAAAATTGACAAATGGGATCTAATTAAAGAGCTTCTTCACAGCAAAATAAACTATCATCAGAGTGAATAGGCAACCTACAGAATGGAAGAAAATTTTTGCAAGCTACCTGTCTGACAAAGGTCTAATATCCAGAATCTACAAGGAACTTAAATTTACAAGAAAAGAACAACCCCATCAAAAAGTAGGCAAAGGATATGAACAGACACTTCTCAAAAGAAGACATTTATGCTGCCAACAACATATGAAATCTCATCATCACTGATAGAGAAATGCAAGTCAAAACCACAATGAGATAACATTTCATGCCAGTCAGAATGGTGATTATTAAAAAGTCAAGAAACAACAGATGCTAGTGAGGCTGTGGGGAAATAGGAATGCTTTTACACTGTTGGTGGGAATATAAATTGGTTCAACCATTACAGAAGACAGTGTGGAAATTCCTCAAGGATCTAGAACCAGAAATACCATTTGACCCAGCAATCCCATTTCCTGGGTCAAAGGAAAATAAGTCATTCTACTGTAAAGACACATGCACACGTATGTTAATTGCAGGACTATTTACAATAGCAAAAACATGGAATCAACCCAAATGCTGATCAATGATAGACTGAATAAAGAAAATGTGGTACATATACACCAATAAATACTATGCAGCCATAAAAAGGAATGAGATCATGTCCTTTGCAGGGACATGGATGGAGCTGGAAGCCATCATCCTCAGGTAACTAACACAGGAACAGAAAACCGCATGTTCTCACTCACAAGTGGGAGCTGAACAATGAGAACACATGGACAGAGGGAGAGGAACAACACACACTGGGGCCAATCGACGGGTGGGAGACAAGGGGAGGGAGAGCCTTAGGACAAATAGCTAATGCATGCGGGACTTAAAACCTAGATAATGAGTTGATAGGTGCAGGAAACCATGATGGTACACATATACCTGTGCAACAAACCTGCATGTTCTGCACTTGTATCCTGGAACTTAAAGTAGAATAAAAAATAAAATAAAATTGGGGTTTGTCTTTTTTTTTTTTTCTGAGTTGCAAGAGTTCTTTGTATTTTCTGGCTAAAAGTTCTTTGTCAGACATATGCATTAACAAATTTTATACCAACTTCTGGCTTGTTTGTATTTTTTTTAACAATACCTTTGACAAAGTAGATGTTTTAAATTTTGATAAACACATTTAATTTTTTTATAATGTGGGCTTTTGTATCCTATCTAAAAATCTTTGTCTACTTCCAATGTTGCAAAGAATTTTTTATCTGTGTTTTCTTCTAAAGTTTTGCAATTTTAGCCTTTACATCTAACTCTATGTTCCATCTTAAGGTAATTTCTACACATGCAGTAAAGGAAGGATCAAAGTTATTTATGCATTTTTTTTTCATATGGATATTTAGTTGTTCTAGCACCATTTGTTAGAAACTCTTTTTTCCACATTAAATACCCTGGGGTGTTTTTGGCCATAAATTAACAAATATATATGGATCTATTTCTGTACTCTATTTTCTTGATTTATGTTTATTCATTTCTAATGTCACATTCTCTTCACTACTTAACTTTATAATAATTATTGAAATTAGGTAGCATGATTACTTTATCTTTGTTCTTTTTCAAAATTAATTTGGATATTCCAGGTTTTTTGGATGTGCAAGTAAACTTAGAATCTATTTATTTTTAATTTTCGTGGGTACATAGTAGTTGTATATATATTTATTGGGTACATGGGATGTTTTGATACAGGCATGCAATGTGTAATAATAACTTCATGGGCAAGAGGGTATCCACCCCTCAAGCATTTATCCTTTGAGTTACAAACAAACCAATTATAGTCTTATTCAAAATTTACCTAAAATACATAATTTATTTAAAATACAATTAAGTTATTGACTATATTCCCCTGTTGTACTATCAAATAGTAGATCTTATTCTTTCTGTTTTTTTGGTACCCATTCAATTTATTAGTATCTTCAAAAAGCTTGCTGGAATTTTTATTGAGGTTATTAATTTGAGTAGATTTGACATCTCAAAATACTGTGTCTTATGAACCATGAGCATATTATATCCTTCCATTTATATAGAGCTTCTTGAATTTCTCTCATAAATATCTTAGAGTTTTCAGTAAAATGGTTTGGTACACATTTTGTTAAATTTCATATAATTTCATTGTTTTTCTACTGTTTTAAATGGTGTTGCTTTACATTTTAATTTCCAAAATTGTTCTCTGTTAGTATAGAGTTAGTATATGCTATATATACACTAACTCTAGTTAGTATATAGTAAGAGAGTTTCCTTGATCTTATATTCCTAAGTCTTGCTGAATTATTAGTTCTAGTAGCACTTTTTATGGATTCTTTAGGATTTTCTGTGTACAACTAAGTCTTCTACAAAGAAAGACACTTTTACTTCTTCCCTTACCATCTTATGCTTTTAGATACCTTTCTTTTCTTATTGCACCATTTCATGCTCTTAGTACATTACAAACTACAAAGAGTGAGAGTGAACATCCCTCTTTTTTGTAAAGTCTTAGAACAAAAATCATTTTTTTATGTTGCAGATTTTTTGCATGTATCTTTGATTAAGGTGAACAAGGTCGTTTCTGCTGCTGTTATTCTGAGAGTTTAACCATGATTACATGTTAATTTCTGTTTCATGCCTTTTCTGCTATTTTAAAATGGTTATACATGTTTTTATTTTATCAGTATAATGAATTGATTCTTTGAATGTTAACCAATTTAATATTCAATCCACTCACATTGTATTATCATGCTTCTATTTCTGGATTCAATTAGCTATAATTTTGATAAATATCTTTATGTTTGTGAAAAATATTCGTCTATAGTTTTTGGATTGTCTGTTAACTTGATTAAATTGTCTGTTTTTATTTGACTTTTTTAAAAAAAATTAGGGTAATGCCTCATAAAATGCGTCAGGGAGTGTTTTCTTCTCTACTATTTTCTAAGAGACTTTATGTAGGAATATATTGATATTAAATTTTCCCCTTAAATATTTGATGTAATTCAACAGTTAAGACATTACAGTCTGGATTTTTTATTATAAAGATGTTTTAAGTTACCAATTCATTTTAATACTTGAAAGCCTATTTATATTTTCTGTTTCTTATATCAATGAATTTATCAACTTTACCTTAGTTACACAATTAAATAGCAAAAAATTATTCACAGTATTACTTTAAAAATATCTATAAGGTCTATATTGAATTTTTTCATTTGTGATACTTATTATCTCCTGACATCTCTTCTTTCAGTTTCAGTCTACATGAAAGTTTCTCAATTACAGCTGACCCTTGAACAATGCAGGGGTTTTTATGGCTGTTATTTGGTATATTTTTCTCAATTCTTTTGCTTTGAAAATATCCAAGACTTTAGGTGTAAGAAACATTTTTGCAGATAGTAAGTACTTGAATCTTTTTTAAAAAATTCAGTCTGACATTCTCTGTGTTTTAATCAATGTATTTTAGACTATTCACATTTAAAGTGATTGGTAACACAGTTCAATTAATGTCCGCCATGTTTTAATGGTTTTCTGTTCATTGCATTTATTCTTTATATTTCCTCTTTTTCTGCCTTCTCTGCTATTATTTTACATTATTTCATCTCCTTTCCTAGCTTATCTTTTATCCTTAAAAATAATTTTTAGTGAGTTTTTCCCTCTGTTTTATAACACATATTTTAAACTAATTTAGATCCATTTTTAGGAAATACAATACTGTTTGACATGTAGTATAGGTAGCTTAGAACAGAATTACCGCAATCTCTTTCTCCCATCCTTTGTGATATTATTTTCACTTATTTATCTATGTTTTAATCACCTAGTACATTGTTACAATTCTTCAAACCGTTATGTTTTAGATCAATTTACAATAAGAAAATTAAAAATTCTATTTTACCTTTATTTCTTTTTCTTTTATGTGGACTCAATATCTAATCCATATAATTTTTCTTCTACCTCAAAAACTTGTTTTAACATTTCTTACAAGGTACATGTGTAGGAAATGATTTATCTCAGATATTATTTGTCTGAAAAAATATTTTTCCTTCACTTTTGATGATATTACTCAACATTTTGATGAGTAATTTTGCTAGATCTAGAAGTTTAGGTTGCTGGCTTTAAAAATATTTTAAATATTTTACCCATTTTTTTCTTGCTTGCATGAAAAGTCTACCATAATTTTTTCTTTGTTCTGTAGGTAAGTTACTTGGAGAGTAGAACTTCATAATGGGGAAGGGACTGGGTATATTTTATAGTGATTACTCTTCCCTTCTCTTTGTGAGAGCCATAAGGAGATCTTTCTGGTAGTGTTCCCGAAAGTAAAGCCCATGAATGTGGAAGGTCTCCTAACACTGCATTCCCTAGGAATTTCTAACTTGTAACACTAATTCACATGTAAACTCCAGCAACTTGTCAATTTAAGGGTTGATAGCTCCAGCATCTTCTGCCATGTGTAAGAAGACAGCACATGTGCCTGTCGTTTTTGAAATTGAGGTGATAGTTTCCCTGCAACCTCAGGTCTCTAATGGGTTCAAGAAAAGTCATTGCTTTTCATTGAGTGCAACATGTTCTTATTGTAAAGACAGCAATGGTGACTTCTAAGGGCTCTATTTGTTGATGTTGATTCATTGGCTTTCATAATGAGTCAATGCTTCTGCTGCTATTCACAAGCTTGGGGGATTGTGAGATGCTCCTCTTTCTTGAGTATCCCATGTAATTTTTATTGTTGTACTTTTCCTATTATTTCTAAGATAATCTCTCTAGCTTTTCTTTTAACCCATAAATACAATTTCTGCCATGATTAATTAGCTTTTAATTGTCCTGATTATACTTTTGAAATAAAGCGTTCTTAGTTTTTGTTAAATTTCCAAATAAGTTTGTTGATCTCACAATCTTTCAATTGTCTCCATCTACTTAGAATTTTAATCCTTTCTTGAATTTCTTTACAAAAATTAAAGTTGTATTACATGTTATCATGTTTGAAAGCAACTATTTAATAAAAGAAATACTAGTTCTAACATTTCAGAGTGGTCTTTTAGTTAAAAATGCAACATTTTTTATTATCCTTGTCTCATCCTGACAAAGGAGGGTAAAAGCTAGTCTAAACTTATTGAGAGAACTCTGTCAGAGTATGTGATTCATTATTGGAATGTGTCACATCTAAACTTTTTTTTTTAATTTGCTGGGATATAGGTTCAACTGATTATAGAGTAGTAAAGAAGCTTTAATTAGCAATATTCAAGAATGAATCTTTATCTCCGGGATGACGTATTCTTTAATGTGTTTGTAATGGCAACCTTGTTTAAATGCCAGGAGTGCTCTTGTTAGGAGATAGCCATGCCACCCACTTATCATATTTCACAAGCAGCCTATTTCATAACCTACAGGAAGCTAGATGTATCCTAAGAGTAGGAATTTTGCTTAGTCAAAACTCTGACACTTTTTAAAGACCTTAGAAATACCAACATTTACCAAAAACAACCATCCCATAAATTTATCAATCTAAATTGAGGGAAGCAAAGATGTTATGCTGGCAATTTATTTCATTTATTTTCCCAGTGTATGTTTAATCCTCACTTATGATTAATCTGAGATTGGCCAAGGGAGTAATGTCAGGAAAATGGTGGGGTAAGAGACACCACTCTTTATTCCCTCACACACAAAAAACAATTACACATCTGTTGACCAATGGAAATAGCCTTGGGAGGGTTCAAGTAAAAACTTGTAGTGGAGGAAAAAACAGAATAACTGCACAGAAATGATTTTTGGGAAGATTGGCATACCTGAAACACCTGGCAATGGCTAGGAACAAAGAAGAAAGATGGGGGCTATGGTTATCAAGCAGGCAACGAATGCCACCATGGTCTCCAGCGGCCTTCTCTGCCAAGGACACTGGAAGCTTTCACTGAGGTAGCCAACAGCCATCACTGTTGCAACATACTGGATAGGGAGATGCTACTGTGCCCCCACTCCAAGAAAAATCCACTGTTGGACCACCACCAATCCCCAACCCTGTGTGTGCCTAGGACTTCATGGCTTCTCCATGTGTCTATGCTCCGCATCCCTGTTCTGTGGCACACATGTACTTGTGCCTCAGACAATGAAGCCACCACTGCTGTGGAATAACACTGCTCCAGGCTTTTTTTTTTTTTTTTTTTTTGAGACACTCTCATTGTGTTGCCCAGGCTTGAGTGCAGTGGCATCATCTCAGATCACTGCAACTTCCGCGTCCCAGGTTCAAGTGATTCTCCTGCCTCAGCCTCCTGAGTAGCTGGGATTACAGGTGTGCACTACCACACCCAGCTAATTTTATATTTTTAGTAGAGATGGGTTTTCACCATCTTGGTCAGACTGATCTCAAACTTCTGACCTCAGGTGATCTGCCCGTCTTAGCCTCCCAAAGTGCTGGGATTACAGGTGTGAGCCACTGTGCCCAGCCCACTCCAGACTCTTGAGGTGTGATTTCTATGTACATGCCTGTGCTGCAGACCCTAGCTCTGCCACTGCTACATAAGCACCTATGCCTTGAGCATCTTAGCCACATCCACAGTGAGCTAGACTGCACTGCAGGCCCTGGAGCCATAGTCTCTTTGCATGCAACTGCAGTCCAGGCCCCAGCTGTCTTCTCATTTCATGAATGCTCATGTCTCAGATATGAGAGCCACTGCCACAGTGAGCTACCCTGAACCCTGGACCCTAGAGCCACACCACAGACATTAGAGCCACCAACACAGTGAGCTAGCCTGCACCCTAGACCCTAAATCGACTGTCACTCTGCATGTGCTTGCTCCCCAGACTCTGGCTCTGTTGCTACTATATGAGGCCTTATACTGCAAACACGGAACTATTGCTGCAGCAAATGTCTGTGGCTTAGTCCCCAGAGCAGCAATAAGCTTGCATATACTCCATGCTGGACCCTGGCTCTGCAACTGGTCCACAAACACCCATACCTCTCACTGTTACAAATGTGGCAGTGGAAGTGCTTGCAACCCAGGCCCTTGTGCCTCTACTGCCCCAAATCCAGTAGCCACAGTTTTTCCACACATGCCCATGGTCCAGACCCAGGCTATGGCCACTATACAGGCACCACAGATCAGACACTAGTGCCGCTCCAACTGCCAAGGTACCCACAAGGCAGATCTGGTGCTAAGAGGGGTCCCCTGAGCCACAACTTCTCCATGGAAGAAAGAGATCAGGAGAACTTCAGCAGTCTTCATCACCAAAAATCCCAACAGCTCTCACTACTAATGCAGACACTCATGGTTTTGGCTACTCACAATCCCTGCAAATCTTTGCTGACAACAATCACAGGTGACAGAGCTACACGAAGGCTACATCACTGCACATTTACTCAAGCTGAAAATCACTGCACCTCACTCAGCCAGCCCCTTCACATCCACCCATAGATGAACATTTTTACCCACTAACACCGGCCTATAAAGTCTAGAAGACATCTATATTCTAGAAAATCAAACATCATTATAGAATGATAAAAAGATATATTCATCAAGAGGACTTAACAATTATAAACAACAGTTATTAAGTTGTTTCAATGTTGGATATATAATGCATCCAACATCAGAACACCAAAATATATACAGGAATATTCATAAATGTGAAGGAGGAGATGGACAACAACACAAAAGTAGGATCATCAGCACCACACTTTCAACAATGGACAGATTATCCAGGTGAAAATCAATAAGGAAACATTGGACTTGAACTACACCTCGGATGAAATCTAATAGGTATATCCAGAACATTTCACCCAACAGCAGCAGAAGATACATTCTTTTCAAGGGCACAGAGAAGTTCTCTAGGATAGGTTGTATATTAATCCATAAACAAGTAAAAATTTAAAGAAAACCGAATCATATCAATTATCTTTTTCACCCACAATGACATGAATCTAGAAATCAATAACAGGAGGAAAACAGGAAAACTTATAAATACAGTAAGTACTTATTTAACAGCATTGATAGGTTCTCGGAAATTGTAACTTTAAGTGAAATGACTTAATGTATGCCATAGGAACTTAACTCCTATTTATATCAATTAGCCCATGGTAAAATTGGTTTTGTTATACAGGTCATCATTTCAATTAAATTCATGATTTCCAAGAACCAATCAACAATGTTAAATGTGGACTTACTGTATATGGAAACTAAACAACACATTTTGAACAACGAATGGGTCAGGGAAGATATCAAAGGGAAATTTGACAATATCATGAGACAAATGAAAATGGAAACACAATGTTCTTAACCTCATGTGATGCCAGAAAAGTAGTTCTGAGAGGGGAGTTTGTAGTGATAAATTCATAGATGAAAAAAAGATCTCACATAAAAAACCTAATGTTACACCCCTAAGTACTAGAAAAAGAACAATCTAAGCCCAAACTTAGCAGAAGGAAGAAAATAGCAAAGAGCAGAAATAAGAGTCTGGCGTTACAATGAAAAGATCGAGAAAATTAAGAATTGGTTTTCAGAAAGGTAAAATTGACAAACCTTTTGCTAGACTGAAAGAGAAAATACTCAAAATCAGAAACAGAAGGAGGCATTGCAACTGATATTACAATTATACAAAGGATCATAAGAGATCACTATAAACAATTATATGACAACAAAGTAGACAATCGAGAAGAAATAAATTTTAGACACATACAAACTACCAAGACTGAATCAGGAAGAAATAGAAATAGAAAATATAGGAAAATAGAAAAATAGGAAGAAGTAGAAAATCCGAACAGACTAATAGTGAGTAAGGAGATTGAATGTCATTAAAAAAAAAATTCCCAACAAAGAAAAGTACAAGACCAAATGGCTTCACTGGCAAATTCTACCAACCATTTAAAGAAGAACTAATAGGAATTCTACTCAAAATATTCTAAAACATTGAAGAGGAGAAAACATTTCCAAACTCATTCTATGAGAACACAACAATAAAAAACTACAGGCCAATATTCCTGATAAACAGATGCAAAATTCCTCAACAAAATACTAGCAAACTCCACCAGTACATTAAAATTATACACGATGATCAAGTGAGATCTATACCTGGGATAGAAGAATGGTTCAACATATGCTAATCAATAAATGTGATACATCACATTAATGGAAGGAAGGATAAAAATCATGATCATCATAGGTATAGAAACAACATTTGACAAAATCCAACATCCTTTTATGACAAACTACCAACGAATTAAGTTTAAAAAGAATGTGCTTCAACATAATAAAAGCTATATATTGCAAGCTCACAGCTAACATCATACTTGTATTATTCTGTTTATACTGCTATAACAAAACATCTGAGACTGGATAATTTATAAACAATAATAATTTATTTTCTCACAGTTCCAGAGGCTGGGAAGACCAAGTCTAAGTCACTAGTACTTGGTGTCTGGTGAGGACCTTCTTGCTGTGCCCTCATATGGCAGAAGAGGCAAATCCTGTGTCCTCACATGGCAGAAGGAGGAAGAACAAAAAGGGCTGAACACTCGTGAACCTTCTTTTATAAGGGCACTAATCATGAGGGACAAGTCATCATGACCTAATCAACTTCTAAAGCACCCACCTCTTACTATTGTGCTTTGGAGATTAAGTTTCAGCATAAATTTTGGAGGGCACACAAACATTCCAATCGTAACTATACTCAATGGTAAAAAGTGAAAGCTTTTTCTGTAACATCAGGAACAAGACAGGGATGCCCACTCTCGCTACTTCTGTTCAACATAGTTCTGGAAGTCCTGGCAAGAAAAAGAGAAAGCTTCTAAAGAGATAATGATTAATTCTAAATGAAGTAACTCAGGAATGGAAAACCAAACTCATCCTATATTTTCATACGTGGGAAGCAAAGCTATGTGGATGCAAAGGCATAAGAATGACACAATGAACTTTGGGGACTCAGGAAAGGGTGGGAAGGGGGTAAGGGATAAAAGACTACAAATTGGGTTCAGTGTATACTACTTGGATGATGGGTGCACCAAAATCTCCTAAATCACCACTGAAGAACTTACTCATGTAACCAAATACCACTTGTTCCCCCCAAAACTAATGGAAACAAAATTTAAAAAAATAGAGGGAAAATGGTTTCTGTTAGCAGATGGCAGAATCTCATATATAGAAAACCTTGAAGTTTCTACCAAAAATGATTAGAAGTAATAAAGTTTGCAGGGTATAAAATCAATATACAAAAATCAGTTTTCTTTCTATACATTGACGATAAACTTTTCGAAAAAGAAACTCAGAAGACAATCTCATTTTTAAGATAGCACCGGAAAGAATAAAACACTTAATGTGGTGAAAGATCTGTACATTAAAATCTGTAACACACTGATGGAAGAAATTGAAGAAACAAATAAATGGACAGAGATACTGTGTTCATGGATCTGAAAGTCAACATTGTCAAAATATTCATATTACCCAAAGCAATCTACAGATTAAATGCGATCTCTATTAAAATTCTAATGGCACTTTTCATAGAATTAGAATAAACCATTCTAAAATTATCGTGGAACCACAAATGACCCTGAATGGCCAAAGCAATTTGAGCAAGAAGAACAAAGGGGGAGACATTACATTTCTGCCCATGCATATATGGTCAACTAATCTTTGACAAAAGTGTCAAGGATACACAATGAGGAAAGAAGACTCTTCAATAAATGGTGCTGGGAAAACTGGATATCCACCTGCAAAGTAATGAAATTGGATATGATACACGAAAATCAACTCAAAATGAATTAAAGATTTAAATATAAGACCTGAGACCATGAAACTCATAGAAGAAAATGTAAGGAAAAACTTCATTACATTGGTCTTAGCAATTGTTTTGGAGATGACACCCAATACAGAGACAACAAAAGCAAAGATAAACAAATGGGACTACATCAACCTCAAAATTCTACGTAGAGCAATGTAAACCATCAAAATGAAAAGGGAACCCATGGAATGGGGAAACCATTTGTGAGCCATTTATCTGATAAGGGTTAATAACCCAATTAAAAAATGGGCAGAGGACCTGAAAAGATATATATTTTTGTTTCCCAAGGAAGACTTACAAATGGTAAACAGGTATATGAAAAGGTGCTCTGCATCACTAATCCTCAGTGTTCTTCAAATTGTTTGATTTCAAATGCAAATCAAAACTACAATGAGATACTATCTCACACCTATTGGGATGGCTACTATGAAAAAGTCAAAAGAAAAAAAAGTGTTCTCTAGACTGGAGAAAAATGGAGCTCTTATACATTGTTGCTGGGAATGTAAATGGGTACAACCACTATGTAAAATGGCATGGAGTTTCCTCAAAAAATTACAAATAGAACTATATGATCCAGCAGTCACACTTCTGGGTATATATTCAAAGTTAGCAAAATATCTCAAAGAGCTATCCACAGCCCTGTGCTCATTGCAGCATTTTTTTTACAATGTTCACAATAGCCAAGATCGAAATGACTGAAGTGTCAGTTGATGAATGAACAAAGAAATTGTCATATATATAACAAAATATATTACATTATATACATATAAATATATTTAGCTTTAATCCTTTTCCCATTTGCCTTGAGAATACCTGTCAGTGGCTCTTGTGGCTGCAGCATTTACCCTGAGATAACTTTGCCAGGAAATATCTTGCTTTTATTATTTTCCCATCATTCTAGTAAATCAACTTTGGAAACAAAAGACGTCATTCTATTTATAACATTCTGTTTTTAGTAGCAGTATTTCCATTTACAAAATACAGTAATTCCTGATTGTTAAAAATGTCAAAACCTAGAAAACGTAGCAGTCCTACACGTGATGTTAACATCATTCTCGAACAGTTGTGGGCCAGAGATTCATTTGATAAGTTAAGGTTTTCCAAAATACATGATTCTGATGAGTCAGATAATTCTGAAGTTAATTTTGTTTAGAAATAGCTCGGAGAACAGTTTTCATATTTTATTTTCACATTGAAAATCAGATTTGCTTCAGCCTCAAAAAGTGTGTTTATGTAAAATTAAATGAGCACTGACAGTGAGCTGCACTTTTTTTTTCTAAATGGGAACAGGATTAAAAGGAAAGGAAATTCTGCCATTTATGACAACATCAATGAACCTGGAAGACATTATGGCAAGTAAAGTTAAAGTAAGACTCAGAAGAATAATGCATAATCTTAATTATATGTGGCATATATAAAAGTCAACCTCATAGAGACAAATACTAGAAGGGTGATTATCAGGGGTCAAAGGGATTGGGGAAATAGGGAGAAATTGGTCAAAGGATAAAAAATGCAGCTGTAAGGTGAATAAATTCTGGTGACCTCGTGTATAGCATGGTGACTATAATTGATAATATATACTCAAAATTCACTAAGAGAGTAGTTAAGTATATGGATATGTTAACTAGCCTGATAATTTTACAATGTACACATATGTTAAAATATCACATACATTAAAATATCACATTGTACACCTTGAATATACACACAATAGTCAATTATACCTCAATAAAACTGAAAAAAAAATTGAGTAATTTTTAAAAACCTGAGATTGGCCAACTCTCCATTTCTCTGCTCTGATTTGGTCTATACATCTCATTTTCTGTAATCGTATAGATTTCTCTTTATTTCCATTTGCCTGATCTAGTGGAAATTTGGACGTGGGCAGGGGAAAAGGGTAGGTTTTAATTCCATTTCAGGTTTCTATCTTGATCCTTAAAACTCCTCTCCTTTTTTCTCAATTTCTAGGCTAGATCTCAGGACTGGGGCCTCTGAGGTTATTTCACGAATATCATTATTTCAATTTATTTAAACATCTTAGAGATTAACAGATCAGCCCCATCAATGGTAGTTGGATTATAATCTACAAAGCAATGAGTTTCAGTGCATATCTACCTGCATTCTTACTTGCAAATTAGAGTGTCTCTTGCAAAAAGTTATCTTTTCTGAGACCATGATATACACAAAGATAATTTCTAGGCAAAACCGGAATATTGGATAATCAATAAAAATGCAAGTATATAGAGTGTTTACTTCGTGTTAGAATTTATAGTAGTTCTTTACACATACTGCACCTTAAAATGAAATCTTTTATAGGGATATAGTTATGAAATTTCACATTTTGCGATTGCAAAAGCTCTGAAGTTTGGAGAATGTATTACAATACAAATACGCTGAGCAATTGTCAGCCTAGAAGACTTGCTGTCAGAGAAAATTAGAAACAGCTTCACACTACCAAATTAAGAAAAGAATTTGGCAATATATTTTGGGTGCTTGCCCAATGTTTAATATCACTTGAGGGAGTGCCTACTTCTAATGAAAAATAAATTTGTAGAGTGAAAGAAAAATTTTATTTGTTCCTTTACTAAAAGTAAAAATATGACTAAAGAATATGGCTGCAGTAATGCATTTTTTAATGAATATAAAAGATTTTCTCTCATGTTAATACATCCCATGATTTGAAGAAGAGTACTCTTATTTTATTCCTGCCTAACCTATCCAAGACCTATCCAAGGCTCTGGGTAAGGATAAAGGAGCTGAAGACTATTTTCAACTACACTGGAATAACTAAGAACATACAATGTCTGTAGAGTCAGGGAAATCTCTAAGCATATCTTTCTGAGCCTTAGTTCTTCACTTGTAAAATGAAGACAATAGTATCTATGCCATAGGAGTGTTGTGAGGATTAAGTGAGATAATTTATGCAAAACATCCGGTATTTTGCCTCTTACGGAGTAGGAGCTCAATGAATGATGGATTTTTTAAAAATCATTGTTTATCAGTATTATTTCTCTGAGTCCATTCCTTTTTCTTTAGTGCCCAAGAAAAGGTACTAAAAGAAGAAAGTGAAGGGAAGTTTAGGAATGAGGGAGACTAGATGTTTTGGCTTTAGAGTGATGATAAAGCAGAGAATCCTAGAACTGTGTCTCTGTTTAGTAATTTTCTGTTCCTAATAAAACAAAGCAAGGCAAAAGAGAAAATCTTCGTAGCCTTTTAGAATAACAATAAGGTTATGTTATAATCAACCCAATAAACACATATTGTTTCCGTGATTCAACATGGAAAGGGTATCTCAAATTTAACTCCCATAACTTTAGAAATTTTAACGATCAGAGTTGCTTTCTTGTCATATTTGTGGTGGATCTATGTCTATCTGGATGCCCAGATAATGCATTTGTTGCAGCATGGTTCTTTCAGAGGTACACACCCTTTCCTTGAGCATGTACCAGCATAAGGTGCAGACTAAGGAAAGAAAACAGCTTTTGTGAAACCGGACATTAAACTCAGTGCATTGCATTCTTCCCATTTTCCCCATTTTTTTGGATCAGAGTTGTGGTTTGGATTAAGTTCAGAGGGAGAGGTTTTTCAGGAGTCGAATAATTTACATGATTTCAAGAATTTGTAAGCCCATGAGTTGGCTGCAGTCTTCTTGTCTTTGCCTTTCCTTTCTTGGAAAGTCCAAGTCCTTTCAACAAGGCCAGAGAGTCTAGCTTCCCTTTGCTGCTGCGTCTCTCACCATCTTCCCTTGCCCTCTGTGACTCGGCACTTCTCAACTTCTGTCATTTCTTTAAACCTGTGGTGTCTGCTCCTGCATCCAATTCTTCACATGTGGCTTTCTCTCTGTAGGGAAAAAACTTCTTTGTCATGTTTGCTTTTCCTTGTCTGCTTATCCTTCAAGGTCTCAGCTCACAAGTCACTTTCTCCAGGAAGCTCTCTCTGACCTTTTAAGTTAGGGCTAGGTTCTGTTCTCTGTGTGTGCATATTAGCATTAGAAAACATAACAGATTGTTCTGCAATTGGATGGTTGGCTGCTCACTGTTCTTGTATTCCCATAATAGTGGAAACCATGCTCATTTTGTGTCTTAAGTGCCAAATAGAGTGCCTGGCACATAGGGGAAACTCAGTGAATGTTTGTTAAATCAATACATTTGAACTTTTTTTTAAAGAACAAAAAGGAGGAGTTTGGGAAAGCACTGCTGGCCCAACTATAGCAGCTTTTATTTGCCCCTTAGCTATTCCTAGTTCCTTCTTGCCACGTCTTTATAATCTCCTTTTCTAGAATCTGGGTAAAATATTAAGTAAAATATTAAGCACCTTCACAGCAAAGCCAGTTTAATGGTAATGGGGACTTCAGTTTATAGTGTATGTAATAAGAAGTCAGAATAGCTTAGATGTTAAGTCCCAGATTTGGAGTTAAGCAAACCTGTGTTTAAATCTACCCTTACAGGTGGTGACCCTCAACGATGTACATTGACCTATGCAAGATTTAGTTTCATCTATAAAATAGGAATAAAAATGTGTAAGTCAAAGGATTTGATGACAATTCCATTGGATATTTTATGTGCAATTGGTTTACTGAACATTATGGGCTCAGTAGGGTGTGAGTAAGAAGCAACCTAACTTTTTTTCTTTTCATTGTTTCTTTAAAGTTGTCTTGTTGACTCCTTCCTTCCCCCTGGGTAAAATATTAAGCAAATAACCATGGGTTTTCTGATTGTTCTTAAGTGTGAATAGATTGTCTCATTTTCAGGTACTGCAGAGTCTTGTCCATTGTGATTTCACAACAGTTTCTCATTTAATTCTGAGTCTTTCCTGCTTGAGCTATCCCAGCTTGGGATAACTTCAGGTCAGGAAAACCATGACGGCAGGGGAAAAGAGGTTATAGTGACCTTCCTTAATATTTTCCCATGTTACTCCTCCCCCCGTCATTCACTGAGCTGCCCCTGTTCTTACAGGGAAGAGCCTGGGAAAGGTAAGAGAGGGAAGGATAATACAGAAGCTCTTTTTTGCCAGCATAGTTTTTACCCAGTATTGGCACCTTTCTAATGGGACAGAGGCAGATGCAAGCTATTTCTCTCTTGAGCTCTTGTCTCTCAGAGGATCTCATTTCTGGGGATCTTCCTCCCACTATTCCCTGATGGAGGTGATATTTTATGGCTGGCTGCTTAACGCCCTCCTCAGTCCATTTCTATCTACTCCAAACAACTTTCTTGGGAGTGCCTTACCCCTCCAAGCCCACCTTTTGGACAGGGTTCCTTGCAAGTTGACTCATGTCTGGCTTCATTCCCCAATGCTACATCTCTTTTTGTCCTGGAATCTCTAATAATTCTCACAGTGGAAGGTATTCTTCATCTTTTTGCAGTAAGTGGAGCCAGACATGAAGACCTTGTTTTACATAATAGAGTATGGGGAATTATTTTCTACTTTTGATACAGGATTTGTATTACATTTATATTATGATCTTCACTCTAACCATATCTCTTCTATCAGGCAAGGATGCTCTAAGCAGCTTCTGGCTTTTAGATTTTTTTTGGGGGGGGGGATGGGGAGAGGGGTATAAGTCAGGTGTCAGGCCCAATATCCCCCAAACTTCAGAAGATACACCCATCAAGATTTCTGAATCACAGGTTACTAGTTTGGAGGGTGAAAGAAGGAAGATAGGGTACCTTGAAATGCTCTTGCTAAAGAAATGCTAATGCACCAGCATCTCCTCACCAATAGGCAGATGTCCTTGGTTGTTTATGCCCTCGGTTGTTTATGCCCTCAAGGTGGCCCAGTGTTTGCTAATCCTGTTCGCTAGACCACCTACTAGATGGTCTGGTATCTCTTTGGAATATTGGGTACTCATCACCCTTTGATTTCAGGTTTGGGTTACCAGCCAAAATTAACATGATGGGAAAACATCCCATTTGACATCCTGTTGTACATGTAAAATTTACATATAATATAGTTAATTAATAACTGGTTGTAGTAATTAGCTTGTTATTAAAGCAAAGCAGATGCGTCAGCATCATTTCCATCATTCTGAGTCATTCTCCCTTTTAAGAATGGTGGGAAGATTTAAGAGCTGGATGTTAAATAAAATAAAAGATGAAAGATGACTACGTCTATCTATGCTGGAATCACCACCTGGTCATTTCCCACCCCTGTTACAGGAAGAGATAGCAAGGAAGGATTTCCCTTTAGTGAAATATATTTGGATTTTATATCACATGTTATTTCTTTGATCTGAAATCTCTGTCCATCTCTTCTTTTGTCCATTTGTTTAAAAAATTCGTTTATTTTCTTTTTAAGACATAGGAAATGTTTCAACATATTTTTCCAATTTATCTTTCAGAGGAGGTCTGCTTTGTATTCAGATGGCACTCCATATAGGCCTTTATTTTGAGACTTAGTATATTTATTATATTCACATATTTATGAAATTCTTGAGTAAGAACCATGCCTTATTGCACAAGTTGGAATATGCAAAAAAGCTTCAACTGTAATGTAACATTGGAAATTTTACGGTTAGACTAAAATCTATGAGAAATATTGATTTGGTGTCCCTACTTAATTCCTTTTTTATCGTGAAACATTTCATCGACTATTCATTTACGTTTTGCCCATTCCAACCTTAAAAGCTATTCCAGGCAGGCAAGTGTTAGGCTTTTCCATAAGCAGAGCCAGGATACGAAGACCTTGCTTTGTGCACAATGGATAGAGTAGGAGGAGTTATTTTCCATTTTGATACAAGATTTGTAATAGTTTATTTATGGAATAAGATTCAATAGATTAAATTTAACATTTACAATAAATGGCAATGCTGCTGTTTACAAAAGTACTGATATTTGTTACTTCATTTCTTACTACCCTATGAGGTAGGGGGGTTATTGTGCTTATTATGATAAAACTGAAGCCCAGAGAGTTGAATAACTTGCCCAACCTCACATAAAAAAAATAATTTATAGATTCATCATTCAAACCAATTCTAACTCAGGATTCCATGTTCTTTTCATTATATGAAGGCTCAATTTGTAAGTTATACAGTTAATAGCAGAAAGATGTACACATGATTTTAACTGATACAAATCTATTACATAAATCTATTTTTAGATACCTTTACCACGTTACTAATATTCCATGGAAAAAATATGCTGAAATTTTTTAAAATGTATACTAGATTTTCCTATTTATACAGCACCTAGTACTTTAAAAAGTGCTTGAATTTTCTTACAGGATTCTCACAATAATTCAAACTCAGAGGCTTATTCTTCCTTTATTATCAACTCATAAATATCCTAAAAATAGACATAAATTCAATCATTTTGTGACATTCTGTAATGCAGAAACTTGGTTACAAGGTTCTGAGAAAGTGAAACTATAAATTACAAGGCCATTTATAGCTTTGAAGCAAGAGAATCTTCTCATCTTCTAATGGTAAACTACCGTTCATCCATTTATTTACTGATAAATTATTCTATCATAGTCCAAGAACATGGCTTAGACCTATAGAGGATATGAGCATTAATAAAGTTTATCCTTTGCCGTCAAGTGTTTAATTTGAGATTGAATATGTATGTGACATAGACATACATAATGCAAATATTTAGTAGGAAAGGTAAAAGACTGAAGGAATATTTTTAAAAGTTCAGTGTAAAGAGAATAATACCACTTCAGAGAATTAAGGAAGATTTTAGAGAAGAGACATTTAAATAGGATCCTGAATAATATAAGCAAGTAAAAAAGAAAGAAAAGAATCTCCTAGAGTCAGTGAATAATAAGATCAAAGACAAAAATAGAAAGGCACAGGTTGAGTTTTGGAAATAATTGGTTGGACTATAAAATATATGACAAGAAGCAGAAGGAGATAGGTCTAGAAAGATGTTTGAGGCCAGACAGTGAAAGGCCTGGAATATCAAGTGAAGAAATGGATTTTATTCGGTGACGATGGGGAGCTACTGAAGGATTTTGATTAGGAGAATGTGACAAGTTGGGAGATGGATTCCGTAATCATTTTCACATTTGGAAAGTGGAAGAAGCATCAGTTAGAGGGATTATAGTAGTACATTTGAAAATTGCCTGAGGCCTGGAGTTTGAGACCAGCCCAGCCAGTATAGTGAAACCCTGTCTCTGCTAAAAATATAAAACTTAGCCAGGCTTGGCGACGCATGCCTGTAATCCCAGCTACTTGGGAGGCTGAGGCAGGAGAATTGCTTGAAGCCAGGAGGCGGAGATTGCAGTGAGCTGAGATTGCACCACTGTACTCCAGCCTGGGCGACAGAGTGAGACTCTGTGTCAGAAAAAAAAAAAAAAAAAATGCATTCTTCTTAAAATGCTTCAACAGTTCCCATTGTCTTCAGGGAAAATTAAAACTTTTCAATATGCCTGAGAAGATACCATGTTTTTTCATTTTTCCTTCTCCACCTCCCCTCACTTTACTGTAACATGAGGTGCTCTCACTCCTGATACTTTCCCCATCAGGAAAATGCTGCTTCTGTCTTACCTGACTGACTTCAAGAATATGTGTAAACTTTATTTGTTCAGGGAGATATTTTCCTTCTGTAAAACAATAAAATTCTCCTGTTATATGTCCCCATAGCACCATGAACTTCTCCTGCTCTGATTGTTATTCCATTTCATTGTAATTAGTTGTTTAATGGTGTATCTTTCCAGTTAGACTGCGTGCTCTATGGAGGCAGAAACAACATCTGTCTTGTTGAATCATGTGGACACGTGTACCTGGGTCATGAAGGTTTCTCTCAAATAGATGTGGGTATATATGTGTATACTATGTAGAAAAAAATCCTGGAGTAGCAGCAAAGCGGTACATGCTATTTTATAACTGAGAATGAAGATGTTCACAGCAAATAAATATTTTAAGTTACTTGGTCGGTTTTGCCTTTTATAAATTAGAATGACCACGATTTTTGGTGAGGTGAGTCAAATTTTATGTTTCTGTTCATGATGTTAATATTTGGCTCTCGAGAACTGTTATTTCTCTGGGAGTTGGAGGATGGGAAACGTGCTTGCTTCCTCCTCTCTGAGTCTGCATGTATGTGCCTCCTGCATCATCATCATTATCATTATCATCATCATCATCACCATCACCATCATCATCATCATCATGGCAGCTCTCATTTACTGGTCCCTGGCAATATGCCAGTTCTGGTGCTAGGAGTTTCATCCATGTTATTTGAGCTAAACAACAAGAGATATTCCCTATTTTATATAATATTATTGATGAAGAAATGTCAAATTAGAGAGATGAAGTAGCCTGCTCAAAATTACTTAAAAAATGTTGCTCTCATTGAATTAATGAATAGAGCAGTGGTTTCTAGAGACTGGGAAGTGTTGGTGGGGTGAGGGAATAGTGACAGGTTGGTTATCAGATACAAACTTACACAGCTAAATAAGAGGAACAAGTTTTAGTGTTCTGTAGCTCTATAGGATGAACTATAATTAACAATTTGTTGTATATTTTCAAATAGCTGCAAGAGCAGAGTTCACAAAAACTAGAAAAATGGGAAGAATATTGTTTTGTTTAATGTCTCACATGGACCTTAACAGTGATGATGGCCATATGTAGATGACAAGCTACATGTGCGATTGTTTTCTGATTTTGTAATTGTTAAAAGTGAGGCTCAGAGAGGGCAGAAGACTTGCTGTAGGTCACCCAGCTTGTAGGGCAACTGAGGCTCAGATTATTAACCCTAAATCCAATCTAATTATGCTTTCTCTCTGTCTCTCTTCTTAATTTTCAGTGGGAATTTTTGGCGTTTTTATTTATTCATTGATTCATTCATTCATTTATTTATTTTTGAGACTGAGGCTCACTCTGTCTCCCAGTCTGGAGTGCAGTGGCGCGATCTCTGCTCACTGCAACCTCTGCCTCCTGGGTCAAGCGATTCTCTTGCCTCAGCCTCCTGAGTAGCTGATATTACAGGTGCCTGACACCACGCCCAACTAATTTTTGTATTTTTAATAGAGACACAGTTTCCCCATGTTGGCCAGGCTGGTCTTGAACTCTTGACCTCAGGTGATCCACCTGCCTCGGCCTCCCAGAGTGCTGGGATTACAGGTGTGAGCCACCATGCCCAGCCATTTTTGGCACTTTTAAAGGAAGATTATAGAAATGCTAAAACGATGTTGGTTTGAATTTGTTGATTCATACATGGTCTGCAGAATTTTTTTATTCAGCACTATTGTAGTCAGCTATATTCCTCTATAATTACATCTGTAAGCACCATTGACTATTAGAAAAAGGTTTTGTAATTTTTTTCTATAGAAAGATAGAATGATAATTTAGCATTTCCTTTAGCATGATTGGTCAGAATTTGTTGTTTGTAATTCATAGTTTGGAGAAGTTTATTTCAGCTTTACAACTCATCATTGACAAAGCCATCTCTGCAGCTTCCTTCACAGTCTTTTGTGTAGCAACAGGCTCTGGGAGCACTGCAGCTTGTTTACATCCTTGGGCGTGATCCTGACAGGCAAACTGGTTCATAAAGGCTATGTCTCACTCTGTAACCGCTTCCTTTAACACCAGCCTCCCTAGATTTTCTTCTGTGGATTAAGACGATACGAAGCTGCAATTTAGTGGTCCCCAGGGCTCGCTCCTTCAGCAATTCCTTGTGGAGTAAAATATAAAGTCTGGTCACTTGCTGAGGTTTATCAGAGGTTGTCTTACAGTAGAAGCTGGTCTTGGCCTCAGACCAAGGAGTGTCACTTTTCTTTATACCCTTATTGAGCCTCATTGGTCCGAGGTCCACTCCTTATAATTGAGGCCTGAAGCCAATAAGAAGAAAGGCCAGATTTGGGATTGGGTGGGAATAGAGGGGAACAGAATAGGCTTAAGGTCCTATGATGCTTATGGAGAAAGCAAATTCCACAAATGATCAGCTCTGCTTCTGCAGAGAATGACGCTCTGGATGGATTTGCGGTGGAAAACAAAGGCTTCCCTCTCTGTTGATGATGAGCAGATGGAAGGAGCTGATGGGGTAAAGGAGCTATCAAATCCTCATCCTAAGTAGAATCTGTGTGGATTGCCAGAGGTAAATTGAGGCAGAAAAAAGAATGTAAATCATCATTGGTGAAGTGTCTGTTCAAGTCTTTTGTCTGCTTTTTTTTTTTTTTTTCCGATTGGGTTATGTGTCTTTTTTTAATTGAGTTGTATGAGTTCTTTATATATTTTGGATTCAAGTCCTTCATTTGTTATATATCTGCCAATATTTTATCTTAGTCTGTAGCTTGCCTTTTCGTTTCTTAACAATGGGTGTTAAAGAGCAGTTTTGTTGTATTAAAATAACACAACAAAAAAAACAGCTTTGGGCTTCAAGAATTTTTCTGTGTTATTTACCTTTGCAATTGTATTAATTTCTGCTTAATGTGTGTTATTTTCTTCCTTCTGCTTGCATTGGGTTAATTTGTTATTCTTATTACAATTTATTATGTGTAAGCCTAGGTCACTGATTTTAATCTATTCAACTTTTGTAATATAAGCTTTTAATGCCATAAATTTCTAAGTATTGCTTTACCTTGATCCCATGGATTTTAATATTATGTGTTCCTTTTCATTTAGTTCACAAAATTGTCTAACTTCCCCTTGTGGTATTTCTTTGACTAATGGTTAATTTCGAAGTGAGGTGACAAGTTTCTAAATATTTGGAAAATTATCAGTTTTTTAAATTTTTTTAAATTATATTCAATTGTATTTGTATAATTTCAATAATATTTTTATATTTATTGGGAATAATTTTACGACCCAGAAATATGGTCATTTGTGGAAAATACTTCATGTGCTCTTGAAAAGAATGTGTATTCTGGTTGTTGGTGGAGGTGATTATTCCATAAACATCAATTAAGTCAAATTACTTGATAATACTGTATTGCTCAAGATTTCTGTGTCTTTCCTGATATTTTTGTCTACTAATTTTTATCCATTATCGACAGAGGGAATTTGAAATCTTCAATAATTGTGGATTTAAGAAAATTGTATTTTTAGTATTTTCAGTTTTTGATGTATTTTGAAGTGCCATTAAGTGAATATGTTCTTAGAATATTTATCTCTTCGGGATTAACTGATCCCTTAATCATTATACAATGACCTGCTTTTTCCTTGGTTTGATATAGTTATAGATAGAGATATTGATACTATATACTAATTTATAGCTGATATTGATATAATCAAGCTTGTTTGTGTATATGTGTGTATACCTGCAAAATACAACTTTGTTTCCTGACTTTTTAATGATCGCCATTCTAACTGGTGTGAGATGGGATCTCATTGTGGTTTTGATTTGCATTTCTCTGATGACCAGTGATGATGAGCATTTTTTCATGTGTTTTTTGGCTGCATAAATGTCTTCTTTTGAGAAGTGTCTGTTCATATCCTTCGCCCACTTTTTGATGGGGTTGTTTTTTTCTTGTAAATTTGTTTGAGTTCATTGTAGATTTTGGATATTAGCCCTTTGTCAGATGAGTAGGTTGCAACTTTGTTATTTATTCAACCTATATGTGTCTTTGTATTTAATGTCAATTTCTTTTAGATAGTGTATACTTTGGTCATTCAGGTTTTTTTTTTTTTGGTCATTCTGTTTAACTTTGTCTTTTAATTGGTGTACTTATATCATTTACATTTAATGTGATTGATTGTATACATGTCTTTAAATCTGTCATCTTTTAACTCATTTCTTGTCTTATCTATTTTTGGGCTCTTAGTTTTTCTCCTTTTCTGCTTTGTTTTGCATGAATTACATATCTTTCCATGATTTGATTTGATCCTCTTTATTACTTTTTTTCCCCTAGGGTTTACATATACATATAATTTTTAACTTCTAGCAAGCTACCTTTTAATACTAGTCTGTCACTCTGTACATATTATAAGAACATCGTGACAGTACACTTTCATTTTCTATGACTGGTCTTTGTGCTATTGTCATATGTTTTATTTTAACAAATGTTATAAACTTGGCAATGCATTGTTATTGTTTTTGCTTTAAACAGCCAATAATATTTTAATGAGCTTTAAAAGTAATAAAATTAAATTTACCAACATATTTACCATTTCTGGCACTCTTCATTCCTCTTAATGGATCCAAACATCTAGTTGATACAATTCTTTTTTTCTCATGAAGGACTGTCTCCTACATTTATTATAGTGCTTATCTGTTGTTAATGGATTCTCCCAGCTTTTATAGGCCTGTAAAAATTTTCAATCCATTTTCCTTTTGGAAGATATTTTCACTGGGTATAGAATTCTAAGTTGACAGTTTTTTTATGGAGTATTTTAACAATGTTGCTTTACTGCGTTCCAGCTTGTGTTTCTACTTAGAATCCTGTTCTGGTCACTACCTTCGTCGTTTTGTGTGTAATGTGTCTTTTGTCTTCCAATGGCTGGTTTTAAGATTTTTTTTTCTCTGTCACTGCTTTGCTACAGTTGAGCTATGATTTATCTTTTTGTGGTTTTCTTTGTTTCTTCTATTTGGGGTATTTTGAGCTTCTTGGATCTGTAGAATTATAATTTTCATAAAATTACTGAAATTTTTAGCAATTTTTTCAAAAAATTTTTTTTTGTCTCACTACTCTTTCTATTCTGGAATTCAATTCCATGCTCATTACACTGTTTGAGACTGCCAATAACTTGCTGTTGCTCTGTTTATTTTTGAAGTCTTTTTTTTCCTCCATTTTATTTTGGATACCCTATCCTGTCATGTCTTTAAGTTTATTATTTGTTTTTCTTTTGCAGTGTCTAATCTGTCAGTCAGTGCACTTTTATGTCAAATGTTGCAGTTTCACTTCAGTTCAATGTTTTTAATCTTCTACTTTTTATTATACTCATACTTCTTGTACAAATTGAGTTGTATTTATAATTGTCCCCTAATTTATTTAACACCCTTGTCCACTAATTATCTTTATTTCTTTGATTTCTTTGTTACTGACTTTTTGTTATGCTTCATATTTTTCTGGTTCTTTTCTTGACTATTAATGTTTAATTGTATGCCAGTTATGAATTTTAGATGATAAATCTTGTTTTGTTTCTTTAAATAGTTTTGGTCTATGTTCCAGGGCATAACTAAGCTACTTTAAAGTTTGTTTTTAGGTTTTGTTATGTGGGTCCGGAGCAGCTTTTAAGTTAGGACTAATTCGTCTCAACTCCTAAGGCAAAACACGTTTGAGGGCTCTAATCCAAACATTGGCAAACTTTTTCTCTGGAAGACCAGATAATAAATATTTTATACTTTGTTGGCCAAATGGTCTTTGTTGAAATGGTTTAATTTTGCTATTGCAGCACAAAATCAGTCATAGATCATATGAAAACAGATGAGTATGGCTATGTTCCAATTTGGCCTGTGGGGCATGTTTTACTGACTCCTACTTTACTTAATGCTAAGCATAAGGAGAGCTTTCCATTGTAGCTGTTGAGGGCATGAACTAGTCCCATCTTTTAGTGAGCCTTGGAGATCATTCTCCCTGTTCCTTTCTAATGCTACTTGCCTTAGCTTCAGGACTTATTTTACATGCATATACTGATCAGTATTTGGTTAAGTCTTTGAGGAAACCCTCTGATAATCTCTGGCGTTCATTCTCTTCTCTTCAGTAACCTGCCTCATGAATTGAGAATTCTTAGACGACGACTACTACTACTACTACTACTACTACTACTTCTTCTTCTTCTTCTTCTCCTTCTTCTTCTTCTTCTTCTTCTTCTTCTTCTTCTTCTTCTTCTTCTTCTTCTTCTTCTTCTTCTTCTTCTCCTCCTCCTCCTCCTCCTCCTTCCTCCTTCCTCCTTCCTCCTTCCTCCTTCCTCCTTCCTCCTTCTTCTTTCTTCTTTCTTCTCCTTTTTTTTTTTTTGAGATGGAGTCTTGCTCTGTCACCCAGGCTGGAGTGCAGTGGCATGATCTCAGCTCACTGCAACCTCCGCCTCCCAGGTTCAAGCAATTCTCCTGGCTCAGCCTCCCAAGTAGCTGGGACCACAGACGTGTGCCACCATGCCCAGCTAATTTTTGTATTTTTAGTAGAGACAGGGTTTCACTATACTGGCCAGGCTGGTCTTGAACTCCTGACCTCAGGTGATCCACCTGCTTCAGCCTCCCAAAGTGCTGGGATTACAGGCGTGACCTGCCGAGCCCGGCCTGGACCTGTTCTTCAACCATGAAGACCAGGGGAAAGTGCTAACACAGTCCCCACTACCACAAATTATGCAGTTGAATTTCCCACATTTGGGGAAATTGCAGGGGTCAGCACATCCGGAGTGCAATGGATGAGCCTCGTGCTGGGAAAATCACCTTCATGATCATGGTATCTCCCCTGCCAGTAAGTATGAATTCTTAGCCTTCTTAAACCCTGACCTCTGCCTCTTCAACTCAGGGAAAACGCCCAGGTCCTACTGGTTTGATCTGTTTTATGCTGCATACTCTCCCCAGGCAGTAAGCTAGAGCAATGTTAGGGCTCTTTTACTTTGATGTCTGATTCTTGGGGATCACTGCCGTTATTTACTTGTTTTTCAATGTTGGAAAACTGTTCTTTCCTATATTTTGTGTGCTTTTTCCCTATTATTTCAATTATGTATAAATTTAGTCTGTTATTCCATCATGACTAGGAGCATACCACCTCTGCTTTAAAAAGTGCTTTTTAACTACTGTTCATCTATTACTTATAAAGTCTCGATGATTATCCATATTTGCTTTCTATCCATGAATTTTAACATTTAAAAACAGGTTTTTCTGATTTCTCTTTTGTGTATTTTACTTATAAAAATAATTAGTTACATCCATATAAATACTTGAAATTTAGCAGTTTTTCACTATGGTAAAAATTTGTTAAAGTTTCTGAATTTTTCAACATTGTTCCCTCTAAGCTTATAAAACCTTTTCATCTGTAAACGGGAACTTTTCTGCCTTGTTTTTACCTCTCACTTTTTTTCCACTAGCCCATCATCTTAAAACTTACTATGCTAATACTACTCTCGATACCTACAATTTCCTTTTCATATTAATGGATTTTCATTAAGTGACAGGTTGTATTATCCCTGATTGTGTAAAGGAGTATTTTCTTGTCAAATTTTAGTTTTAGACTGAGAAGGTGGGAAGCTGAGAGGGTTTTGGCACAGGTTATACCTTATATTAATAATAAAATTTCAAAATTAAAATACAAGTGGCAACCGTTAGAAATCTAAGAGACAAGACGACGAGTCAGGCTGGTATTATAATGTGGGCTTCCAAACAGGGATGAGAGCAATTACAATGTCTGGGCAGTTAAACAGCAAGACATTCTTAGCTGGATGACAGAACAAAATTGTGGTTGGGGCTCTTGGTTTTAGTCTGATTCCATCTGTACTAGATCAAGTAGGACTCAGATATTTGTGAATGTGGATCATACCTTTCTGTTGTTCACACTTGTGATGTTCTGGGCCCTCCTTTTTGCACATCTTTTGTTATTTAGCTGAGATATGACATGAGAGGGAAAGGAACAGGATGCGTCTTCCCATCAGGAGGAAAATAGAATCAGCTATTCTGAGCATTTTAAATCTTTTGGGGTTACATGAGGCATTTCAGCTGCTACATCAACTAAACACTTCAGTCAGTCAACGTTTACCAAGTATATTGACCCTCCATATCCACAAGTTTTGCATCTGAGGATTCAAACAACTGACGATCAAAAATACAGAAAAAGTAAATAAATACATATACCATGATAAAAATAATACGATTGAAAACAAAGCATAACAATGATTTGCATAACATCTACGTTGTTTTAAGTATTATAGGTAGTCTATTGATGATTTAAAGTATAGAGGAGGATGTTTGTAGGTTATATGTAAATACTACATTTTATGGAAGACGCTTGAGCATCCACAGATTCTTCTGTCTGCGGGGATCCTGGACGCAATCCTCCATGGATACAAAGGGAAAACTGTACCTGTTATTTGCTAAATACTGAGAAGTATAATGGTTATTACACGTCTTCTAACTTTATAAATGTTAGTTTCTGGTTAGGAAGATTGATGTATAAGTAGGTAACTTTACTTATTATTTCTAGTATTAGGGGTATACGTGAGATGCTCAGGAGCCCCCTTGAAAAATTAGCAAGCCTTGTCGTGACTTCTTTAGTAAATGCATTATCTTTGATGCTGGGAATCTTTATCACACATTGTGTTAATATACTTATCTGTAATTTACTCATAGAAAAGGACGTGATGCTATTTTGTTCTTAAGTAACCAATTTTCTTCTTATTTTTGACATTATAGATTAAATCACTATATTACTTTTCCTTGACTCTAAATATATTTTAGAAGTAGCACCTTTTAAATATAATTTTAATATTCTACTTTTCAAGTTGCTGAGAAAAAGTATTTCCAATTAGGCTTAGCCCTGAATAACTGATTGTCATTATTAGCAATCTTGCAGTATGAGAGAGATTTTTTTCTTATTTAATTCCTAGTCATCTAAAGGAGACAGATGTTGATTTAGCAGGCAAATAACACCAAATAATTTCAGGACTGGTGTCAGGCAGTTTTTTCTGTTGTCAGCTTACGAACTGGTGTGATCCTTCCTCTACTCCCAACTTCTTTTTCTCTTTTTGGGCACATTAGATTGGGTTAATCTGCCTCCTTCTGAGGCACAGAAAGGAAAAAGCCAACTGCATCCAGTTGACAGAATTCATGTGAAGGCATTAGGATATTTGAACAGAGTTTCTAACAGGGAAAAATCTCAAGACATTTATGTTTGCAAGTATCTTTGGAAGCCCGGTACCACAGAAATTTGAGGGTAAAAGGATATGTCCAGGTTTCTTCCAGACTGGTAGTTTTAGAGTGCACATCTGAATTAAAAAATCTTGATAAATAATTACTTTGAGGGAATGAGTATGTTCTACAAAAGAATGCTTGAATTGCCGTGGGGAATCAGATTATCTTTCATCCTAGTATTTGTTTTTTAATGACCTTTGTAAAACGTATCTGGTGGGTGTCACTCCTCACACGAGGCTTAGCTGGGATACATACTGGGGAGTGTACGATCAGACAAATGAGAGAAGAAATGGACTCAACTGTGCTGCCGGCACCACATGGGCAACCACAAATTTCAGTGCTAAGAAGTCAGGCACACTCTGTGTAGTGTCAGCTGGCATCCATATTTGGGAAGGCTGCCTCCAGCAGGTTAGAATTAGCATTGAGGTGCAGGGAACAGGGGCATCTGAAGTCCAATGGCAGCAACTGAAGGTATCGGGAGCAAGACTAGCTCTTCAGGAGGATTTCAAGAATGCAGGACTGTATAAGCTGGAGTCAGGGAATGAAAAGCATAGTATCCAACATGGGATCAGTGGACTGGGAACTTGGGCTCGGGGGAGGCTATTTATGTATAATAGGGAGGTTGGGGGAGGGAAGAATGTACAAACAGGAACAGAGCTCCCTTAGACATATTAGATACCATTTGATGAGAAAGAGGCTACTTTCAGTTGCTGCTGCTGATGTACTGTCCTTCTAGTTTAATTTGGGCTTGGAGACTAACCAGGGGTGGGCCTGCAAAGGTGAAGGTAAAGCAGCCCAAAGTTGACTCTAGGTCTTATTCTAGCATCTGATTTCCCTCCTAATCGTTATCCTCACTCCTTTTACATTTTCTGTTTCTTGCTTGGATTACATTTTGCTGGTAACAATTTGCTGTGAAAAGTATAAACTCTTCCCACTCGGAGTGTTTCTCCACATATCTCTTCTCAAGACCTGCTTAGAGCTAATTTTCCAATCTTGTTTCTTCCAAGTCCCTGAGGTCCAGCTAAACCATTGTTCACCGTGCTTGAGTCACATACTTCTGGCCATCTCTGTGACTTCGAGATGTGCTTAAGTTTTTTCTTTTATACCACTCTATTTGCTTACCGAATGCTAACTTTTTGGCTTTGTAGGTCAAACAACCCCAATATATGATGGGCAACTCAAGTCACATGGTGATTTAAAAGACTACGGCTAAGCATTCCTTCTCAACCAGGGCCCAGTAGTAAGCCAGAATCTGTTTCTCCAAAAAAAAAAAAAAAAAGAAAAAAGAAAGTATCAGTAAAGAATGGTATAGTTTTGCGTCAATATCCTAAAAATCTGTGGTGTGATTCACCTAGAGATTCTTGCCAAATGCCTATCTGCTTCAGACATATCAAGCACTATCAGATCTGCTGGGTCACACAGCCTGATTGACAGAACAGCTTGCTTGACAGCTGGACAGGTGCAGAGCCTTTTCTTATTCTGCTCCCCACTCAGTATGCTGACAAATAAAAAAAAAATCTGGGCTTGGGCTTGTGGCCAAAACTGATCTTTTAAAATTCAGTAGGTTATGAAATACCTCATGAAGCCTTTAGAAAAATAGCTAATAGTTTTTCGTTGCCAATGAAATAAATTGTTTTTTTCCCTGAGAACTTGGAGAGTTATGTTTTTATTATTTTCTATGTTTTTTGAGTTTGCTACCAACTAAAATCCTTGGAGCATTTTTTAAGATGTCATTAGGCCTGTATAGTAATCCTAACCAAGGGCAAGTGGTTAATCCTTTAAGTTTGTTGAATTATTGCATAAGCAAAGAATCAGCCAATAAATACTTATAAGACAAATGTTCATATTGCACAAATAGGAGATATGGATTCAATGTATACAGAACACTGATACCCTTAGTATCAGTCTATATATCAACATTGATACCCTTAGATACCTAAAGAAATTATTCAGTTTTTGAAAATTTATAATTTGTGTTCTGTTATACATAATGGATGTGAAAGATCATGTTTATATATTTTAAATTTTATTTTCTAGTTTTAGATTTACAAAAAAAGTGCCAAGATAGTACAGTTTCCATACACCCCACATATAGTTTCTTCTCTTATTAGTATCTGTCAGTACTATGGTACATTTGTCACAACTAGTGAACAAATATAGATGCATTATTCCTAACTAATGTTCATATTTTTAAAGATTTACTTAGGTTTTTTAAACCTATTGTTGCTTTTTTGTTACAAAATCCCATCCGGAATACCACATTACATTTAGTCGTCTTGTCTCCTTTGTCTCTCTTGGCTGTGACAGTTTCTTTGTTTCTGATAACCTTGAAAGTTTTGAGACATCCTGCTCACATATTTGGTAAAATGTCCATCAATTGGAATTTGTCTGATATCTTTCTCATAATTAGATTGGGATTCTGTGTTCTTGGGAGGAATACCAGAGAGGTAAAATGCCATTTTCATCATATCAAGTTCAAGGATATATACCATCAATAAGAATTTTCACTGTCATATTAACCTTGATTACTGGGCTGAGACAGTAATTGTCAGATTTCTCTACTCTAACATTGTTCCTTCCCCGATTTGCTCTACTCTACTCCTGGGGAGGAAGTCTCCCTGCAGAGCCCATAGGTAAGGCATGGAGAGTTATCTTCCCACTTGAGGGTGGAGGATCTACATAAATTATTTGGAATTCTTCTGCATGGGAGATGTGTCTCTTCTCCTTCCATTTATTTAAAATGAATTCATAATTCAATCATATATTTAAATGAGTGTGTATTCATGAATATTTATACTTTGGGTTATAATCTAATACCATATTTTGTTCAAATTGTCTCAGATTTGGCCATTGTTGGCCTTTGTGTTCTTATGATATACCATAATCATTATGGGTTCTTTTGAGCACTTCCTTACTTTCTATCACTGCAAGATGCACTGGTCTCATCTTGTATATTTCCTGCCTCAGTCCTAGATTCAACCCTTTTTCCAAGGAGTCTTGGTAATAGAGAATGGTATTTTTGTTGGAGTATGGTATTGGAAACCAAGATCTGGATTCTAGGTGTACTCATTACTATTTGGGTGTCATTGCTTTTAGGTCTTCTTGGCTGACAAAGCATGAACATACATGTGTGTGTACTATCCTGTCTATATATATATTTATCAATATTACTGTATGCAATTATTTGCATTTATATTAAGCTAAACATGAGCTTATACTAATGTCTCTATACCTTGCTTATCTGTAAATACCCATTCCAAAATATGAGAAACCTGACTTCTACCTTCTATCATAAATTCACTTAATTGTTCCAATGGTTTGGAATTGTTAACCCATATTTTCATGGGAAATAACTTTATCAACCAGAGTGCAGTGCTTCTGCACACTTTCCCTTTCTTTACTCTTACTCAGGTCAGCACTTTCCCCCGAGATTATTTTATACATTCGTAGTACAATTGATTCTCTTGTGACTGTCTGCTTCCATCATAGGATTCCTCAACACCCTAAATGATTTAAAAATTTTTACAGACATTAAGGTTCAATCTCTGTGCCATAAAGTTCAATGTGTTTTGACAAATGCATAGTGTCCTCTATCCAGCATGAAAGTATTACACAGAATGTTTTACTACCATGAAAAAAATACTGCCTGTGCTTCACTGATTCAACTTTGTTCACCCATAATCTACCGGCAAACACTGATCAGTTTACTGTCTCTATTGTTTTGCCTTCCACAGAATGTCATATAAATGGAATCATACAGAATTTCAGACTGAGTTCTTTTACTCAGCAATATGCATTTAAGGTTCATTCATGATTTTGCATGGCTTTTATAGTGTAATAACCGTATTTTCTAGCTTCTATATTTGATACTTTGATATCTTGAGGTCCGGGAGACCCTGGAGGGATCTGCTAGGTCAAGCTAATTCCTAGACATAGCAGATCAATCTTTACCTTTCCTATGGAAACTAACCAATCTAGACCCTATGCTCCACAACCTCCCTCTTTATCCTCTCACATTACAAGGTACAATCTCCTCTAATCATTCTAGGGCAAAGTAATTTAGGTCTGTGATCCACTTGGGTTAATATTTGTGAAAGGTAAAAGGTGTTTGTCTATGTTCTTTTCTTTCCCCCACTTTTTTGTATATGAATGTCCAATTGTTAAAGCCACCTTTGTTGAAAGGACATTTTTTTCTTTACTGAATTGCCTTTGCACTTTTGTCAAAGATTATTTAGCTAAATTTGTCTAGATCTATTTCTGCACTCTCTGTTATGTTTCACTAATCTATGTGTCTATTTTCCTCAATGATACCACACTGTATCTGTATTGTAACTTTATACTAATGTTTGAAATTTAATAATATGTGTCATCCAGCTTTATTTTTCTCCTTTAGGATTGTGTTGGATATTCCTTGCGTTTTAATTTTTCATGTAAAGTTTAAAATTAGTTTGTCAATATCCAAACATAATTTGCTAGAATTTTGGTTGGGATTGTGTTGACTCTATAAATCAAGTTGAGACAAATTGCCATCCTCATGCTACTAAGTCTATTAATCAATGAACATGGAATATCTCTCCATTTATTTATGTCTTCTTGGATAGTCTATTTTTTCTTCTTATTCTTCCTGCCTTTCTCCCTCCCAGGAGAAATTCTTGGCCTTCTGAAACTTCACCGAAAAGTCAACTCTGAAAAGGCAGATTAATAGAAGAAAAGACATGCAAATTTATTTAACATGTATACACAAGAGGCTTCAGAATAAAGACCTAAGCCCCCAACGAGGTACAGAAGCTTATAGACCATCTTGAGGTTAAAATAATGTGGGCTCAGAGCATGGCCAAAAACATGTTATGGTGGTAAGTCAGATTTGAGGGGCAAGACAGGTTATGGGAGAGATAAAGGGAGAAGCTATGCTAGCAAAGGTGGCCTTGTTACATAGACGAAGTCTCATAGGCCATAGCCCTCAGAGAGAATAGAGGATAACTATTTCCTTTCAAAGTTTGAAAGATGTCAGGCTCAATCTCTGCTAGAGCCGGGAAAGGCCGAGAAAGGAAAGACCTGGCTGCATTAATGGAGATTCTCCACAGATGCAAATTTTTTCCACAAGAGAGAGTTTTGCAAGGTCCCTTCTGTCTTCTGACCCCCACTGGCAGCCATTTCAAAATGTGTCAAAGATAGATATTTTGAGGTAAAGTATTTTTATTTCCTTCAAAATCATTCTTCATTTAGGTTAGAGTTTTTTATATCTAGTATTCCCTTTGATTCTTTCTTAGTTTCTCTCTGCTTACCTTTCCTATTTCTTCTTGCATGTTGTGTATTTTTTTATTACAGTTCTTAACATATTATAGCTATTTTAAATTCCCTGTCTTTTTCAAAGTCTGTCATATCTAAATTTGGTTCTGATGGTTGCCTTGTCTCTTCAGACTGTTTTTTCTTCATATTTATCGTGTTTTCTAGACAATGTATCAAGTAATAGAAACTGAGTTAAAGAAACCTCTAATGTGACTTTTTATGTTATATGGGTAGGAATTAGGTTGTGTTTAATGTTTGGTGTAGTTGTAGGTGCCAGAGTCTTCACATTCCTATAGTATCGTTGTTTTTGCTTTTGTCTTGTTTATTCCCTTTGGGATTCTCCCAAAACTCCTTTTTTTTGGGCGGGGGTGGGGAGGTTGTTTTTGAGACAGGGTCTCACTCTGTCACTCGGGCTGAAGGGCAGTGGCATGAGCAGAGCTCACTGCAGTCTCAACTTCCTGGGCTTACACAATCCTCCTTCCTCAGTCTCTCATGTAGCTGAGACCACAGGTGCTCACCACCATGCCTGGCTAACTTTCTGATTTTTTGTGGAGACAGAGTCTCACTTTGTGGCCCAGGCTGATCTCAATCTCTTAGGCTCAAGCAGTCCTCCCACCTCAGCTGCCCAAACTGCTAGGACTACAGGCATGAACCAGTGCACCCAGCCAAAACTCCATGTTTGATAGAGTCTATATCTTGATATTCTTTGAGCTGTAGTTCACTGCTACTATACTGGAGACCTAATGGTGTTGCTTAAAGTCTGAGGGAGAGGAAGTATTCTATAATCTTATGATAAAATCTCAGTGTTGTAGTGGGCCTACCTCCTCAAGCTGTGTGCTTCACAAATGTTTCTTAGCTTCCCCCTCTTTAGATTGAACATGAAAGCTAGAGGGGGCTTGAGTCAGAGAAATGACTTTTTCCATGTGAGATGACTCTCTGGTAAAGTCTTTACTTTGGAGAGTGGGCTTTGTTATGGATAAGGCTCTGTGTATTTCACAATGTCTTTTCTTGTCGGATCCCCTGCCATAGCCATCTTTCTTGAATTTTCACATTGAGAACCTTATATTATTCATGGCAATAAAGCCCAGAAAAGTGTGACACCCCTATCAGACTGTTAACCCCAGGAGTTTCTCTCTTTGATGCTAATCTGCATTTAGCCTCCAGGAATTCATCAAAGTTGCCATTTAAGTGTTCTTCCCAGTTTTTGACTCCAGAAGGCTTCTGCTCACAGTAAACAGATACCAGCTGTAATTGTTGGGAATTGCCTGCGTGTCCAGATTTTGCAGTGGTAGTTTCGCATGAAACCTGTCTTCAGCATCCATTTCATGTTTTATTTGTTTGTAACATAGGAGGGTTGAGTTCCAGACTCTTTACATGTCGTAGGTGAAACTGAGAGAATTGCTATCTTAATACTATTGAGACTACCAATCCATGAATATAGTACATCTCTACATCATTCACGTTCTTATCCTTTTCGATGTAACAGAGTAATGCTGAGAAAACATGTTTTTGTTTCCTAAGAAATATATTAATTATCCCAAGGAATTAAAATCAACTATAGTATTTTTTTTTACTTGATGCTTTACATGGTTTTATGACTTTAATAAAAAATTGCTGCTTTCCTCCCCAAATGGTACGCTCAAGCATTGTTTTTCTCTGAACTGATGTGCTTGTATCCAAAATGTTTTCCCAGTTGCTAAAAATCTTTATCCTTAAATTGATTTATATCTCTAACTTGAGTTATAGCTCTAGGAAGTGCCTACTAATTTGGGGAATGTAAGTAAAGTGCCTCTCCTATAAAGTTTATTTTTTAATCCTATAAAAGTTAATTTTGCCATAGGAATAAAGAAGAAATAAGCCAGAGGAACTGAAATATAAAAGCTGATCAAAGTTATTATAGGAACACTTGAAAACTTTTCTCTATGTGACAAAGCATACATCTGTGTCTTTATTAAATGAAATTACTGCCCAGCAGATCGTAAAATTACATGATATAATTTCCCTGTACCAGAGAACTTCCTATGACTCACACACATGAACTACCTTGTGTTTAACTAGCACTTATTTTTTCTAATACAAACCTAGAGCCAAATTAGTTATTAAGCTTCCAGGAAAATGAACAAGATTGTCTTTGCTTTTATTCTCTCTCTTTAAAACCGCAAATTTACTTAATGTTATTTCTTTTTTCTGTTCAAATAAGAACTCCTTGCCAATTTTGATAAAAATCCAAAGCAATTGGCAGGCATTGATATTTCTTCCCTCCTCTGCTTGTCTTATGTAAAATGACCCACCAATATGTCTCCAAGTAATTTACCTCCCCATCTCTGGAAGCACCATTAATGATAGCAGTCCTTTAAGAAATTTCAAGAGTTTCACCTGCTTTTCAGGTAGCTTAGCAGCAGTCAACCTGGACAATATTCAGCAATCTTCTTGTTACAATAATTCTATCCACCTTTTTGTGTAGAGGATCAGATTTTTATATCTTTAAGAGGACAACAATGATGACCATGATTTATTAAGCAACTCTACTCTTTTAGAAATTTTGCATGTGTACTTCTTATTTAAGTTTCACTGTAATTTTATGAGTTAAGGGCTGCTGCAGGCACAACTGGATATGGCCAGACATGTTTTAACCAATATAATCCAATTTCAAAGATGAGTAAACTGTCTAGAGACTATTTTACCCAAGATCATTTAGTTAATAGTCAGCAGAACTGACATCTAAACCGAGGCGTCATGCCCTGCCAGGTTATCTCTGAACCCTTCACTTTGCAGGAGGCTGGCAGCTTTCCGTGGGCAGTAAGTGTTTCAATTGGGCTAAAGATTTAATACCAAGAGTCCCTAGAAGAGCAATATAAGTGCAATTTGTTGATGCAATATTGCAAAAGAAAAGTAGGTTAAAACCATCTACCTGTGAATCAAAAGAAACACAATTCATGATCAAAACCAAGACAAGTTCCCTATGATCAAACTTATGACTTAAGATTTCTTGGTTGAAGAGAAATATGAGCACAACTTTCTTGGACTGTGGATTTTTTTCCCCTTTCCCCACCTTCCTCTCCTTTTTTTTCTCCTTTTGCTTTCTTTCTTCCTCTCTGCCTCCTTTTTTTTCCCTTCTCTATGTTTCTTTCTTTTTACTTCTTTCGTCTGCTTTTGGCCTTTTACTGGGAAATTACAAGAAGAGACTGCATTTGGCTATGTGGGCTGACAGAGTCTAATGTGCTAAGTTTGAGGACCAGAGCATGGGTCAGGCCACATACTACCCACTGCTTTTATTTGTATGATTCCATGAGCTAAGAATGGCTTTTACATTTTTAAATAGTTAAAAAAGAATTATATTTTGTGACACATAAAATTATATGAAATTTAAATTCAGAGTTCATAAAGTTTATTGGAACACAGCCATGCTCATTCATTTACACATTGTGTCTGAGTTCTGTTCGGCTACAATGGCAAAACAGAACAGTTGCACCAAAGACCACATGGACTCTATAGCCTAAATTATTTACTCTCTGGCCATTTATAGAAAAGTTTGGTGACCCATGTTTTAAAAGGTTAATTCTAGCCTCCAGATCTTAGAATTTAACAAATGCTTGGAACTGAACCAGTAGGCCTCCCTATTTTGGAACGAGGAATTTTTGTTTGTTAAAATGCAGATCTTTCTAGAAGACAATTATGCCTATTAATCACTAGAAATGGGTTAGACTTTGTTGATTAGATCCTTACATGGCATGTAATAAACAGCCAGGACTAATAGATGAAAGATGTTGGAGAACACATGCTTTTCTCTAGGCCATGCTAACAAGATGGGGTAGACAGGCACTGGAGTGGGGTGAAAAAATACAAAACACAGACATTTAAGGCAGACTTAGGATGTGTCTAACTCACCATAGCATCTTAGTATACATTTTTTATTTTAATCTTCATAATCCTACCATGTAGATATAAAAACATTAATTTTTATTAAGGAAGAAATGGAGCATCAGAAAGATTCTCCAGGATATCAAGATAGTAGGACGACAATAGTTTTGAAACAGGATTCAACCCAGGTCTAACCAATTCCTCTGTTACCATGATCACAGGTAAAATTTTCCTTTCCTGTTAACACAGTTTTGCCCAGGACTGACTCTATTTACATAATTGTGATACTGGTGTAGTTTCTATGCTAACAAATTGCTACTTGCGATAATGAACTTCCTACCAGTTGGTTGGGTTTTGATTTTTGCAGAAGGGAGAAGGGAGTTGACCCAACCCAGACAGCTTTGGTGTAGTACATAGTTCTCTGCGGGTGGGGATGAGAGATAATGACTTAAAAAAATCATACTTTGTCCCAGCCTTTCATCCCGTCTTTCTCAGTTTACCAGGTTGAATCTTACAGAATTCTCATTCAAAGATAGAAACGACTTGAAATTCAAAAACAATTTCAGAAGATGCAACCTAACATATTTATGTGCTATCAAAGAAAGTTAACATTAAGGCTTGACAACTTTCCAGAAGGTTTTGTGGAATTGAAAAAGGCTGAGTAATTCTCTTAGCATGTTGTTGAGGGAGTTACAAATCCGAACTGATGTTTCTTACTACCAGTATGCATAAATGTTCTCTTTACTGCTTTGTATTTTTTCCCTAAGCCACAGGTTTCTGCAACATCTGTCATGTATACCTATCCTCCAAAAACCCAATGGACCAGAATAATTGCTTTTATTTGGCTATGATGTCCTATTATGATGGAAGTCATATGATCTAATGTGAATCCATGTCTATAGCTATTTCCTACATTAAGGATGGGACATGTCTACCTTCACTGGACTTAATTTCCCACAATTTCCTGCCCAAAATGCCATGGATCTCCTATTGATTTCTTCTCTATGTTTAGAAGCAATTAGCAATTGAAGTAAATTATAAGGTGTTTCATAAGCTTCCTTTAAAAATAGTTCTTCCCTTTGTTCGTGTTATTCCTTATGACATCCTTTTCCCTTCTTCCCCACTCTGTGTGGGGTCATTTGTCATTGCGGGTTTTCTCATACCCGAATTTTTTTTTCTTTTTTAGCTATTCATTAATTTTGGGCTGCTGCTACTGGTTTAAATTGTGGTTTTACTTTTTTCCTGGTTAAAATAAAACAACATGCAAGGGAAGTTATCCATACAGATGAGTTAATGTTTACAGATTTTTTGTGGAGATAGAAAATGCTTTGCTTGCCAGACAGGGGAGAGAGCTGGAGGCTGTGTGGACAATGTGGATCTTGAGAGAAGAAAAGAGAATTTCTAAATTCTTCCTTGGTATGGGCTTTCGGGAGAATCACTGTGGTTCAGCTTACACAAAACCAATCTCTGAGGTTTTGCTGCTCACAGCCTAGATGTGTGGGTGAGGAGAACCTGATGTCTCAGCCAAATAAGAGAAGTGAGCAGCCGTCAAGATTAAATCAACCTATTTGTGATTTTAACTTTGCTGATTGGACTCAAGTCACAGTTGCTTTTTCTGTGCTCAAGGTTAAACAGCAACTACAGGTACTTACTTAAAATTCACAAATAAGATCTTTAGTAATTTTACCTAAAATGTACAATTTAACTGAAAAGAAATTGTATAACCTCTTCTGATTCTTTGTTTTCCTAGAACTACTGTTTAAAACATAAAAGGCTTTCAAGATACATATTTTTGCACTTTATATTAAGAAAATGTACTAACAGGACAATGCCTTAGTAGGGTGTGAAACTCTTAGTAAATCTCAGTATTTCCTTTTTTTTCTCTTTTTTTTCCACCTCAAGTATTAAAGCCATGAAATATTAGATAGAAAATAGGTCACAGAACATGGGATCTGGCCGGGCGTAGAGGTTCACTCCTGTAATCCTAGCACTTTGGGAGGTAGAGGTGCACGGAATGCCTGAGCTCAGGAGTTTGAGACCACCCAGGACAACATGGTGAAACCCAGTCTCTACTAAAATACAAAAACTGAGCCAGGCATGGTGGTGGGTGCCTGTAGTCCCAGCTACTCAACTGGCTGAGGCAAGAGAATTGCTTGAACCCAGGAAGTGGAGGTTGCAGTGAGCTGAGATCACACCACTGCACTCCAGCCTGGGCAATAGAGAGAGACCCTGTCTCAAAAAACCAAAAACCAAAAACAAACAACAACAACAACATGGGATCTAAGGACAGAGTGGTGAGGCACCCCAGCTCTAATTTGTAAAAATCCCAGTGACAGGCTAGACACAGAGGACTGACTGGCTTGGCAGCTTTGCCAGTCAACCTTCCCTTCAACTGTCCATCTGAGCAGGAACTCAAGCTATTACACAAGCAGACAAGGGAAAGAGCTTTAACTTAGGGAAGAATTGGAAAGTGTTCCAGAAGGGGGTGTTGGGTCCAGAAAATTTGATATTTTTATTTTCCAAAATAATAAGACACAATACCTGTAATATTTAATGTTTATTTTACCAAATCATTATACTACAGGTAATATATTTTGGCAGAGGTAGGATAGATAAAGGGAAATACAGAAGAACTTCACTAGTGAATATGCAGTCAATTTTGCATAGTAAGCGACAACATTAACTGGTGTACAGATGACTTAGAGTGAACGGTGAAAAGGGCCTGGGATCCATTTACCTGTTCAGTGGAGTTTGGAAACCAGTAGCAGCTGGCGAAAGGACATTTTTTGTAAGGGGAGTGACTAAGGCAGATGCTGAAGATGGAGAAGGATGTGTGTGTGGCTGGCTGGCCGGCTTGTGGAATGGCAAGAGGCTGGTGAAGTGGAGTGAGCAAGGGAGAGGGCACTAGTGAAGTAAGACAAATACAGGGGAGCTACAACACAGGGGCCCTGTGCCACTCAAGTGTGATCCTGAGACCCTGCAGCATCAGCATCCTCTGCAAACATGGTAGTAATGCAGAATCTTAGGTCTCATCTCGACCTCTACAATCACAACCTGCATTTTAACAAGGTCCTCAGGCGATTCTCAGACATTAAATTTTAAGGAGCATCATCCATTGAAAAACTTCGGATTTTACTTTGGGACAGTGGTTGGCTGCCCATGATAGTGGTTGGAAGAATGGGGGGGCTGTGGTCTTTTAAAAATACTGATGCCTTAGCCCCACACCCAGAAATTCTAGTTTAATTGGTGTGGAGTGAGGCTTGGGCATTGGGATTTTTATACTCCCCTGGTGATTCTAATGTGCAGTAAGGGTTGAGGATGGCTACTGCAAGTAACATAATTTGACTTTGTTTCAAAAAGGATCACCTACACTTGCTGCTGTGTTAAGAGAAGATTGTATGAAGTCAAGAATAGAGATAAGCATGAGAATAATGGACAAAATCCAATTCATAGCAAGAAGAAAAGTTTTAAATTGGCATAGGACTTCTATCACTATGTCAAATAAAAGTGGCAAGAGTGGTCATCCTTGCCTTGTTCCTTATTTTGGAGCAAAACCTTTAAGTTTTTTTGTTTTTTGTTTTTTAACCATTGAGATCATGTTAGCTGTGAGTTTTTCTTACAGTCTTTACTCTGTTGAGGTAAATTCCTTCAATGACTGGTATGTTGAGATATTTTATCATGAAAGTGTGTTAAATTTTGTCAAGTGCTTTTTCTGCATCTATTGAGGGATAATGTGATTTTTATCCTTCATTGTGTTAATTGTAGATCTCTCGCATTAATGAATTTGCATAGGTTGAACCATCTTTGCATCCCAGGGAAAAATTCCACTTGGTCATGGCGAATGGTCCTCTTAGTGCACTGTTGAATTTGGTTTGCTTAGCATTGTGTTGAGGGTTTTTGCAGCTATGTTTCTTAGGGATATTGGCCAGTGGGTTTTTTTTCTTTCTTTCTTTCTTTTTTTTTTTTTTTTTTTTTTTCTTCCTGTAGGATCTTTATTTGCCTTTGGTATCAGGGTAATGCCAGCATCAGAAAATCGGTTTGGAAGTGTTTTCTCCTCTTCAATGTTTTGGAAGAGTTTAAGAAGCATTGGTGTTAATTCTTTAAAGTCTTAGCAGAATTTGCCAGTGAAACCATCTCATCCTTGGCTTTTCTTTGATGGGAGATTTTTGGTTACTGATTCAATCTCCTAATTAATTCAATTAGGAGCGATTAGACAAGAAAAAGAAAAAGTGTCCAAATCTGTTAAGAAGAAGTAAAATTATCTCTGTTTGCAGATGACATGATCTGACATGTAGAAAACCCCAAAACTCCACACATACAAAAATGTTAGATCTAATAAATAAATGAAGTTGTAGGATATAAAATCCCAACATACAAAAGTCAGTTACATTTCTATAGACTAACAATATGCTATCTAAAAAGGAAATTTAGAAAACAATCTAACTTATAATAGTATTAAAAATAAAATATATTGGAACAAAACTTAACAAGGAGGAAGACTTAAACACTGAAAACTATAAAACATTGTTGAAAGAAATTAAAGAAGACACAAGTAAATGGAAAAATATCTTGTGTTTATGGATTGAAAGATTTAATAATGTTAAAATGTCTACTATCCATAGTAATCTACAAATTCAATGCAATCTCTATCAAAATCCCAATTGTATTTTTTATAGAAAAGAAGAAAAATATTAAAACTCATCTGGAACCTCAAGAGACCCCCAAATAATCAAACCAATCTTGAGACAAAAGAAGAAACCTGCAGGCAAAACACTTCCTGATTTGAAAATATATTACAAAGCTAGAGTAATTAAAACAGTATGGTACTGGCATAAAAATAGACATATAGGCCAATGGGACAGAAGAAAGAACCAGAAATGAACCCACACATCTGCAATCAACTGAGCTTTGTCAGAGTGGTAAAAATACACCATGGGGAAAGGATAGTCTTTTCAACAAATGATATTGGGAAAACTAGATAAACACATGCAAAGGTGTGAAATTAGACCCTTCTCTTATGATACACACACAAAGTCAACACAATATAGGTTAAAGACTTAAACTTAAGACCTGAAACTGTAAAATTCCTAGACAAAAACATAGGGGAAAAAACTTCATGACATTGGTCTTGGCAACAATTTTTTTTTGGATGCCAAAAGCACAGGCAGGCAACAAAACAAAAATAAGTAGGACTCCATCAAACTAAAAGTTCTGCCTTCAAAAATAAGAAACTTCTGCAATATGCAACAACATGAATGACCCTTGAGGACATTATGCTAAGTGAAATGTGCTAATCACTTAAAGACAAATACTGCATGATTCCCCTTATGTGAGATATCAAAAGTAGTGAAATTCATAGAATTGAAGAGTGGAATTGCTCTTCCCAGGGGATAGTAGGGAAGGGGAAGTGGGGAGCTACCAGTAAATGAACACAAGGTTTCAGTTAAACAAAGTGAATAAGCTCTAGAGATCTGCTGTACAACATTGTGCCTAAGGTTAACAATACTGTATTGTGTATTGTATATTTTACTTGTATTTTTTATTCCTTTTTTTCTTTCTTTTTTTTTTTTTTTTTTTTTTTTGAGACAGAGCCTCACTTTGTCACCCAGGCTGGAGTGCATTGGTGCAATCTCTGCTCACTGCAACCTCTGCTTCTGGGGTTGAAGAGGTTCTCCTGCCTTAGCCTCCTGAGTAGCTGGGATTACATTTGTGTGTCAACAGACCTGGCTAATTTTTGTATTTTTAGTAGAGATACGGTTTCACCATGTTGGCTAGGCTGGTCTCAAACTCCTAACCTCAAGTGATCTGCCTGCTTCTGCCATCCAAAGTGCTGGGATTACAGGCATGAATCACCACACCCATCCTGTATTGTGTATTTAAAAAAGTAATAAGATGGATATAATGTTATGTGCTCTTACCACCATAAAAATAAGTAAATAAAATTTGTTAGGCATCATATAAAGAAAAATATGTAACTTTGCTGAAGGCATTGATAAAAATTTGAAAATAGAGCTTCATAGCATCGTCTTACAATTCAAATTGTAAAAATGTCCATTCTGTTCTTATTAATACATTCATATAATTCAATTCTCATCAAAATGCCATAAGATGTTGTTGAAACATGATAAAATGTTTCCAATACTCATCTAGAAGCTTAAAAATGTGAAAATAGGGACTTAGAGTTTGATAAAGAAGAATGAAATAGGGAAAGTAGTGGTAGGAGGTATTAACTTTTTTTTTTTTTTAATCAACCCACATAGTTTTTTCAACAGAAATGGCAGTGTAGATACAATAGAAAGTTGGGAAACACACGTTAGTATATTTAAGAATTTACTGTTTCAAAAAAGGAATATTTCAAATTAATGATTATTTCATACTTTTTGGGATAACTCTATCTCTTATACATTTGCATACATTCTAGACAGAAGAATTAAAGACATATATGTTAAAACAATCTCCAAAAATGTGAGTATGCATGTATGTGAGTAAAAATAATTTTGATATGGGTAAGGATTTCTTGAGGGCAGGGAGTAAAATTTTTTAAGTGTGACACAGCCAGAAAGCATAAAGGAGAAAATAAATTTGCTTTACAAAAGCAACTTACACATTTAAAAAATAACCATAAATAGGCTGAGTGAGGTGTCTCACACCTTTAATCCCAGCACATTGGGAGGCCGAGGCAGGAGGATCACTTGAGGCCAGGAGTTTGAGACCAGCCTGGCCAACATAAAGAAATCCCATCTCTACCAAAAATACAAAACTTAGCTGGGTCTGGCAGTGTGAGCCTGTAATCCCAGCTACTTGGGAGGCTGAGGCACAAGAATACCTTGAACTTGGGAGGTGGAGGTTGCAGTGAGCTGAGATTGTGCCACTGAACCTCTAGCCTGGGAGACAGAGTAAGACTCTGTCTCAAATACATAAATAAAAAGCAAATAAGACCCCATGGGAAATATTTGTCTTATATATGTTAGACATGTATGTGTCTCATATGTATTTGAATTTGTCTCTCAGAAATACAAAAAAATTCTTAAATTTGGAATATATATATATATATTCCATTTATATTTCTACCTCTGAATTTTCTGACAACCATTTCACATTGCACTATTAGGTGTTCAAACTACTGTTTGAACACCTAATAGCGCAATGTGAAATGGTTGTCAGAAAATTTAGAGGAAAATTCAGAGGAAGAAATACAAATGGGCAGTAAACATACTGTGATATGTCCAATTGCAGTATATTAAGAAATTCAAGTTAAAGTATGATATACTACTTTTTGCCTATTGAATTAGATGGTATTTTAAAATTATATTAAAATTATGATATTTGATCTAAGCAAGGTTATAACAAAATGGGTATTCTCATATACTCCTTTTCAAAATGTGTATACCCATTAACCCAAATGATAACTTTATGATAATTTTTATTAAAATAATTATGGCAGTGAACACTAATTTTGCTCCTGGTGTATATTTCGTAGCATTAAAAAATAAAAATAACAACATAAAATTCTATAATTTTTGAGTATTATAAAAATTTATGATACAGGTAATACAATATAGACATTTTATAGAAAACAGTTAATATTGAATATTGGGAACATAAATGTTCTAAATCAATATTAGACTTACAAATATACTCACTACTTACTCTTAAAATAGAAGATAATATGTATAGCATGAATTAAATTAAAGATAACTTTATAGAGAAAAAATCTGAAAGTGACAAAATTTGCTAAGTCATCTTTGAGTTCTTCCTCACAATTCTGTTAATCTGTACTTTCTAAATCTTCTATAATATGTAATAGTTGTTTAAAAATAAAAATTTTGGAATAATTTAGGTATAGAAAAGTTGCAAAGAGAGCAGAATGCCTGTATACTCTTCACCCAGCTTTTCCTAATGTTAACATATTTTGTAATTACAGTGCAATTGTTAAAAATAAGATATTGAAATTTATACACTACTATTAACTAAACTGGTTACTTTATTTGAATTTCACCAGGTTTTAACTAGTTCTGTTCCAGGATTTAAGCCAGGATACTATATTGCATTTAACTTGTTACTTTTCTAAAAAGAGGGGGAAAAAAAGCCCTCCAAAACTCATTGAAAAACAATAATAACAACATAAAATTTGCAAATTGAGGGCAACTATAGCATTGAGCATAAGATGGGCTTTGTCTGGGCTTCCTGCTTGCTGTACAAGAAACTAAAGGAAAGATGATAGGAGACATAAGCATTCTTGTCTTGTACCATGTTAAGTCTACATACTTGAAGCAGGTAATAGTGACCGGGGATGGGAGTAGGGAAGTGAGGTGGGATATACACACCACTATTCCAAACAGCCCCATTGAAAAACGTTTCTTCTCCTGTACAAAGGTTATCTATAACAATGGATCTTTGCTTCTGGTTGAAGCTATATCCAACTAAATATACTTATTTAGTTCCGCTCCGAAACGTTGATTGGCTGTCATTCCTTATTCAAAAGAAATTGAAAAATGATGTATTAAACACAAATTGGTAGGCTTTTGAGTTCTGTTGGGGAAAACAAGAAAAGAGATATTTGGTAATGAAATATTTAGGACTACTTATAGGCTAAAGAGGTATTTATTGCCAAGGTCTTGTCTAAGATCTTGAATTGTGCTGGTTTATTTCCATTTGTGTTGCTTGGCTCCCTGAGTGACAAGGGGCATATCCTTGTACAGTAGCCAGTGTAAGACTTCCAAGGAGAGTAAACTTGAAGGACAGTTTAGGTTTTGCATATCTGAGAATGACCTTTTGAATGGATTTGGTAACCGTGGTATAGACTCATTTTGTCTCCTTCAGTATTTGATTGGTTATTAGGCGACCTCCTCTTTGCCTCCCTGTAGTGCTCTATGATTTGGGGTGTTGCCATTGACCTCCTATAACTCAGGATTTATCTGACTTGATGAAATAGAGGATTTAACTGAGGGAACTTCAGAAATTCAATCTTATTGACTTAAAGAGCCTTCTTTCTATCAGAGTTCTTTCAATGAGTGGGGACTATAGGAAATTATCATTGTGGAATCAAGCTAAGTAGCTGAGTGTCAGATATGCTTTTAGGGCTCTCTGAAGCCTGAAACAAGTGGTTGGCTGATCTCTTGAACACATTCAGTATATTGATTTTCCTGGTAACTCACCCCTTGTGGGTTAAATGAGCACCTAAGCTCTTTCAATCTAGGCAGTATAATTCTGGATAGACCATATATAGTAAATAGTAGACTCCAGTATCTAGGTATGAAAAAACACTACTGAGGAAAAGGTGTATGTACAAGCCTACCTTGGTTAGGAGGCCCCCACTCTGTAATCCACCCAGTACAGGCTTTGGGGTAAGGCAGAGCTGGATTCAATTCTGACTCTGTCACTTACTGTGGGATTTCTGGTTTATTCCTTACCCTCGATGACTTTCATTTCCTCGTTTATAGAATAGGAATTCTAATATCCTCTTTGAAGAACTGTGAAAGTTAAAAGAAAAAATAATATAAAATATCTGATGCATACAGTCATGCAAAAAGGGATGCTTTAGTTATCCTCTCAGCCCTGCTTCTTCCCTAAAAATGAGCTATCTTGGTCACAAAGATACAATTCTTGTATAACCATTTTGTTTTGAAGCAAGAAAAGGTAAAAAATCAAAGCAAAACAAAACATGGTATTTCCCAATGGAGGCAAGTAAACTGAGAGTTTTGGATGTCAACATCAAGGTATGTCATTTTGTATCAAGGGATTTCAGAAAGGCAGGGTAAAATTGTACCGTGATTTACACTACTGTCAAAGTAAATTTTCAGAATCAGCTACTCTGCAGATACTTGGTGCTGATAAGTTAGTTTTTAGGTTCATTTAATCAGTTATCCCACTAAGCCAGAACTAAATGAATCCCAAATGATTTCTAGCTATTCTAGGACATGTGTCATTTTCCTTAACCCCGGTCATTACACTTCTTCCCCCTGTGTATTCCACGATTTTCTTGCCAAACAATTTCTGTAACGAAGACTACAAAAACCAAAAGTATTTACTTTCAAAATATTGCAAGCTACCTTAATTGAAAGAAGATGAGATGTAAAAACATTTGATCTAAGTACACACCAATCCTAATATGATATAGTTATGAAACTTGAAAGGAATGTAAAAATGAAATTAAGAATTTGTTTCATTGCATTGTATTAGAAGGTAAAAGTAACTTTGTGATACAAATGTACATTTATTTAAACAAGTACACTTATTTTAATATTTTGTGTGTCAAAAATTTTGATGCATTGCTTAATAGAAATGTGAATTTTTAGGTTTCACTAACAAAGATTCGGAATCAGTGGTGCTGAGGTGGAGCCCCTGGAAATATGCCTTTCAAGAAAGCATGCATGTGACCTTCAGGCAGATTTCCTTACAGAATATTTTGTGAAATAATTGGAGAATGAAATTGTATTGGTGCAGATGTCTTCTAGAAATTAAATTCCACCAGCTTTTCACAAACTTGCCCCATTGGCCTAAAATTGCAGACTTTTTCAATCAGCATTAACATTCCACAGTCTAGCTTCCTATATTCCAAGGAGTTCAAGATGCTCTGAAGTCAATAATGAAACCAATGAACATTTTAAATTGTGTTAACAGTAAATATCCTGATGGTAGGGTATATGGAAATGTTTCCATTATAATAAAAAAATACTGTGTGCAAGATTATAGAGATGCTTCAGAGCTAGCAGAATTAGTACGTAAGAGAAACACTTGAGTTACCTAGAGGTATAACTGACATTAGAGAATGGCATCTTGCACACTGAATCTAGCAGTAACTTTACTTAAATTTTATACCTAGAGCCTGTTCATGTAGACCGGTGCTACTCAAAGTGTGTTCTGCGGGTTGGTGCCATCTTTAAATGCTTGTTACCAGTTGGTGACAAAATCCATACAGAAATTAAAAGCTTTCAGAAACTTTGAATAACATTTTAAAAGAGTAATTTTATGTTCCTTAAATCTAAGAAGTGAAATACATTGGGCTTGCATTTTGTGTATCTTTTCTTTCAATTTCATTTTTCTAGTAATTCATGTTGATTGCATTTTACAAGGGTGTTGGACCATGATGGACTGGGAATTTTAAGTAAACTTGTTCTTTCACCAGGAGTAGGTTGAGAAGCCCTGATCTAGATCACTTCATTTGTGAAAACACCTCTTTGTTTACAGTTTTCCTTGAGACGGTGATTTATGATTGCTCAGAGATTGACCATTTTTCTCTCTCTGAGTCAAACCATAGCTGTCGCCAAGCCTGTTTGTAGTTATAACTAAACAGTGAAGATAAGGAGAGCTATGCATTGTATTTTGCACGCGTGCGCGCGCGTGTGTGTGTATTTACATTGTTCCAAGAAAAAAAAATTCAAGGAGGCTGGCTTAAGGACTAAGAAACCTGAGATGGAATGAGGCTCTCTGAATTTAGGAAACATTTATTTTGTTCTTGAAGAGTCCAACGGTGTTTGGATGGGAGCTTCCTTTCCTTTCTCCCGCCCTCCAAAAGATTATTAGCGTCTGGGAGCTGGTCTTGTCTACATGTGCTTGGATCCAAGTGGGCCTCAATTCTTGCTCTCATTTTGATGTATAAGGCCACTTCTTAGGTGGAATGCAGAAAAAGCTATCCTGAAATTTAAGTATGACTCTTGTTATGCATTGTTGAGTAGGTGACCTGCCTTATGTATAATTCTTAACTCTCAGAAATTAAGTTTTGGGAGAAGAAACAACACCTATCAATACTAATTACCAACTACACATTTATTACATTTCTGAGTCTCATGCCCCGCCTAACCACTGTCCTTAGTAGAAGGTGGTAGTTAGATCAAGTCCATTGTCAATATTTTCAGAGTTCATTGGACCGTTCCTGTTAACCTGCAATAGCTAGGTGGATCCAATCTAGCTCTCCAAAAGATGCTTCCAGACAGTACTGCAAATGCTATAATTTTTATGAACCCATATTAGCTTTTTGTTGTTATTGAAAGAAATTATCACAATTTACTGGCTTCACAAATATATTTATTTTCTTACAGTTCTTGAGACCAGAAGTCGGAATGAATCTTACAGGGTGAAAACCAGGGTGCCATCAATGTTGGTTCTCTCTGGAGGCTCTAAGGGGAAAGTCTTTTTCTCCTCTTTGCAGGTGTGTGTTGGGGGGTCTTTCCCAGCTTCTGGTGGCTGCATCACTCCAATCTTGGCTTCTGTCATCACCCTGCCTTATCCTCTTCTCTCTTCTCCTCATAGTATCTCCCTCTACTTCTCTTGGAAGCACTCTTGTGATTACATTTCAGGCCCACTTGGCTAATTACAGATAATTTCTCCATCTCAACACCCTTAATTTAATCACATCTGTAAAGTCCCGTTTGCTTTATAAGATAACATATTCACATATTCTGGGGATTAGGATCTGGGCAGTTTAAGCAGCCATTATTCAGCCCACTACAGACCTCAGTAAAAATCCTTTAATCCCTTTGTCTTAATCCCATCACATTTTAAAATGTCAAAGCAGGGCTTTTTTTGGTACGTGAGAGATTTTATTGGCTGCAAAATTAATATTGCAGCAGAAAAGCAGGTAAGAATACAAGCCTTAGTATTAGACTACGTGGGTTAAAATCCTAGCTCTGCCACTTAGTCTGTTTAACTTTAAAAATAACCACTTTGTGCCTTATTTTTCTCACTTGTAGAGTGGATAAGGTAGTATCTACTCCATAGGCTTCTTATAAAGATTAAATGAGTTTATACAAAGAACTTAGATCAATATCTACATACACAGGAAGTGTTCAACAAATGTTAGCGTTATCATAATATTTTAAAGCAAATATGTGTTGGTTAACCCTGTGCCAGGCTCTGTGACAGCTCCCAGGGCTATTTTCACATGAATTACAGGACTGAGGACTCGTAGAATTTGTGAGTGTTGAGAACTGGCTTCTTCAGCCTCTTTTCCACCTACATCCAATGTGTCTGCCTCAGGTCGGGCCCCTCAGCAAACTGACTCTGAGGTGAATAATTGCATAGGGGAAGTTTATATTGGAGAGTGGCCATCATAGCAGCTGTGGGGGAATAAAAGACATAAGATTGTGCAGAGAAAAGAGTTAACCTATGAGGCAGTCATAACGCAGGATTATTCAGTCCATTCTATGAGGGCCTCTGTTGCTGGAATGATCATGCCTTGAGCCAAAGGGTCCTTCCTGTCCTTCATACCCTCCTGCAGACCAGCAATTAGATGCAGTGTGTCCCCGGGACTGGGCCTCATCCTAGATAAGTTAAGTTTCTCCAACTGAAGGGAACATCCTGAGAAAGACTCAGCCTAGAGAGGTCGGCCGCCAATAATGTCAGCTGCAGGAGGAATGAGTGACTCAGTCCCACAGGAGCATCTGTGCCACCCACCTGGAGGGCATCATCTGCAGTGCTCTCTTAACTAGACATTCTGATGTCCAAAGTCTTAGGGTTTCACGCTCCCTTGCAGGTGAAGAGCTGTGTGTGATTTTGGTTTTAGTGATCAGAGGTACTCCACGGAGGTTTTCATTTAGAACTGAGTGAAGTAGGGGACAGAACAGGCAGACATTCATTTGCTGAGGGGGACTGTGGCACAGACAGTGTGATTTTTCAGTCGGAGCCTTCCTTATCTAGTACCTTCTCACACTGATGGTGACAGCTCTCCTGCTGTCATGGTAGAGACAGTGTGATACTGGGGACTGGGAAGTGTTTCAGGGAGTCAGGTTAGAACCGACTCTCCTAACCTTCCTGTGATTTCTTGTAAGCCACTTAATACCTGATAGTAAATTA